>NC_000001.11:62281107-62584138 GCF_000001405.40 Homo sapiens
TCCCAGCCAAGTCACCCAGAAGCCCATGGACATGTGAATGAACCCAGAAAAGATCATCCATGCCAGCCCAAACCAGAATAATGGCCCTGCTAACACACAGAATCTTTTGAGAAATAATTAACATCTTTAAGTGACTAAATTGTTGGGCTGTTTGTTACACAGCAAAGCTAACTGATACATGTGAGGATTGAGGATCAAAGACATTAAATGACTTGTAGAATCACTTAGGTATAAATGGAGGCTTACCATATTGTGCCTCTTTCCTAGGCTAGGGCTGGAGATACACAAAATCTGAAATACATGCTTGAGCCTACCAGCACTGCCTGTTTGAGGGATATCTCCTGCAGGCCTTTCCTAGGCTATTTCCAGGATTTGTGGCAACAATTCTTTCCCAGCCCAAGTGCTTATCTTAAACCAGGCCCTACAAAGCAGCTTGCCTACCATCTGTCTTCTCCATCTTTGGAGCGCTGACCCTCAGTGTCTCAGGCACTCTTCATCCAATGAGTCTGTAAAACTTGTTGAAGGTTCTGAAAGAAAGGAGGATACAGAAGTGGTGAGTCTCATTAGCGTTTGAATAAGTATTGGGGAAACACAGCACTAAACAAAGTAACATCCATCCCTGCCTTTCTCCCAGGGTGCCCATGAGCTCACAGCCCTCCAAGGAGGAAGATTAAAAACCTGTACACATTTCTAGAGCCCAATTCTGGGTGTTTCTTCATGGAATATTAGCAATAGTTGACATGAAAAGAAGTGGAAGTATTTGGTCCAGCGGTCTTGCTTGGCAGATGAGGAAACTGAGGCTGAGGAGTTAATTGCTCTAAGGTGTCTCAGACTATTCGTGAAGGTGCTAGTATCAGACCCAGGCTTCTGATACCAGCACAGGGCTCTTGCCATAATCTCAAGAGTTGAAATCTACCTATCCCCATCCTGGGAAGGGACTTATAATCCACTTTGCGAAAAAGCTGGAATCAGAGTACCTATAAATGATGTGTGACATGTCAATCAAACAGAAGACAGAGATGACATAATTGCAAGTACTGACAGGGAGCTGCTACTTAGAGGTAATTTCTAACCATGGGCAGAACAAGGGGAAGTTCAACCTGGGTGGCCCGAAGACATGGGTAACTATTCAAGCAGAATATTGCCCTGGCTCTGAATTAGTGTGCCTTGAGGTTTGACCATAAATTCTCCCCAAAGTTTTAATCCATTTCCAGGACTCTTTCTTCAAATGGTAAACATCCTAGCTCCTGCCCCCATTACAATGAATCACCCAGGAAATTGGCTTTTTATGATTGTAACTCCACATACATCAGAATAATGAATTATCTGTGACACCGCAGCAGTGGAAGCAGGGTTGTTTTAGGAATTCCAATGTGCTTGACAATGAACTCCAGACCAGGAAAGTGAACCAGTGATGAGGGAAGGACTGGGAGAAACTGAGAGTGAAAGAAAAGGATGATGGGTGGCCCCCAGAAACCAAGGATGGAAAAAAGGGGACAAACAAGTAACTGGAGAAGAGGGCTGGAAAAGATGAGGCCTGTCAAATAAGAGAGAAATGCCAAAGTTTGCCACCAGAAAGTTTAGCATCACTTCTTCCTGCGAGTGCTGCTTCTGCCTCATCTCCTCCAGCCCGTTTGCCAAGCAGCTGCCAGACAGGCCTTGCCCTATCCAGGTGGATGGAGCCCCAAAGGGCAGGCATGTTTTCTAGAAGCAGAGACAATCCTTGCAGAAGGATTGGCACACTGAGTACCTTGCTTACCTCTGAGGCAGCAGGCAGTGCACCAGCACATCCTGGTTTGTTGAAAACAAAGAGCTAGAGAAGTTAGAGACAAGGGAGCTGAGAGTGTAGGTGGTCTTGCAGAGGCTGAGAGTGGCCGCCAAGGAGGCAGACGGTGGAGAGGTGTGGAAGGTTCTAACCTGGGGTGAGGCAGGCTTGCCCTTGTTATAAAGAGAAGGCTCCCAGGCAGAGAACACCGCTGCCTCTCTCACCACCCCAGCTCTGCAGTCTGCAGCAGGCGATGCTGGCATGCAGGAGGCAGTGGCAGGTGAAGCCTGCAGAAGAAAAGAGTGAGGTGGCAAACCCTAAGCTTGACCCTTCATCTCCACCATCGCAGCCTCTCCTGCTCCTGCTCCCCTCTCCCTCCCACCCCTGTAACATTACTAAGCAACGGGCAGAGCTGGGAGTACTTGACATTCATGAATTATCTCATGCAATCTTTACACCATCACCCAAAGAGGATTATTATTATTCCTATTTTTAAGGGAGGGAGACTGAGGCTGAGAGAGTTGACAGGGCTGATCCATGTCACATAACAAGCAAGTGTTGTAGCAGGATGTGCCCTCAAGTCTAGCCGACTCCAAGCCTGGGTTGGGAACAAAAGTGATTTGTAAGCCTTTGTCCACCCTGTAAGTCAGCCGGGTTCCCTGACACTATGACTGATCTTTAATTCCCCCTGTGAGGGGAAATGCTTCTGACTGGTGCTTCTCTGCCTCTCCCACAGTAAACACAAAAAGCCTCTGGGCTTAGAGGAGAACTGCTCTCTTGTAAAGCCTCCTGAGCCAAAGGAGAGCTCTGCTTCTCCAAGGCTGGAGAAGCTCCTACTGCAGAGGAGGGGGCCACTTGGGTACAGCTGGACTTTTGGCTTCACAAACTCTCATCATCAGCCTAGGGACTTTTCAATCACACGCCTAGCCTTTGGTTAGAATTAGGAATTCAGCCCATCGTATATCAGATCATATGATTTTAAAGAATTATTCAGCACACATTAGGTCAAATTTCATTAAAAAGAACTCTGTAGAGACCTCGAAGATTTCTCTTAGACTTGGATTTCTCTTAGACTTGGATTTCAGTAAAATTAATCATTTCAAGGCTACAGAAATTAAGTGGAGCTGACACCCAACTCTCAAAGGAGGGGTTTCTCGGCAACTTTTTACTCTAAAGGGCTCATAATACAGGAAGGAAGGAAGGAGGGATCTGTCGTGTGCACAAGTCACCACTTCCAGCCCCGACTCCCACCCCCAGCCTTCCGCACTTTCCTCCATGGTCCTAGCAACAGACATCGTGGAGCTTAGCTAAGGGAGTTTCCTTCCAGTGGGCAATGCTCAGTGTGGTTAGGTTAGGTAAAAATAACTGCCACATCAACATATGCATGCTACCTTGTTTGCAATAAAACAGAATATGAAAATAGCTTTATGGGACACAGTTCCCCTTTAAAATGGAATTTTGCAACTCTCTGGAGCATTTAAAGCTTTGACATAAAGCCATTTCTTTTGATCTCAGCTCACTGCAATCTCCGCCTCCTGGGTTCAAGCCATTCTCCTGCCTCAGCCTCCCGAGTAGCTGGGATTACGGTCGCGCGCGCTACCATGCCCAGCTAATTTTTGTATTTTTAGTAGAGATGGGGTTTCACTATGTTGGCCAGGCTGGCCTTGAACTCCTGACTTCAGGTGATCCGCCCACCTTGGCCTCCCAAAGTGCTGGGATTACAGGGGTGAGCCACGGCACCTGATCATAAAGCCATTTCTTACCCATTCTGTTAAGTTGTATCCCCACTGTTCAGAACCTTTAAATACCTGGTGTTATTACGTTACTTTTCATTTGTTTTTGTCCTATGCCAGGATCAAGGATCCAGAGTTAGGGCCCAACCTCTCTCCATAGCTCATCATATTCTAGATGTTTTGGGCATACATAGCTTGCTTTCTCTCTAGCTCTTCTCCCCTACTAATCTGTAAGCTTGTGAAGGTCAGAATTATTGCAAGTCTTATTCCCATGTCACCCCCAACTCCTCATGTCTAACTCACGGCAGACACTCAGTCCATGGTTCTTAGATGAACAAAATAAAAGGAACAAAATTGTCTGTCTTCAAAGGGAACCCATGGAAAGAAACTAACAAGAGCTAAGCACTTACACTGGGAATCAGCTACTGGGTATACTTTCTCATTTCATCCTCATACAAGCAATCCTAGGAAACAGGAACATGTCCAAGTTACAAACGAGGAAACTAAGGCACAAAGAGTCCATGTGGCTAATCCAAAGTTCTCCAGTTAATTAGGAGCAGGATAGCTTGTGTGACTCCATCATTCCACAGTGCCTTTCCAAGCCTATGGGGCGGTAAGGAGGTGAGGACCAAGGCTGACCATTCAAAAATCCAGCAAAGAAGTGGTCACTTGGCAGACAGCGATGATAGTCCACGTGCAGCTACCAGGCCAGACTGGAAACCATTCCAGCTGGGTCCACCCTCAGTGCCCAGGAACATGGGTTTCCCCAGGTAAGCCCAACTCCTGCAGCATTTATCCGCACCCTCTCCTCTCCACACTTACGCCTTTTATGATGCCATTTTCAAGCTCATTTCTAACCTCAAATCCAAATATAAAGAGACCTTCCCTTACTTAGTCTTGAAACAAACCTGGTTCTGTACTTTTGTTCTCTTCAAACCTCTTTTTATTCTGCAATAATAAAAATGTGGTATTTCATCCCAGAGCAGGCTGCATGCCAAAATAAATAGCACCTTGGATTTCCTTGAAAAGACAGCTTGGCTCAAGTCTCAGCCTCATTGCCACGAGAATTCTTGGAGAATTCAACCTTACAAAGTCAAGTATTTAGCAAGGTAGTTCACCAAACAACAACCCTGCCAATCCCTGCATGATCCCTTGCAAAGACAAAGCACTCTTTCCATAAGAAAAAAAAAAAAATCACCTGTACCTTGGACTGATCATGCCAAGATGATGAGAGCTTCCTCTTTCCCCATCCCAGGACCCCAGCCTTTCAAGTGCAAATATTCCCTGTGCCAAGAAGCAGGAGGCATCTGACCGCTGCTTCTAAACATTGAGAGGGCCGAAGCCGGGACACCAGAGGAGGTGAGAAGCACTGAGAAAGATTCTGCCAACTGAGTTCTCCAGCGGGCTCACCTCCTGCCGACCTGGCAAACAGAGATGAGTCCTGCTCAATAAATGACACATTAACACAATCTCATTAACTCCATTCCCACGTTTTTTGCAAGTGTGTGTCATTTTCGCCTGCATTGCAGCAGCTGAATCTGGAGCTTCACGAAGAAGAGAAAACAGTCGGGAGGAACGCTGTGCCCACATTACCTTCCCTTGCATCCTCCTGCTGCATAGCCCACAGCAGGGAGGACTCGTCTCCTTCCCAGAAAGCCAGGTTTCGGCTGCAGGGCCGGAGCTGATAGCTCGTGCCTTCAGCACAGCTGTGTCTGTTTCGCAGCTGTTAAAGGACTTGGTCAGGTAATCCCTGACCTTGCTGGAAAAGCAAATACTGACTTCCTTTTTGCTCCCGGGAATAGGTGAGTGGGGTCAGAAACGAATTCACTGCTCAATAAACTAAGACTGGATCTTGCAGAAAGAGGAAGAACGCTCAAATCCTTAACTAGAAAGTTAGTTCCCAGAGCTGCCATCGCTTCCGAGGAACACATCTAGAGACATCCAAACAACACACAATCTTCCTTCTTGACTCCTCCGAATCTGGCAGCTCATCTGAGCAGCTATAATTAATTATGAGCTTCTTCCTCCCTGCAGCTGATGTGGCTCATTAATGAATTTGTTCCTAATGAGGACGTAGCCTCCTTAGAGTTGAAACCCTTCAGTAGTGCATCACTTTCTTCCTGGCTCCGCTTTAGAAACATCCTTCCCTACCCCCTCCTGGGGCCCCAGGACCACATGAAGCCTCTGATCATTAAACAAACGGAAATCTGTCGGGGCAGAGCCGAGACAGGAACAATGACCAGTAAATTCCTGGGGCTGGACTGGCAGCTCCTTATTCCTGCTGCTCTACCAATCTGCTGCCCTAGAGCACCAAAACACACCCAGTTCTGGCAGGAATGAAAAAGCAAGGAAGTACCTGCTGTGACGACCAAATTACTGTTCAGTGGATCCACTTCCAGGCAGGGTTTCTAACTGCAGCGCAGACCAGAGACTCCGAGAGGCGGGGTGCAGGAGCCAGGGAGCAGGCAGCTGCCAGAGGAGCAAGGTTTCAGAGTGTCCCGGGCAAGCACAGTGGAGGGTCTTCCTACAGCCCAAAGCTGCTGCAGTTCTTAGGAGCAGAGACAGGTGTGAGGTGCAGGCACCAGACTCTACACTCTCCAAACCCTGTGCTGCTCCCGGACCTGAAAGGAGCGGGGATGGTCCAGGAGGGGCCAGGAAAGCGTCTGGGTTCCTTTATGCAGACTCAGTAAAAGGATTAGAGGGACCTTGTTCCTTCGCCTCCTGGTGCTCTAACCAAGTGAGGCTGTGCTGGGAAATGAAGCCTCACAGTAAGACACATCACATGTAGCCCTGACCTTCACTGATACTGACTGTCTGGATGTGCCTTCCAAGACCAGAGCAGGTTCCTGTCTAACCCATGCTGAAATTGATGCTGGCAAGGAGTGTCACCCTGAAACGCTGCCTGCATCGAGCCTGGTACACTTGCAAAGCACTTTCCGTCCTGTGTCTCATTTATCCTTGCATCAATGCTTGAAGCAGCCAGACCAGGGATGAATCTCCCCATTGTAAAGGTGAAGAAAATGAGAGACAGTCTAAGTGGTTTCTCTTGGGTCATCCAAGAGCAGAGTGTCCTGGGGTAAAGTTCTCTGTTCTTCCCATTGCCCTAGATCAAGTTCCTTACTTTTCTTGGAAGATTCTAGAGACTCTTGCTCAAGATGGAGGTTAGGAGACTTTGCAAAGTACACAGGATGACGTGGTGGTAGGCAAGTCTATGGAATACCAACATCACTTTTCTCAACTGGTAAAAGTATTTTTCCAGTTAGCTGAGTACGCAGACCAATCATCAGAATAAAAAAAGAATCCAAAGTATACCTTGAACTCTAAGGGTATAGAAAAAATATACTGCGGAGCAAACTGCTTCTCTGATACACTTCAAATGATCATTGACTATCCTTTCTAAACTGGCTAGAGAACAGCTGGAGGCACGCAGCATTTCTCTAAGATGCAGATGGAAGAAAAGCCCTCCATGTTACCAGCATCCCCAACCCCTATGCCTTACTCAGACGTATGTTTAAGACCAGCAGCCAGCTTCATGCTCCTACCAAGCCACACAGACCATCTCCTGAACCAAACATGTTTATCCACAAGAACTTTCCTGACAAGAATCACGGGACTGGAGGGAGGTTTGGCTCCTTTTGCAATTTAGAAATGCTCAACTTCTATGGCCCAGGTCCCTTCTGCCCCATGATGGAAAAAAAGGTGAACTGTCCAAGTCCAGCAAGATGGGGGCTAGGCCAGAGGGGAAAAGAGGTTCAGCTATCTGAAGAATGCACCTTTTATCTAAGCAATCCCTTAGGCTTTTGCACTTTACTCAGAAAGGTCAGCGCTTTGGTAGGCTGTATGGCTGCACAGGGCTGAGAAGGGCACGCTTGTTAGGTATTCACACACTCAAATAGAGCCTCTCTGAGCAGACTGGTCACAGACACAGTCATTCCCACAGAATGCAACTTAAATAGGCAGAGAAAGAAATTATGCATGTGAGACCTGTGGGTGCAGCCATCCAGGAGGGAAATCAGCTATTCTAAAGATTGACTCTACAAAGCAGATGTAATTTTCTGAGGGAAGAAGCTGGGCCAGTTGTAGGGAGAGAGGAGGCTGCATTAACCAATGAAAAATGCTCCTTGGAGGGAAAAAAGGCATTAGACTTGCAAGGAAAAAGACCCCCACTCCACATCTCTTTTTTCATTTGGATGCTTCCAAAATGTTCTTGGTCCGTGACTTAAACATACCGTAAAATCAAACTGCCAATTGCCAAATGAGGAAGTGGTATGAGCAGGCAATTCATCAAAGAAGAAATACAAATGGTTAATATTTGAGAAATGTATAACCTCACAAATTAATAAAAAAGATGTCAGATAAATCCTGACATGCCATACCCTACAATGAGCCGGGTACTCTGGTCCAATCCAAACAGCATCCTATTCCCAAAAAAACTCTGCCAAGCTTGTCCAACTCGCCTTATTTTGTTGTTGTTCTGTTTTGTTTTGTTTTAGGCTTTTAGTGCCTGAAGACATAGGTTTTAGTTTCTGTCTCTAGTGATAAGTGGAAAAGACGGATGAGGAAAGGTCTTTACTGGCCTAACCAGAAACAGAAATTAAGAACCCGTGAGTGCATTCTCTCCCTTGGACACCCCTGCGTACTGTTACTTCTATTGTCCAAAGTCAAAGCAGAGGCCTAAAGCACTTGCCCAGGTATCGAGACCATCAGAGCCAAGATTTGAATCCATGTTTTTCTGATGCTAATATGCTGCTCTTAACCATGGTACAGCAGACTCTCTTATGAGTTAGAAAAATGTTTTTTTCAAAGAGCCTCAGTGTTGATGAGGAGGGGACTCACCCTCCCCAGAAGATTGCAGCAGAGTGGGGGCAGCTGCGGCCAAGAGAGGAACTTCAGGCCGTGGCAATACCTCTGAGCACACCACGACTGTCTCCCAGTACACTGCCTGCGTGTCCAATGGCACTGTCCAGTTTGTGCATGTGCATAGGGGAATTCAAAATCAAATACAGCAAAATACAATGGTGAAGACAGAAGAAGACAAAAAAAGGTCATAGTCACATGTGATTTCTTTCCTTGGTGGTCTAGGAATCATAACTATTATGATGTATTCTTGGAAAATAAAAAATAAATTATTTGGGGGGAAAGAGATGGGAAGTCAACATAATTCTGCCACCTGGCTACAGCAATTTTCATGATCACCTATTTTGTATATTTAACATAATTGAAGGGCAAGTTCTATAGTGGACTTGTAGCCTGGGCTCCAAGTCAAGTACTAGCTGAAATGCCAGCTTTGCCAATGACTGACTGTATAATCTTGCTCACATTACTGAACTTCCCTGTGCCTCAGTTGCTTTGCTTGTGAAATAAGACTAGCAGTATTTCCTATAAGTCACGGAGCTGTCAGAAAGATTAAATAGGATGACAATACATGCAAACCACTTAGGACAGAGTCCGGTACATAGTCCTGTTCAATGAGTAAATACATTGGTTATTTTTAATATAATAGTAGAAATTCAATTATAAATTCAATTATAAATCCAATTTTGTATTCAAAATTCTATTATATAGCCATTTTTAAAAGTATAGTTTTACCTGCTTTGTAATGATTACTATAAATGGCTATACAAACGTCCATTGACTTGCACCTTATTTTCCAAACCCCTCCCTAGAGGGGGTCATGCCACCTCCTGTTTAATTCTCCCTTCAATGCTACCACAGCAGCCAGCCTGACAGACGGTCCTCACTCAGGTCTCCAGGGAAGACCCCATTTCCAGGTGGCTGGATCTCAGCTGCATGGGCTTTGAGGTAAGACAGGCCAGGTTCAAATCCTGGCTGCATGACCCTGAGAAAATGTCCTTATTCAAGAAGAGCACAGCTCAGTACACCGTGTGAAGACCGCAGGGGATAAGGGATGCAAAGTGCTTGTGCTGGTGCCCAGGATATAATAAACACTCAATACATTTGGCTATGATTACTTTTTAAAACCCACAATGTGAAGCAAGGAAAGGGCAAGGATCATATTTGTTTTCTTTCTCACCCCATTTTTAACACTTAGCATGATGGGAATTCAATAAAAACGTGTTGAATCAAATAAATAGATGGATGCATGGGTGGATGGATCAGAGACTGTCAGAGCTGGAAAGGATTTTTTTTTTTTTTTGAGATGGAGTCTCACTCTGTCGCCCAGGCTGGAGTGCAGTGGCGCGATCTCGGCTCACTGCAAGCTCTGCCTCCTGGGTCCACGCCATTCTCCTGCCTCAGTCTCCCAAATAGCTGGGACTACAGGCACCTGCCACCATGCCTGGCTAATTTTTTTTTTCTGTATTTTTAGTAGAGACAGGGTTTCACCGTGTTAGCCAGAATGGTCTCGATCTCTTGACTTCATGATCCGCCTGCCTCGGCCTCCCAGAGTGCTGGGATTACAGGCATGAGCCACCACACCTGGCCATTACAATCTCTCTGTGGTCTCACCAACACCTGGTTTATGTTTGTTTGCTTTAAATTATAGCCATCCTAGTAGGTGTAGTAGGTATGAATTGGTATCTCACTGTGGTTTTGATTTGCATTTCCCCAATGACTAATTGTGTTGACTATCTTTTTCATGTGCTTATTGGCTTTTGTATATCATCTTTGGAGAAATGTCCATTCAAGTTCTTTACCCATTTTTGAATTGGCTTGTTTGTTCGTTGTTGCTGTGTTGTACAAGTTCTTCACATATTCAGGATATTAACCTCTTATCAGATATATGATTTGCAAAAAATTTCTTCTTGATATATTTTGCAATAACCTTGTATATGGTATAAGATAAGCTTCCAGCTTCATTTTTTTGTATAATTTAACTAATTAATTAATTTTTTTAGATAGGGTCTCACTCTGTTGCCCAGGCTGGAGTGCAGTGGCACAATCATAGCTCACCACAGGCTCAAACGCCTGGGCTCTGCAATCCTCTCACCTCAGCCTTCTGAGTAGCTGGCACTACAGGTGCATACCACCAGGTACACCTAATTTTTTTTTTTGGTTATTGAGACAGAGTCTCTCCCTGTCACCTAGGCTGGAGTGCAATGACGTGATCTCAGCTCAATGCAACCTCCACCTCCCGGGATCAAGTGATTCTCCTGCCTTAGCCTCCCAAGTAGCTGGGATTACAGGTGTGCACCACCACGCCTGGCTAATCTTGTATTTTTAGTAGAGATGGGGTTTCACTGTGTTGGTCAGGCTGGTCTGGAACCCCTGACCTCAAGTGATCCACCCACCTTGGCCTCCCAAAGTGCTGGAATTATAGGTGTGAGCTACCATACTCAGACAACTTTATTTTTTTGCATGGGAATATTCAGTTTTCCCAGCACCATTTGTTGAAAAGATCACCCTCTATTTCCAGAACATTTCACCACCCCAAAAAGAAATGCCCTACTCGTTAGCAGTTATTCCCTATTCCCTCCACTCCACTCCCCATTCCCTCCCAGCCCCAGGAAACCATGAATTTACTTTCTGTCTGTATAGATTTGCCGATTGAGGACACTGCCTACAAATGGAATCATACACCACTGTGATCTTTTGTGACTAGCTTCTTTCACTTAACATGATGTTTTCAAGGTTCACAAGAGCTAAAAAGGATTTTTTCAGGTCACCTAATCTAACCCTGTTTTCAATGTCACACAGTACCTTGGTAATAGAGTCCATACAAGGGCCCATTCTGTGTTTTCTTCCTTAATAACCATGACCCTAGAAACACGTGAACACGCAGGAGGTATGGCAAGTTCTCAATGAGAACTGCACTCTAAGCCTCTCCTTCAAGGTTTTATGTCTGCCCTTACATGGTGCCACTTGACTAGACCAGTATTTCCCCATATTACCTATTGTTCAAATCCTACCCATTCCTCTCACCAGACCCCACCTCCCCCAGGAAGCCATCTGGAGAGCCTATTTGGGTAGAATTCTCTAATTTCTGAAATCCTATAGTAAATAACTACTCTTTAATCGGTGTGAGGCCACATGGGATTAGGAGTCCAATTTGTAACTATAAAAGCCTTCCTCCAATTGAGAATGGCAAATCTCTATTTTAATGGGAGGTGAACCCTGAAAGGCTTCAGAAATCTCAGTTTGATATATCTGGACATGTTTTGGATCACCTGTTCTACACAAGGAAGTCAGCTGATCACTGATTTGTCAGCCTGCTGGACAGGGTAGTGGCAAAAGTCAGCTTTGGAATCCAACAGACACGGGTTCAAATGCTGCTTTTCCTATATATTGAGACCTTGGGCAAGTTAACTAACTCGTCTCATGGTCCCTGTCTAGTCCTGCCATCCACCTTTGTCACTGGATAATTGCCTAATGCTTCTTGCTGGACTGAAAGCTCCCTGACAGCAAGAATCAAGCCTTCTTCTTCTGGGTCTTTCACAGTTCCCAGAGATCTCTTAATAGGGCCCTAGAAATGCCCCTGCCATTAAGTGTCTCAATCTTTGTGTGTGTGTGTGTGTGTGTGTGTGTGTGTGTGTGTGTGTGTGAGACAGAGTGTCACTCTGTTGCCCAGGCTGGAGTACAATGGCACAATCTCGGCTCACTGCAACCTCTGCCTCCCAAGTTCAAGTGATTCTCCTGCCTCAGCCTCCTGAGTAGCTGGGATTACAGGCATGCACCACCACACCCCGCTAATTTTTTTTTTTTGTATTTTTAGTAGAGATGGGGTTTTGGCATGTTGGCCAGGCTGGTCTCGAACTCCTGATCTCAGATGATCTACCGGCCTCGGCTTCCCAAAGTGCTGGGATTACAGGTGTGAGCCACCATGCCCGGCCTCAATTCTTGAAATCTATAATTCTCAAAGCAGAGTCCCTGGCCCAGTGATAGAAACTAAGGGTTTCTAAAAGAATAAAAAATGCATCTCAAATATGTGTATTCTCTTCAATTCTTACAAGCAAGTGTATTACATGGGAATTCATTTTTATAAGGAACTAGGAACATAATATGTGAGTTATTGAGGGTTAATAAGCCTTGGCATTAATAAACAAAAATTAGTGTGTTAGAAGAGTTTACTGAGAATATTCATTTTCTATTCTGTAAAGAAAGGTGACCACCATCCATCACTAAACAATACAGCGAAACTCCTGTGTATGCACCCAGCCTAAGAGGTGGAATTCCAATTCTCAGGAAGGGCGTTTTGGTATTAGTGCAGAAGACATTTGTTGTGTGCTTTTCTTCAGCTACCCAGCACTTTTGTGAACACCCTTCCTATACTTGGTTATTTCCTTCTCAGAAGACCCACCTCCCCAAGATTGAAACTGGAATTTACAGCAAGTGACTATGGGGAGATGGTGGCGTGATGTTCAGCTACTTCATATCCCTTAATAAATTCCTCTTCTATTATAAATAGATAGGCCTGCTAGAGCAGGTTCTGGTGTTCGCAACCGTGACCCTTAATGGCTACAACGCAGCATCGGCAATCTCTTGGTTTTAAACTGCTTCTACTCTATTAATTTACATTACTTATAAAATTACTTTTAGGAGTTTCTGTTGATTGTTGTCCTGAGTATTTGCTGCATTACTTTGATTAGTTTTCTCTTCTCCTTTAATCCTTTGTTACTACCAAATTCTCTCCCACTGCAAAGTAGGAGCGAGTGGACTCAGTGGGCCACAAAGTCTTTTGCTCCCCTGAACTGGGCTACAGTCCAGAGGGCTTGGAAACCACAATTTGGAGTAAATGTTTCCTAGGAATTCAGCTCCACTTCCTCCCTCCTGGGTCACTTCAGCGAAAGCCTCTCAAGGGTAGGCACAAATACTCCACAGGGGGGCACCCCTGCACCCACCCTCTTTGGGCAGCTCCCATCCGAGCAGCATCATCCCTGGTCCAGAATTCAGCAGATGCCTCTGCAGGCATCAGCTGGGTGCCACAGCTCGAGTTGCAGGTGCAGACAGTTTAGAGCTTGCGTGGGCTGTTGCATCTGCCTTCTGGGTTGGGAGGAAGGTTTTTGTTGGCTCAAATATGCACAGGCTGCACATTCAGGAAAATCAGTTTAAACCAAACTGAGGCTAAGTGATCCCCAGAACCTGGGTGGAGAAAGCGATGTTTCCAGATTTTTCAGGCGGGAAAGCTGT
Organism: Homo sapiens; assembly: GCF_000001405.40. Lineage (NCBI taxonomy): Eukaryota > Metazoa > Chordata > Mammalia > Primates > Hominidae > Homo > Homo sapiens. The sequence continues at coordinate 62,294,692 of NC_000001.11, forward strand.
TATTATTTCACAATGCCCCACCTAACCCTCTGGCAAGTTCAGTCTGACAAGAAGCGGACATGTGTGATGTGGGTCCAGCAAAGATGGTGACCACCCAGCCTCGGCAGCATGCCAGCCAGAGGAAGGGCAGGTATCATCAGAGATGAATCAAAGAGACTTCAGGAGAGATGAAGTGCACCAGGAACTTCTCTGAACTTCAACTTTCCCTTGAAAGAGATGGGATTCCTTCAGTGTTCCATCCGGTAATACAAAGGAAGGTTATATATTGTTGTGGCCTGGGTTTTGTTTTGCTTTAATGTGGGCAAAGTTACTAAGAAAAGGCATTGCCAAAATTGACAATATCACCCAGGTTTATATCACCCCACGGAGCAGCTCAAAGGTGTCACAGAATGGTGGGGCATTTGGAGCATAGCATAGGCAGACTTTTATTAGTGACTCTGCTCACATCTTTTCTTTTTTTTTTTTGAGATGGAATTTTGCTCTGTCGCCCAGGCGGGAGTGCAGTGGCGCCATCTTGGCTCACTGCAACCTTCACCTCCCGGGTTCAAGCGATTCTCCTGCCTCAGCCTCCCAAGTAGCTACAGGGACTATAGGCGCCCGCCACAAAGCCCGGCTAATTTTTTTGTATTTTTAGTAGAGACAGGGTTTCGCCATGTTGCCCAGGCTGGTCTCAGGCAATCCTGGCTGGTCTCCTGAGCTCAGGCAATCCACCCGCCTTGGCCTCCCACAGTGCTGGGATTACAGGGGTGAGCCACTGCACCTGGCCTTGCTCACATCTTTTCTTCCAGCCAGGTTATGGGCTCTTTCAAATCAAGGTTCCCCTTTTGTGCTCCTGGGTATCCTTTATGTTCAATCAGTCCACTGATTATCTACTGTTGGGAGGAGAGAAATATAAAACAGGGTCTTGGACGACATTTGCACCCATAAAGGGGCAACTGAGGCTCAATGACCTGCCCACCTCATACAGCAGGGCCAAGGTCAGAGTCTGCTTTTGAGACTCCTAACCCAGTGCTTTCCTTTACAAATCTCATGTACTGGTCCTCAGTGTGATATTGGAGGACATGGAATTGATGGTTTCTTTAAAAAGAATGTGGCCAGCGTCCCCAGTTTAAATGTGGAATAATGGAGTTTTTATTGTGGTAAAGTGTGCCAGAGAACTGCTCATACTTCTGTTGGTGATCTTTGCTTGCAGCCTCTGGCTGCAGGGAAAGTATAACGCATAACAATAAAAATAGTTGCCAACATCAATTAAGTATTGACTCTGTCCTGGGTAAGTCCTTTACCCATCCTTACTCAGTGCCTAGGACAACCTGGGCACGACTCCTCTGTAAACCAGATAAAGATGCTGCCTCATGGCCCAGCCTCAGTTCAGGGCTGTGTTCAAAGAATCAGCAGTTAAGGAGAAAAAAGTTAATTGGAAGCAATCCAAACCTTCACTGCGGTCTCTAGAGAAAATACCAAACGGGAAGTGCATTCTTAGCACGAAGCAAAAGTCTTAAATTTTTTCTTTCCCATCTCTGCTGTTCTAGGTGTCTATTTCCAGCAGAGTGACTGCCCCAGCAGCAGTGTGTGCCGTTCCCCAACATCCTTATGTGAATCCTCCCACCTGGTTCTTCACTCCCTCACCTCCCCCGCCTCTGGCATCTACTCATCCCTCCACTGCCAGCCTCTCTCTGGCCCCTTCATTGGGAATTCCAATATTGGCTCCATTTGTCCATGGCTTTTTCATCACTGAATGACCTCAATCTGCATAATAATGGAGGGATAACAGCCAAGAAAGCTCTGCCAGAAGTGTCCTTTGTAGGAAATTACTTAGAAGGCTCCGAAAGCACAGAAATTATTTTTGGTGGTTTTTTTGGTTTTTGTTTTTGTTTTTTTGAGACAGGGTCTCGCTCTGACACCCCGTCTGGAGTGCAGTGGCATAACCACAGGTCACTGCAGCCTCAATCTCCTGGGCTCAGGTGATCCTTCTGCCTCAGTCTCCTGAGTAGCTGGGACTACAGGTGCACACCACCATGCCCGGCTAATTTTTGAAACAGTGTTTTGGCATGTTGTCCAGGCTGGTCTTGAACTACTGGGCTCAAGTGATCTACCCGCCTTGGCCTCCCAAAGTGTTAGGATTATAGGCGTGAGCCACCACATCTGGCTGCAAAGATGTTTTTAATACTCATATGTTGATGGTTTTATTCCCTGTACACTCATTTTATAGATTAGAAAACTAGGGCTTAATAATACTAGTACTAGGCCAGGCTCAGTGGCTCACGCCTGTAATCCCAGCACTTTGGGAGGCCGAGGCGGGTGGATCACCTGAGTTCAGGAGTTTGAGACCAGCCTGGCCAACATGGTGAAACCGCGTCTCTACTAAAAATACAAAAATTAGCCGGGTGTGGTGATGCGCACCGATAGTCCCAGCTACTCAGGGGGTTGAGGCAGGAGAATAGCTTGAACCCGGGAGACGGAGGTTACAGTGAGCCAAGGTTGCACCAAGCTGAGATTGCACCACTGCACTCTAGCCTAGGTGACAGAGTGAGACTCCGTCTCAAAAAATAAATAAGTAAATAAAAAATACTAGTAAATACTTACACTGTTATAATAATAATAATTATTATTGCTAGCTAGATACTGTTGTCCTATATTGTACAAATGCTAACTTATTTAATTTCAGGATGACCATATTAGGTAGGTGCTATTATATCCTTTTCACAGATCACAGGTTCAGGGGCACAAATCTAGTAAGTGGCAGGACTGGAATTCAAATTGAGGTTTGTCTGACTCCAGAGACCGAGCTCTTAACAACAGTGTTCTTTGCCTTTTGGGTCCTATTTCTGTAGCCATCTATGAAGCAAGTAGCTTTCGGAAGTCTAAATAGAAACAGAAAGAACCAGATAGAAGGATTTAGCAAAGGAACGAATCTAGCATTAAATTCCACCACCAGCCATGCTATTAAACATCAGGCGATTATTAAAATATAAACATGGTTGGGGACACGCTGGGTCTCTAAATAAGACCAATTTACTTGTGAAGGAATAGCTAAAAAATTCAGTGACTTTCTAATCCACTGCAAATTATTTAATCAATAAAACACAATTACTTTTCAAGTAATCTTTGAAAGTTCCAAGGAGTCTTGAGGTGTTTAATTGCTATTTAACCAGATAGCAGCAGTTGAGTTACACAGATATCCATTTCATATAAAATGCTCTTTGCAGATGGAACACTCTGTCAAATTTTCCATTAGAAAGACATATTTTCAGGGCAGATACAAGGGTTTTAGGTTACAGATTAATTTCGTTTCTCTGTTGTTCTCTAGGCAGGGCAGGAGGAGGGTGGAATGGCTGATGCAGGCATCCACAGCTCCTGCCTTGTTAACTCGGGAGCACGATGGTCCTCCCTGTCAATAATAAGCAATGGATACAAAATCAGAATCACAGGGATAGGAATCTGTGGGGCTTTTTCTTTTTTAAATATGAAATGCTTCATGAATTTTTGTGTCATTCCTTGTGCAGAGGCCATGCTGATCGTCTCTGTATCATTCCAATTTTGGTATATTTGCTGCTGAAGTGAACACAGGAATCTGTGTTCTAACCAGCCAGCCCTCCAGGTAATTTTTATGCACACGATAGTTTGAGAAGTACTGTTCTAACCTACTGTTAAAAATCTTTGGTAAACTGTAGTTCATTGTTTCTCAAACTGTAGTATGCCTATAAACCTGAAGATCTTGTTAACATGCAGATGCTGATTTGGTGGGTCTGGAGTGGGGCCTCATAGTTGGCATTTCCAACAAGCTCTCAAGAGATGCTGATCTGCTGGTCCCAGCACCAAGTAGCAAAGTGTGTGGTCAGGGTATTTGTCTGGTTGGGGAGGAATGGGAAGGAGCTCAACAGCCCTAATCATGATTCCTAGCACCAGCACTTGAAACCGTGTGACCTTGGGTAAGTCACTCTAGCCCTTGAAGCCAGCTTCCTCAGCTATAAAATGGTACAAAGTAACACTCTCCACTGTATAAGGCTGTTCTGATGGCTACATGCCTATACCTTACACAGTACTTGGCATGTAGAAGACACTGAAATACAAGCTGTGGTTGCTGTTGTTTTTGAGGGAAGGAAGAAACTGGTAAGTGCCCAATAAAAGTCAGTTGTTTTGTTATTATTTATTGAGAGTTGTTGTGTGGTATATTAGGCACTGTGCCAAGTACTACACTATTATTATTTACTCTTCTCAAAGACTCTATGTCTCTATGTATTATTTTTTTTTTTCTGTTTAACAGAATAGGAAGCCTAAGCTCAGAGAGGCTTAGTAACTTGGTCATAGTCACAAAGATAGTAAAAGGCAGAGCTAGGGATGAATTTAGGTGTTCCTGCCCAAGATTTTTTTTTTTAAGACAGTGTTTTGCTCTGTTGCCCAGGCCGGAGTGCTGGATTACAGTGGTTAAAATCACAGCTCAATCTAGCCTCGACCTCCTAAGTTCAAGTGATCCTCCTGCCTCAGCCTCCAGAGTAGCTGGGGCCACAGGTGCATGCCATGATGCCTGGCTAATTTTTAAAAAATTTTTTGTAAAGACAGGCTCTCATTATGTTCCCCAGGCTGGTCTCAAAGTCCTGGCTCAAGTGATTCTCCCGCCACAGCCTCCTAAAGTGTTCAGATTACAGGCATGAGTGACACACCCAGACAACTGCCCAAGCTCTTAATGGCCCAGACTGAAGCCTGGTTCTGTCTGTGCCCACCTGAGTCTAGAAAAGGTGGTGAGCTGGTACCTGATGACCCCACAACATGGCACAGTACAGGACCGGGGGTGCAGAGGTAGAGAATGGGCAGCAGCAGACAGAAGCCTCAAGGAAGGATTGCCAAGGAGCAGAGAAAAATCAGGCACAAGAGAAGGGGCGGGACCAGGTTCCAAAAGGATTTAGACACCCAGCAAGCAATCAGGAATAGAGCCTACAGTGATGAGGACCGTGTCTTCTTTACTTCTGTTTCCCAAGTGCTTAGTACAATGCTGACCATAGTGCTGCCTCATAAAGATGTAGCAGCTGAATTAATGAATTATTTAAATAATGGATTAATTCATATTTTGAGGGTAGCAAATGATTTGAAATTTGTAGGTAGGATGTTTTGGAGTGGGAGAGAGATGTTCACCTCTGGACTTTTCTTTTTTAAAAGAGTGAGCCGTTCAAAATAGAACAACTGGAATATTTCCCTTGGAGTGCTGCCAGTGCACACAATGCCTCCTTTTCTTCCCAGGTCAGAAGGCGTTTTGGGCCCAGCCCCTCGGCATGTGTGTGCAGCCTGCAGCCTGTCCGACATACTTACCCACTTGTGCTCTGGAACACAAAGGCCTCCCACCTGCCAAGCCCAACACAAATGCCTCCTTCACCACAGTCCTCTGGTGTATGTGGGTTCAGCTGCTGCTGCTGCTGAAAGTCCCCCTCCAGGGCAAAAGTGAGGCTCCAGTGGCTCCAGTCTCTCCACGACTGCTCAGAGAAAGAGACCACAATGCTTTCTCAACCATTGAGTCCCCTTCACTGGCCACAAGGCATGAAGTTCAATAGCCCAGTAACTTGAGGAAAGAAGAAAAGAGACCCTTTTCTGTTCAAAGACCAGCCTCGACAGATTGTGTGCAATCATCCATTTATCAGAAATTCTTCTTCAGGCACTGGGCTAGGTTCTGTGGACTCATGGATGAAAAAGACAGGGTTCTTTTCTTTAAGGAACTCACCGTCCAAAATGGGAGGCAGAGACCTAAACAAGGACCTATGTGGTGTTAGAGAGGTGTGGCTGGAGCATCTCAGAGGATCAGAAAAACATCACAGATCTGGTATTTTTGAGCTGGGCGTTGAAGGATGAGTAAAAGTTAAGCAGGCAGATGGGAGAAGCAGCTCTCTAGCTAGAGATGAAAACATGTATGGTGGGCTTGAAGAATGACCAGCAATCCTGGCCTAGAGTACAGGGTCGGGGAAGCGGATGGCGGAAGACAGAGGTTGGAAGTCAGCTCATTTTATTTTCTAGAATAGGAAACCATCAAAAGTTCTTAAGCAGGGAGGAACAAGACGAAAGCTGGGTTTTAAATACAACTCTGACTGCAATGAGGGGCGTATGTCCCCAGATTCTGGACTATTAGTAGACATTCAATAAATATTTACAGAATGAACAACTGACTTCAAGAGGGAAATAGCAAGTCTGGCAAGCAGTCTGGCCAGACTTAATACCTTTCCCTAAATGCTCCTTTTATTTATTTTTTTTCTTGTAAGAGAACAGAAGCTTTTCTTCTCCTGTACTGAACCATTACAAATGTATATAATCTGAAATTGCAGGCATAATTACATAACGTCTTACATGGTTGGCAGTTTCATGAGTGTTGGCTTTGTCTTCCTGACTGAGTTTCGGCTCCGTGACAGCTCAATGCCTTTTGTGTTCTCTCAGCATTGCCCAAAAGCATCTATCATGTGCTGGGAACACAGTAGGCTCCAGGTAAGCAGAACATGAAACAGACTTACGGAGCACAAGAGCTGGACAGGCTCCTGCAATTACCGAGTTCAACTCTCTCATTTCACAGATGGGGAGACTGGGAGAAAGAGAAACATATGCACTATGTGGAAATGTGTGCACGCTCCTACTACTGGGTTCTTGCATTGCACAGCAGGGACCTGGGCTCAGTTAAGATTTTCAGGTACTAACACCAAAGGTCCAGACATAGACTGAAATTAACCAGTGATGAACCTGGCCAACAGCAAGGTGAACAGAACACCGACACACAAACAACACAGGCACAGAAGAATGTCTGACATACATGAGTGGTATTCAGCACCCACCGCTTATTAAATTATGAAAACAGCGTAGCCTGGGACTAGACCGGACAGAGGCAGGAAAGCACAAAGATTAAGGGTGTGGGCTTTGGAGTGTGTGGATCCGGGTCTGAATCCCAGCTCTGCCACTTACCAGTGTGTGTTTAGGTTCCCTAACTGCGCCCACCGCCTCTACTGCCAGCCCAGCGTCCAAATAGCTAACACGAGAAAAAAACAATTTCCTCCTTATAGGATTACACAGATGAATTGGGATGAGGTATGTAAAATGCTTATCACAGTGCCTGCAGTGGGGATTGAAAGGTCACCAACCAGAGAGAAAGCAAGGAAGAAAGCACTTGGCACCTAACAGCTGGGACAAGGGAGAAACCTGAAGCTTAGAGATGTAGATTCAAGAGCCATCCATTTCCGTGTGATCACCACGTGGTTGGGGGTGGGGGGTGGTGAGAAGCAAGAGCAAGCAGAGGAGTCTGAGGAGCACCCCTGAAGACAGTCATGCATGGGGAACAGGTAAGAAGGAAGAGCCAGGATGGGGTACAGCTCAGAAACACAAAGGGGGTCAGTTTTGAGAAGACTGTTCTATGATGTCAGATGCTGTGGAACTTGAAGACCATGTGAGGCTCGGGCTTAGTTTCAAAAGAGCAGGAGGCAGACGTCAAGGGTTGACAAGATGGTTGAAGCAGCAGATGGGCTACGCTTTGGCTGTTTTCCAGTGCAATTCAGGAGAGAAAGGGACAGTAGCTCCAGGGAGGGACAAGGTGAGCTCTGGGAAAGGCGAGCATGTTTGCAGGTCTGGAGGAAGAAGCCGAGGGAGAAGGATGGACTTCTAGATGCAAGAAAGAGGAGCTGGCATAGGAGTCGACATTTACTCCAGGCACTGTGCTAAATAAAAGATGCAACACATGTTGAATTTACTCATTACCACTACCTTAGGAGCTAGATGCTTTTATTATTTTATTTCATATTTTACAATGAGAAGACTAGGCAAAGAGAGGGTGCTTACAGACTGAATGAGCCCCCTCTAAAATTCGTATGTTGAAATCCTAACCCCCAATGTGATGGTATTAGGAGATAGGGATTTGGGCAGATAGAGCAGATGAATGGGGTTAATGTCCTCATAAAAAAGTCCCCAGAGTGCTCCCTGGCCTCTTCCACCAACTGAGGACTCAGAAGAAGACAACTGTCTATGAACCAGGAAGAGGGTTGTCCCCCAGACGTGGAATCTGCCAGCGCTTTGACCCAGGACTTCCAGCCTCCAGAACTGTGGGAAATAAAATTTATTAAAATTTATAAGCCACCCCGTCTATGGTAGTTTGTAATAGCAACCCAAATGGACTAAGACAGAGGTGAAATAGTTTACCCAGGTTAGCAGTAGGAGAATCTGAGATTTGAAGCCAAAAGCTCTGGCTTAAGAGTTCATGGCTTTTACCCAAAGGGCCAGTCTGCTAGAGTTTCTGGAGGTGGGAAGAGAAGGCTTTCAAAGTTTGGCTTTGGCAGGGGAGTGGAGAGCAAAGATGGAGAAAAACAGCAAGGTGGGAATGAGGAAGTTTAAGCCACATGATCTCCATCTTCTCAGGTAGGAAGAGATCAAGAGCTGAGACTGAGGGCTGTGTGAATGGACTTGGGAACTTACGAAGTGTAGATGAGGTTTGCAATAGTCAGTGAGGATACTGGGATGAGAGGCAGCTGACACACATGGAGGATGCCAAGTAGCAGATGAAGTCAAAGGGCATGGATTTAATGGATCCAGCAGTCCCAAGACAGGGTCAGAGAAATGGGACAGTAAAGTTTAATCCAGGATGGGGCTGACAAAAGTCAAAGGAGTTGAGAGAGGGAGATTGTAGGGCACAAAGAAGGGCATGATAGCTGGCATAATGGGGAGGGGCGGTATTTTCAACATCATGTCATCCATACCAACAAGTGCAAAGGTGAGGACAGGGCGAGCAGCCATGATGTGTTATAGCTGAGGTTTCCTGACCAGCCCCCCGACCCAAAGGCACCCTAATTACAAAGGTGCCCAAAAGCACCCACCGCCCATCCCAAACTAAGTCGTCTTGGTTCATAACTCTGCTGCCCAATATCGTAGCCACCAACTACATGTTAGTGGCTAACTAACTACATGTTACTTAACTAACTACTGAGCACTTGAAATGTAGCTAGTCTGAATTAAAATGTGCTGTAAGTGTAAAGTACACCTGAATTTCAAAGACTTAATATGAAAAAATGAATATAAAATTTCTCTTTTTTTGGTACTGATCACATGGTGAAATGATAATATTTTGGATATATTGGGTTAAATAAAATATATTAAAATTAATTTCACCTGTTTTCTTTTTATTTTCTTTAATGTACTCCTAGAAAACTTAAAATGTATTTCAAATTCTTTTTCTTTTTTTCTTTTTTTTTGAGACAGGCTCTCATTCTGTCACCCAGGCTGAAGTGCAATGGTGCAATCTCAGCTCACTGGAACTTCCGTCTCCCAGGTTCAAGCGATTCTCCAACCTCAGCCTCCCAAGTAGCTGGGACTACAGGCACACACCACCATGCCTCGCTAATTTTTGTATTTTTTGGTAGAGACAGGGTTTCCGCATGTTGGCCAGGCTGGTCTTGAACTCCTGACCTCAAGTGATCTGCCCACCTTGGCCTCCCAAAATGCTGGGATTACAGGCATGAGCCACCATGCCCGGACCTTCAGATTCTATTTCTATTGGCAAGAGCTGGTCCATATACCAAATTTGGGCTAAATGAATGTTTTAGGCCCATTTAACCAAGACGTTGATCTGAATAGCAACAGAACTGATAAGTTTTGATTTGTTGGACATGGGAATGGAGTGCCAGGGAGCTGTGACCTGAAATAAGAAAGAGGTGCTCACTGGGATACCAGAAGCAGATTTTTATGATGTGCCACTGATGGGGGCAAGAAAAGGGCCAAACATCCAAAATGAGACCAAATGTCAAAAAAGCCCACAAGCCTTCCAGTGATGACAAGAAGGACCCTGGACCTGCTTCCAATCCAGGATTCTCCCCTTCTAGCTCTGCACTGGGCCTTAACTTCCCCAGCTCCTGTCTGCCCCCTCCACTGACCTCAGGTGACCTCCAAACTGCCCCACCCAGCCCCATCCTCTTCGCTTGCTCCCACCAGTCTCTTTAGGACACTAAGCCCAACAACCTCATGCATTCCAAAAAGCCTCTCCCAACCAGCCAGCACTGGGGCCGATTACCCGCCCCCTCGCCAACAGCCTCCCCTTTCAGGAGATTCCTGCCAACAATTAAGAAAGGAGGCAATATGATACAGCGCGACCGGCATGGCTTGTGAGCCAGGAAATCCAGATCCTAACTCAGATTTGTCCAATTTCTGCTGTGTGAGTTTAAGGCATATCACAACTTCTCTGGGCCTCAGCTGCTTATCTGCTACCTACCACTACTGTCCTAAGTCTATAGACTTGCCAGAGGGTTCAATGAGATAATGGGAGTACAAGTGCTTTGCTAAAGACGAAGTGATATCCAAATGAAAGGGAATATTGTAATCTAGAGAGGGAAGCAGAAGAGATGTGAAAACGGAAAAGGAGGGTGCAGGAAGGAGGTGTCACTTGCAAAGACAAGCTGTGAATCCCCTCCATTGTACTAAGAGGGGTTGACCTTTCCTACGGCAGGAGGGCACCTCCATCTCCCCAAGAGCCAGCACAGGCCAAAGCCTTCCTATCAGAGAACACCACATACCTACCTGGCTTCAGAAATTTTCCTGCAGCTGAATAAATAAAAGTGATTCCAGGGAAAATGTCCTAAACAAAACCCGAATGCAGCTGTTGATGAATTGCTTGAGATTTTTTTTTTCTTTTTTGAGACAGAGTCTCGCTTTGTCGCCCAGGCTGGAGTGAAATGGCGTGATCTCGGCTCACTGCAACCTCCGCTTCCCGGGTTCAAGCAATTCTCCTGCTTCAGCCTCCCAAGTAGCTGGGATTACAGGCGCCTGCCACCAAGCCTGGCTAATTTTTTTGTATTTTTAGTAGAGATGGGGTTTTGCCATGTTGGCCAGGCTGGTCTTGAACTCCTGACCTAAGGTGATCCACCTGCCTCAGCCTCCCAAAGTTCAGGGATTACAGGTGTGAGCCACCATGCCTGCCCCTGCTTGAGATTTTAATGTTAAACAGCACTGAAAGGAGGATTTTAAGCTCCACTGTGAAAGTTATAACTCATCCAAGGTTCACTGGCCCTCTGAACCCTCCTGCAACACGGTGAAGGAAGAAAAATCGGGAATCCAAAGAATGGAAGATGTTAAGCAGGGGTTGCTTTCTCCTGACACTGCATTGCGCTCTGATAACCCAGTACCCAAAAAGCTGCTTTGAACACATTCACATTTTATTTAACCCTCAGTAGAACCTTTGAAGGAAGGAATTATCATCTCCATTTAAAAGAACTGGCAACTAAGGTTTGGAGGTGCCCAGTGGGGATTCAGGACTAGCTCTTTCTATTTAGTAGTGTTTCCCATTACAGACTCTCTCTCTCTCTCTCTTTTTAACACAAGGTCCTGTTCTGCTGCCCAGGCTGGAGTGCAGTGGTGCCATCATGGCTCACTGTGGCCTCAAACTCCTGGCCTCAAGCGATCCTTCTGGTTCAGTCTCCTAAGTAGGTGGGACTACAGGCATGTGCCACCATGCCCAGCTAATTTTTATTTTTATGTTTTGTAGAGATAGGGGTCTCACTATGTTGCCCAGGCTGGTTTCAAACTGCTGGCCTCAAGCGATCCTCCTGCCTCAGCCTCTGAAAGCATTGGGATTACAGGCATGAGTCACTGCACCTAGACCACAGACTTTCTTTACTCAGACCCAGACATAATTAATGACTTGCAATATGTTCAAGATGGAGTATGAGGAAAAAAACAGCAGGACAATAGGTAAGCCCCATTTTTATTTAAAAAATTTTCTATACAAATATATCTGGATATGTATCTAGCTCTATATAAGAATATGTAGTTACATATCATATATATACAGTGCCAAACTAGATCAATTTCCTCCAAACTGGTCTATATGCTCTAACCACCAGTTCTTGACAGTTTAAAGTTTTTGCCTTTATATGCTTCTACATTATTTTATTATTATCATTTTTTAAACAGATTCTCTATCCCTGTTGCTCAGGCAGAGGTGCAGTGGCATGATCATAACTCATTACCTCTATATATTTTTCAATGTTTGCTGCTAACTGGTATGATATTTATAATAATTTTTAATAAAAAAATTCCCAATAGTGTTCACAAAGCCTTTCAAATTGTAAAGGCCACCCCCTCCAACATACACATTATTTAGAGGAATAGTAATATAATATAACATAATAATAATTTCTTTTCCTCTCCTCCTTTTCCAAATTATTCCTAAAAATTCTCTTTGTATTAGTTTCTGTAGCAATTAAACACACAAACACACAGAAACATTTCACTCTGTCCTTCTTTTTAAGCTTAAAAGGATAATAAAGTAAGATAGTAAACATCTTACAATACAATAAATATTGGCCAAGGGTGGGTGTTTTGGTGTCATCCCCAGTAAAGATGCCAGACACTGCAGCTGAAAGCAAACAGGCCTACCCGTCATTCCATCTTTCCAGATGTCCTGGCCCCACCTTCACTTCGTCCAGGTTCCTTCCCAGGCCATCATGCAGGAAGCATCCCATTTGCCCCACCTAACTGCTTCTCAACCCACAATCAAAATTTTCCTGAGGAGTCCGGTGCGGTGGCTCACACCTGTAATCTCAGCACTTTGGGAGGCTGAGGTGGGTAGATCGCCTGAGGTCAGGAGTTCGAGACCAGCCGGGCCAACATGGTGAAACCTTGTCCTACTAAAAATACAAAAATTAGCCGGACGTCGTGGTGCACACCTGCAGTCCCAGCTACTTGGGAGGCTGAGGAAGGAGAATGGCTTGAATCCAGGAGGCAGAGGTTGCAGTGAGCTGAGATCGCAGCACTGCACTCCAGCCTGGGTGACAGAAAGAGACTCTGCCAAAAAAAAAAAAAAAAAAATTCCTGAGGAGTAGTTAAAATTCATTTCCTAATCTGATAAACAGACTATAATGTGAATAGTTTAGAATTTCCTTTCTCCTCCCCTGTAACACATTAACATTCTGAGAACATTGTAATAACTCCACAGTAAGCTTATGGCAGAGATTTCAGACAAGCCAGTTGGCTGTGGGACCCCAGCCATCACCGAAGGTCCACTGCTCACCTTCCAGCCAGGTGTGGCCATGGTGGGAGTGACTCAAGGCTAGTGTTGCCAGACCTGATTTTTTTTTTTTTTCAAAAGAAGCTAGACATGTAGATTTATGTAAAATCTGATTTTTAAATGTTGACAGAATTCTTCTTTTTTAAAAAATGCTATGAAGGTCAAACAGAACCCAAATGCAAGCCAAATGCCACCCATGTGCCTGCCAGCTAGGCCCTGAAGGCTGTCTCTGCATACCTCTCTAGCCTCATCTCCAATTCCTCTGCCCTTCATAAATGCCACTCACACCTCACCCCCTGCCTTAACACCCCTGTGCCTTTGCTCACCCCGTATCCACCCTGTAGGATGCCCTTTTTTGTCTTTTCTATCAGACTGGCAAGTGGCAGGTTGCAGCTTGGTCTCTGGGCCCCAGGAACCAGCATTCACCTCTGCCTGCCCTTTGCTCCTGGTCTCTAGCGCCCTAGGGAAAAGTGTTTTCTGCATGATTCAGGCTCTGCTTTGGAAGGCTAACTACAGTTATGATGGATGACAGTGGGGACGCACCTTCCCCAGAGGCTAACAGGAAAGCCGGCTGGAGAGGCTCACACAGGCGCCTGCATGGAGAGGGGCCTAATGACCTCCTATTGCCCAGGGCGGCTGCCTGGCCAGATAATGTGCCTTCTGCAGTCAGGACAAGAGCAGGGGTGGGAGGATCCTGTAGAGAGCCCTGAAGTGAGTCTATGCTGGTTACCAGAAAACTCCTGAGCAGCTGCACCCCCTACCCCTCCTCACTCACCAGCCAGGAGCCTGGGCCAGGTGCTCCTGCTCCTGATCTCTCTCCTGGTCCAGGTTGGAGAGAACTATCCTGGTCTCAGGAGGAATCACAAAGAATCTAGCCAGGCTGACATTCTCAAAAGCCCAGCCACCCTCTCAAAGGAGCAGTTTCCAGCACCCACCAACACTCATCCCAAGATCAGAGGGTTAAGGAAAACTCTGGTTTCCTGCTACCACCACCACAACCACCACCCCCAAAGTCAAGCCAGGGAGGGAACACCGAGGGCACCTCTCCCCAGGGAACTCAGCACCTCAGAGAACTTGCCTAGAAGGCAACGATCTGGGAAAAATGTCACAGGGCCCAAACCCTCCCAGAGAAAGGCAGATTCCTAAGTCCCCTCCCACCCAGACTTGGCATCTAAGCAGCTGGGGTGGAGGAGCAGGGTCCCCCTGACTTCTGATTCTCCTGCCTCTTTTTCCTCCATCTCCTCCCTTAGGGACCGTCCCAGAACCTCCCTTGGGGCTCCCAGGGGCTTTCAATCCTCACCTCCAGGATAACTTGAAGAATACCAGGTGTTTTAGCCTGTCTGGGCTGCTATCACAAACTACCATAAGATGGGTGGCTTCCAAACAAAAGATGTGTGTATGTCTCACCGTTCTGGAGGCTCGGAGAATGCCATCAGCGTGCCAGCATGGCTGGGTTCTGGTGGGGTCCCTCTTTCAGCTTGCAGACTGTTGGCATCTGGCGTGTCCTCACATGACAGAAGGGTTGACAGAGCTCTCTCTTCTAAGAGCACTATCCCATTTGTGAGGGCTCCACCTTCATGACCTAAGTTACCTCCCAAAGATTGCATGTCCTAATACCATCACATTGGGGATTAGAACATCAACATATGAATTCTGGGAGGATACCAGCTTTCAGACCACAGCACCAGGCTCTCATTGAGAATCCCAGGCAGACCTGGTAGCATCCACAGGCAGTTTAGCTCAATAAATCCTCGACACACCAGTGAAGTAGGATCTTTTACCCTATTTTAAAGGCAAGAAAGTTAACTTCAAAACCACTTTATAATTAGAAAGGAAAAAGAAACCTTCAACTGAAAGAAGACTACATTACTTAAATTTTTTTAAAAAAGCTAATTTTATTAACTAGTTATTATGTGCCAAGGGCTTTAAGTGCACTATCTCATTTCATCTTGGGTAACCCTATAATACAATCTTTTTTGTCCCCATTTTACAGATAGGAAGCTGAGGATAGGGCAGCGATGTGACTTAGCCAAGGCCAGGGGAATTTCACTCTTCCACGGGCCACACTGCGATGGACTAACAGGTTCTCCTTCCAGGTAACACATCTACATTTTAACAAGAGCTGCCTGGAGAAGACAAAGTAGCCCAAAGCAATGGTTCAAAAGCGGGGAATTTCTCTGCCAGTGGGCAGAGCTCTCAGGGCAGGAGCCTTTTGGCACCAGCAAGCATCACCCGAAGGCGGCCACCCACAGGCCTGGCTGACACAGGGCTCCATTCAGCAGTCGGCAAAGCCAAGGGACATGGGGATAGAATGAAGAAGAGGATTAAGTCAGGGAAGGCCAGCCCCGAGGCAGGCACTACAGCAAGGCAAGCAAGCACCTGAAGAAGAATGTGCTCCTCCCCTGTTCCCTTGTCCAAAATATCAGTCACTTAACCACGTGGAATCATCAGTCCCAGGGCAGGGCAGCAAACTGGGGCAAAAGTCCTCACTCAGCTCAGTCATTCAATCCCCTTGCCACCCAGGGCCTGCCACCTGCCCTCTCTGGTTCGCTCCTCAGTTGTAAGACAAGGGGGACGATCTAGGTAAGTGGTAAGGTTTCTTCCACCCTCAACTAATACAAAATTGCGTAGGAGCCTAGTGCATCTGGCACTTGGAGCAGCAGCATTAATGGCCAAGGTAGGATGCAGGGAGGACTGGAGAGAGAGGGAGAAAGCAGCAGGGGCCAAAGAAAGGTGAGGGACAAGCTCTAGGTGACGGAGACCAGAAAAGGGGTTTGGGGGGCTGGGGTGCCAAGAATGGGCAAATTCCCTGAAAGGGGGAATGAAAGAAACAATTCATTTGCTTTTATCAAGGTTCTACTGAGAAGGCCTCCATGACAGATGCGGCACTGGGCACTGGGAAGGGGAGAAGGAGCTTCTATACAGAGGGACAGCCATGCACAGCAATAGCAATTAGCTCTTCACAAGGCCAGAGCCAGGTACTATGATGAGTAGTGCCTGCTGCTCATGTTGGAGAGAAATCAGGGAAGCCTTCCTAAAAGAGCTCACCTGAGAAGATGGGGACAATTTCACCCAGTCTAAGTCTAGTTCCTCCCACCCAAATGGAAAGAACTACCCAAAATGGCGCTGAAGCACTAGAGGGAGAATAGGTAAAATTAGGCAAGCACCATTATCTCCATTTCACAAATACAAAAACTGAGGTTCAGCATGGTCATGGCCAGGTAGCAGAGCTGGCATTAGAACCCATTCTGCCTGACTCCACAGCTTTTGCTTGTAATTTCTATTCTGTCATCACTCCTGCAGACTGTATGCCTGTGAGTGGGTTAAGGGTGGGAGGGGAAGGAACTGGCGTGAGAACAAGCAAAGGCCAGAGAGATGGATTGGGGAAGATGAGGATGGATAGTAAGCACTTTCCTACCAAAAGAATATGGCAGCCAGAGCTTTCCCAAACACACTCTTCCCAGTTGCCTGTAGTAGGTTTCAAGAACAAGTTTCTAGAATCAGGCAGATGCAGGCTGAGCTCCTGGCTCCACCACTTGATATCTCGGGTACCCTAGAGCAAGTGTTTAACCTCTTAGAGCTTCACTTTGCTCACCAATACAACGGGAATGATAACAGTCATACCTTATTGAGTAGTGGGTAAAGATGAAACAACTGCTATATTCAAAGGTCTTGGCACGGTGTCTGGCACAAGTTCGATAAAAGGTAGCAAAAAAAAACACAACCACTACTCTAATAAATATTGCTCCAGTAGACGCTCCTGTTTCCTGGCTTCCTCCTCAAAATCACCATGGGGCCAGTCCTCCACATCCTCCCTCCTCCTCCTTTGCATACCCTCCATTTCAGAACCCACTTCAAAGCTACTTCTTCACCAGCTTCATCTCCTTCCTAGGATTCTAGTTTGCACTGGATCAAGGGATTCATCAGTTAGTCTACACAAACTCCTTAACCTCTCGGGATCATCATTGCGCGCTAGGTGGTTGTTCCAGTAGATTGCTTTGCATGGGATTAACCAAGCAATCAGCTCAGGGGCTGGTGGGTTTGTGGGCTGATAGAATTACCCGATGAGTCAGCCGTGTGTGCCTGCAATTTGTAAATTGACCTCTAGATAACATCAAAGTCTTCTACCCAAACCACAAATTCTGCGCTTTTGCAAATTTGCCAACAATTAAATAAAATTTACTACTCCTTAAGAATGTCTTCCACTAATTAGACAGTGACAGATGAGTATATAAAAAGTCAGGGTGAGGGAGGGTAGGAAATTGGGGATAAAGCTTACTGACTTCCTGTCGGGGGTCTTAACCTTTTTTGTGCCTTCATCCCTTTGGCAGACTGGTGAAGCCTATGGACTCTTTCTCAGAACATTTAAAAATGCATAAAATAAAATGCATAGCTTGACTACAAAGAAAACCAATAATATTGAAATATAATTAATAAAATTTTTTAAATTGTGTAATATAGTAATATATTCTTCTTTATTAATGCATTAAATAACAAGCTCTGGCAGCAGGTATAGTAACTACTATAAATACAAAGCCATCAGGGACATAAATAATATTTCAAGGTATCTGTCGCAGCTAAAATGTAACATGAAAATATCTGTGATTTCTAGTGGTGACAATGTCACAGGGACTGCAAATACACTGTGGATTGTTGCCTACATTCGTAATACAAGAAAATCCTAAATAAAGATGCTTTTTTTCCCCTATCCAAGTTTACAGACTCCTCTGAATTCTATACGGGAACCCCTTGGGGCTCTTGACCCTAAGTTAAGAATCTCTGTTAGATCCTTTATGGCTCAGTAAGTATTTCTACTGGGCACATTTCTGAGTTCCAGCTCACCCTTCTCTCCTTCTTGAAGAATCTCCACCCACACCCTTTCTGCCTCAAAAGTTCTTCACATAGGACTCTCTTCTGCCCACCCCTCTCATCCAACTGGCCCAAGGAGGACCCCTGCCACAGTGGCATCCCATGCCCTGGCTGCCTGGCACCTGCCAAGACAGAGACTGGAGAGAAAGCCTCACTTGCAGAGAACCAGCTCAGACATCAGGATGCTCTCTGGAACTTGAAGTCAGCAACAAAAGAGAGCTTCGTGCAATCGTAGGGCAAGGGGTGGGTTGGCAGGTGCTGTGTTAATCCATGGCACTTAGAATGTAGGCCAGTGACCAGCTGTACTGGAAGAATGACCTTGAACTCAAACTCCTCTCCACGGTATCAACTGCCTCAAGGATGCTTGGCCTCCTTCCAGACCTGTGCTTAGACATCAATACAGTGGTTCCCCCCCAAACCCCTGTTATCTGCAGTTTCGCTTTCTGAAGTTTCAGTTACCT
The DNA here is from genome assembly GCF_000001405.40 of Homo sapiens. Lineage (NCBI taxonomy): Eukaryota > Metazoa > Chordata > Mammalia > Primates > Hominidae > Homo > Homo sapiens. The sequence goes on from NC_000001.11 coordinate 62,313,028, forward strand.
ATGGTTAATGAAGGTCCAAAAATATTAAGACATTTTGAGGGAGAGAGAGAAAGACCATATTCACATAGTTTTTGTTACAGTATTATTGTTATAATTGTTGTCTTTTGTTATTGTTGTTAATCTCTTACTGTGCTAATTTATAAATTAAACTTTATCACAGGTATGTATGCATAGGAAAAAGCATAGTATATATAGAGTTCAGTACTATCCATGGTTTTAGGCATCCACAGAGGGTCCTGGAATGTATCTCCCATGGGAAAGGAGGTACTACTGTACTGCATTTTATGGCTTCTCAGTCTCTTCCTGGAACCACAACTCAAGGGAGTCTCTGTTTTCTGTGTTACAAGAGCCCCAGGTCAGCACCATTTTATTAATATAGACAAAGAAGCTGAAGTTTAGTAAACTTGAATAATGTTCTCAGGCTCACGGGGATAATAAATGGTGAAGCCATTTTCCCTTTCTTTTCCTCTCACTCCCAAACACCCTATTATGGAGGGGCAGGTGGGTAATGCCTTTTGTTATTATTTTTTATTTCAAATCACACAAATGATCCATGAAAATAATCTCTTAAAAATTCAAACATTACACCGCATGTTCTCATTCATAAGTAAGAGTTGAACAATGAGAACACATGGACACGGGGAGGGGAACATCACATACTGGGGCCTGCTGAGGGTGAGGGGCAAGGGGAGGGAGAGCATTAGGACAAATACCTAATGCATGCGGGGCTTAAAACCTAGATGACGGGTTGATAGGTGCAGCAAACCACCATGGCACATGTATACCTACGTAACAAACCTGCACGTTCTGCACATGTATCCCCAAGCTAAAAGTAAAATAATAAATTTTTTTTTAAATTTAAACATTGATAAAATGCCCTCCCCATTCATACTCAACGTCGTACCTAATAACTGTAGACCCTGACCACACTATTATATTCAGCCACTACCGAACTTGCCATTCCGTCTTTTTGTTTTGTTTTGTTTTGATTTGTTTTGTTTTTGAGATGAAGTCTTGCTCTTGCCGCCCAGGCTGGAGTACAGTGGCGCGATCTCGGCTCACTGCAACTTCTGCCTCCTGGGTTCAAGCGATTCTCCTGCCTCAGCCTCCTGAGTAGCTGGGATTACAGGCATGTGCTACCATGCCCAGCTAATTTTTGTATTTTTAGTAGAGATGGGGTTTCTCCATGTTGGCCAGGCTGGTCTCGAACTCCTGACCTCAGGTGATTGGCCTGCCTCAGCCTCCCAAAGTGCTGGCATTAAGGTGTGAGCCACTGCGCCCAGCCTCCATTCTGTCTTTTAAACCTTTCCCCAGGAGTAGGATGGCTACATTTTCCAAGGCAGAAGGGAGAGCGGGGTGGGAAACACCGATGAACTGAGCGCAGCGCCTGAAAACACTCAGCCCTGCTGCCTGGTGCCCTGCTAGGAACATCCAAATCGATGGCACCGAGAGCTGGCGTCTCCGGGCTGCTGGGCAGAAACCAGGATGTGGAGGGGAATCGGCACCGAAGGCTGCTCTTTTATCCTTGTGTGGAGCAAATTCTCCCTATGCTGTATTTCTCTCCCCCCTTGTCATTTGACGTCAGAGCCACAAATTAGAAATACATACCAAAGGAAACTCTGCAGACACAAAGGATCCTTCCATGCAAAGGGGGAAAAGCCACAGCCACATTAAAAAAAAAAAAAATCTATCCAACCAACAAGTTTTATTTACTTTTGGGGAAAAAATGAGGAGAGTGATGGAACTGGGATTTGTGTTTTCTCCCACAATGCCTGTGTCTCCAGAAAGCTATTTGAGGGGGCAGAGCCCAGGGCCTGGGCGAGACAGTGAAGTGATCCTTTTGAAAACAGGACTTCTTTCTCTTGGAGAAGGAACGCTCGGCCAGCTTCTTCAGACGCCACCAATCTATAACTGCCCATGTATCACATTCACCATCTACGTACTTTAAATCTTGGACAGCATTTATTTTATCCTGGAAACTGTGACAGCCCTGTTTTTAGCCGGAGGGCCCCTTTTCTCTCCTTTAATCCTACTTTGAAATATTATCTGTGTAGACTGCAGGCTGTTCACAGAAAGGCCCATTAGAAGCCTCTTAGTCCAAACTTGGTCTGGGAGATTGGCGTCCTGAGGCACAGAGAGGTTATGGACCAGCTGTAAATCACACAGCTGCTTGGCGGTGAATCTAGGCTCCAATCCCAGGATACACTGACCTCCAAACCCATGCCTCTTCCCACAAACTCTACTACAGTGTAGCACAAAGTGGTTAGCCGTCTGATCTCCAAAGACAGAGGGCTCTGTGAAATCCCAGTTTTATGGTCATTTAATATGGACCATGACCCTGGGCAAGTCACTTAACCTCTCTGAGCCTCGATTTCCTTACCTACACATTGGGGATTATGGCAGTAACTAACTCTAGGATAAGGGTGAGGCTTGACTATGCCAGGGATCGACACACATGTACATTATGATATTGTACTGTTCCTGTTTCACACACAATCGAGTGGCTCTGTGATAACTGTATCCACGCCATCATCCAGAAATTGGCAAGAAAGGATTGTTCTCAAACCCATTGTACAGATAGGAAAATTGAGTCCCCCCGCCCACAGATGACATAACTTGCACAACATCAGAGTTTTAAAAGTAAGTATATAGGTGGAGGCTGCAGTGAGCCATGTTCATGATACTGCACTCCAGCCTAGGTAACAGTGAGATCCTGTCTCAAAAATAAATAAATAAAAGTAAGCATATTCTCAGCACTAAGAAGTCCTAAATATCCTCCCCACCATACCTACCGAAGTGCAGGTTGAACTAGGAGTAAAAGTTGCCTCTTCCCTTCCCCCTGCAGAGCAGAGCCACGAGTGCACAAGCACATACTCCATGGCCCTGTCTTGTAAACTGGAATCAGCACGGGTCCTGGCACAGAGCAGAGGCTCAATGCAGTTTCAAAGAATGGGTGAATTCCTGAATCAATGAAAATCCCAATCTGCTAAGAAAGGGGCCAGGCAGGCAAGAGCTCTGGTAGCAGCAAGCAAGAACCCCGTTCTCTCCTTAGCCTGTTCTGCAGGAAGAAACCTTTGACAAGGTCAATAGCTGGGCCTCTGATCTCAATGGTCCACCAAGGGCGTCCCCCAGTCTGGCCCACATGGCCCAATCCAGGACCCAGGAGGTAACTGTGAAGCACAAGTGACCCTCCTCCAGCTAAAACAGATGTAATAATATTGCAGGCAAAGGGCGGTGAACAGGCCAGGGAGAGGGCCCATCTGTCTTCCTAATTGTCAACTCTGCCCATAATATTTTTCTCCCTGTCACACCTTAGGCTGCTACTGAACTGAAGCAAAACCAAGATATCCATCTTCCAGCCATGAGCAGTGGCCTTCATAAAGTACCAGGAACGAAAAGAGGCTGCTTGGCTAAGAGAAGCAGACAGAGCTGGAAGGAGCTTTAAACTGCAAGTCAGGAGCTTAGGAATCCCTACTCATAGCCAGCTGTGGGTACTTAGGCAGTCATCGCACCTCACTGAGCATCCATTTTCTGTAAAATTGAAGTCCAAAGTTTTGGAAATGGGTTAATGGAGCAGGGAGGTGTGAATCATGTAATATTGTATGCAAGATATTTTAGGTTTTATGCAGTTGGAGGAGAGTATCCATAATTTTCATCAGAATCTCAAAGATATATGCAATAACCACCATCCCCTCCCCATATAAAAAAGTTAAGAAATACTGGACAGGACAGTTTCCATCCAACAAGCATTTTTTGAACACCTTCTATGTGCCCTGCTCTGTGCTAGGTACTTGGAGAGCCCTGTTTTTAAGGTGCTCAGTGTAGCTGATGTTTGCTGTGACAGAAGCATGTCCAGGGAGCTTTAGGAACAAAGAGAAAGCAGCATTTGCCTCTATCTTGTCAGGAAGGGCCTTCTGCAGGGGAAAAAACCTTATGTTTAATGCCGAAGTTCAAAGCTAAGAGTGCATTCACTGGGTGGGCAAGAATAATATTTCAGACCAAGGGTAGTAGTATGTGCAAAGGCAACGCGTGGCCCAGGAACCACTTGAAGCATAATTGTGCTGAACATATTGAAGGTGCTCATTGCAAGGGGCCGGGAAAGTGTTAGAGCCAGAAGTGAGGCTGGGAAGGCAGGTAGGGCCCAGATGAGGAAATGCCATGTATGCCACCCTAAGGAATTTTACACTGTCAGCAAGTTCTTTCTAGTTTTAAAAGTCTAGGATGAGCCACCACTCCTAGCACAAATCTCCCTAAATGTTGGGCAGAGGCTTTGGTTCACTGTGAGCTGAATGGACATTAGGGAATGAACCGCTCGCTGCTCTTGGCACCACGAGCAGGCATGGGCTGTCTGACCAAGGTGCACACATGGGGCAGTGAGTCCAGCAAGGTGCTATTGGTCTATCTCTCTCCTTCTCCCCACACTATGATCTAGCCAGGGGACTTCCAACTGCTCATTATTACAGTTCAGAAAGGAAGGCACTGACTGGACCAGTCAATGGGATGCACAACTAAAGGACTGCCCATTTGGGCCCCTGGTAGTAACTCAGCCAACAGAGGCTTTCAGTTCCTCTAACCCACTCTGCTACTCACCTTAGGCCCTCTCACACGCGGCTACTTCTGCCTAGAAGGCTCATTCCACTCTCTCCTGTCATTCTGCAGACTGACCGACTACTGGACCTATCAGGTTTTCAGGGTATCTAGTCCTTTCAAAGAACTCAGCACTGGAGAATTCTCTATTTATGTGAGTGATTTAATTCCTGTTGGTGTTGGCCACTGGAATGCAAGCTCCATGAGGCCAGAAGGTGCCAGTTTTGTTCACTTCTGTACCTCACTACGTTGACCAGTGCCTGGCACAGAGCATTTGTTGATTGAATCAGTCTGGTCTGATCCCCGAGCCATTCCCCAAAACTCACTTTCCCCAGGTCACATTATGGTCCAGTGAAGTGGGAAGGCTGGGCTTGAAAAGGCAGTATTAGAACGGACTCTGCCTCCATTCCCAGTGTAGCTTTCCTGTGTCACATTTTGAGAGGCTCTAAGCAACCTGGGCTTGATTTACCCAAGCAGGTCCTTGGGAATCGTGTTTAACTCAAGATGCTTTCTCCCCATGCCTCAGCCGGGTCACTGGCTGCATCTGATCCTCCTCTGGCCCTATTTGGTAGATAGGACTTTGCCCAGGCCTCAGGGGGTCCTCCTCCCTCTCCTGGAAAATACTCCCTCTTTGCCCTAAAGGCTTGCACTCCAGGGCGCTTAGGAACTAAGACTTGAGTTTGGCAGCCCCGAAGGATGCCCAGGGCAAGAGTTAGGTTCAGACCCAGCGTAGCGGCCATGGGCTCGACTTTCCAACTCCCATTTCTGGCCAGTCTGCGGGGTCAAAGTACCCAGTCACAGATTTGACCTTACCGGAGAGGCAGAAGGGAAAGGAGCCCACAGGAGGCATGCGGGCTGGGCAAAGCGCCCTCGGCGGCGTCTAGAGCACTCGGAGCTGCCCCATTGCCTCCGCCCAAGGTCGCGGCCCAAAGGGAGCCCTGGAAAGTTCAGCCAGGGGCCGAGGAGTGCCAGGGTTGGCACTACGGGGAGACTTTTGCGACAGGAGAGAGACTAAGAGCTCGATTCCAGGTAGCAGTGGGAGCCCGCGGCAAAGAACGCCCAGTCCCGCAGGCTGCATCCCAGACCGCAGCGCCTAGCTCGGAAAAGCTGGGCGGGGGCTGCACCACCTGAGTCGCAAGGACAGCACGGCCTCCCCCTCCTCACCAGTGTTCTCCACCCCCAGAATTGGGGCGCGGAGAGCCAATCTGGGCTGGAAAGGGAGCGGCGCCCACCTTTGGGCAGCCCGAGCAGCCCCGCTCCTTTTCTGTCGCAGACCCCAGGCTGGGAGGCGGGGGCGCCAGGTCGGCCCAAGCTGCCGCAGCCACTGCTTTAAAGGGAGCCGGGGACGCGGCGCTGGGGACTGGGCGAGGCGGGTGGCAGAGGCAAGAGGAGAGTGGTCGAGCGCCGGGGCCAACACTCGGGTCGCGCAGGGCGGGTGTTGAACACCCCAGCAGACGCACTGCGGGGGACTGGGGTCGCAGAGTCCCTTACCTTGGCGAGCTGCGGAAGTCCTGCGCGAGGCGGCCCGCGGTGCACGGGGCCGGGGCAGCTAGGCGCACACCCCGGCTTCGGAGCGCACGCAACCTCCGGGTGCACTGTCCGCGTCCCAGGCGCGCACCCCGGGGCTGGCGCACCCTGGTCGTCCGCGGCGCGCACACCCTCCAGGCGCCCTCTGGCCGACGGTCTCGGCCCTGGCCCCGGCGCACCCCTGCGGGCACACCCACCGCGGCGGATGCGGGACTGGCCAGGCGCCGCCAGCCGCGGCTTCGCCCCGCGTCGCCAGCTGCCAACAGCGCCCGAGTCCCCGCCTTCGCTAGGGGAGAAAAAAAAGACTCCTGACGCGGCGCGGACTTTGGTGTGTAGGAAGGGGCAGAATTGCGAAACCGAGGGGAGGGTCTTAGCCTCGATAAACTCAAAAGCCCTTGATAAACATGAGCTTAGAAGAAAAACTTTTTGAAAAGAGACCAAAAACTCCTAACCTGTTCATAGCGCTTTTCAGATTCCCAAAGTGCTTTCGTATGCGTTTATCTCGGTTCATCTAGACATTTCCATCCTCATTTGATAGGTGCAGAAACAGCACCAGACAAGGTAATGACTTGCCCCAGCCAGGACTGGAACCTAGGTCTGGCCACTGGGAAGCTGGGTGCAGTAAGTTAGGTCCTCGCCAGCGGATGTGGGCCAGTGAGGGCTGGGGTCCTAGTAACAGAACTTTTACCTCTCCTAAATCGTCTTTTTCCATCTCCTTTTTTTCTTCCCAATCCTTGCTGTAGTCCCACTCAGGAACCCTAAGTCTTTCATTTCACACTCCGACCTCCCACCAAAGGTTTGTTGTTGTTGTTGCTGTTTGAGACGGAATCTCGCTCTATGGCCAAGCTGGAGAGCAGTGGCGCGATCCCGACTCACTGGAACTTCCGCCTCCCTGGTTCAAGCGATTCTCCTGCCTCAGCCTCCCGAGTAGCTGGGACTACAGGCGCACACCACCACGCCCAGCTAACTTTTGTATTTTTAGTAGAGACGGGGTTTCACCATGTTGGCCAGGCGGGTCTCGAACGTCAGGTGATCCGCCCACCTCGGCCTCCCAAAGTGCTGGGATTACATGCATGAGCCACGGCGCCCGGCCCACCAGAGTTTTTTATCAGTTCAAAATGTTTGCGTTTCAACCGCTAACCTTGAATGAACAGTTCACTAAGTGCCTGGTGGGCGTTGTGCACCCTAACCCTAGGAAAAAGGAGCTGCTGCTACTCCTCCTTTACAGATGAAGACAACAGAGATAGGCAAGTAGAGGGCCGTGGACCCCGTAAGACTCCGGATGCCAGCTCTGACCCCCACAATGGGCATCCTTCATGGGCCCATTGGCAAGGGCTAACACTTAGGCAAAGGGGTTTCGTTTTTGACATTGTGACCCAGATGGGGGAGTACTTTCTAGGACTTTCATTTTACGTTTTTATAGAAATATGGTTATTTGAACGATTTCACTTCCACTAGAGCTCCACTGGAGCAAATCAATATCCCAGAGCAATAATAAATGGCAGCAGAGACTTGGTCCCAGTGTTGGGACATAGTAGGGAGTGGTGGGGACTGTGGTGAGCTTGATAGCAGCTCCAGGTTCTTGCCCAAGGGAAGGGGCTGCTGCTACTCAGCTCAGTCTATTTTGTCATCTAGGGAAAGGGATTCATGTGGCCAGATCCTCCCATTTTGAAAAAGAAGCCATCAGCCGGACACGGTGGCTCACGCCAGTAATCCCAGCACTGTGGGAGGCCAAGGTGGGTGGATCAGCTGAGGTCAGGAGTTTGAGACAAGCCTGGCCAACATGTGAAACCATCTGTACTAAAAATACAAAATTAGCAAGGTGTGGTGGTGCGTGCCTGTAATCCCAGCTACTCAGGAGGCTGAGGCAGGAGAATCACTTGAACCCAGGAGGCAGAGATTGCAGTGCACCGAGATCGCACCACTGCCCTCCAGCCTAAGTGACAGAGCAAGACTCCGTCTCAAAAAAAAAAAAAAAGCCATAAGTCAGATATTTAAGTGAAGGCCCCAAATTTGTTAGGAGCTCATTTGTATAATGCTAAACACTTTCTACATAGGTCAACACTGTTCAAGCCAAAGGAAATGGCTTTATGGATCAGATCCAGCCTACAGGCCAGGGGTTTGTGCTCTCCTGTTTGGGGGCACTTCACACTATTTTCATTTGGGCTTCCCAACATCCCTGTGGGATAGACCCAGTGTGGATCATATTTCCATTTTAGGGAAGAGGAAGCCCAGTTCAGGTGGGCTCCAGAACTGGCCCAAAGTCACACAAGCAAATTGGTGGAGCTGGAACTGAAACCAGACATTCCACAACTCCTGGTCCTGGAACCTTTTCTCTGGGCATTCTCTGATCTCATGGAGAATTTGTTTCTTGGTTCTGGGTATTGTGAGCCAAGTTAGGCATGGGGCTGGGACTGGGGTGTGGAGACAGCACCTTTCCTGGGAAGATGGAGCGGGAGTGCCAGACTGCTGTCCTCGAAAGCAGGAGACCAGTCTGATGACTCAGAGATGAGACTGTGTCTTGAGGGTAAAGCTGAGTCAGAGAAAGCAAGATCTGAACTGGGACAGCCTGGGCTTCTGAAGCCCAGGTTAGGGTATTGAGAAACTGGGAGAAAAACAGACTAAGCAAATCCTCTATCCCCACCCCCACTCCCCCCCCACCTCCCCACCCCACACAAAACCAGAAGCCCCAGACACCGAGACACCAGCAAGAACATTGCTTACTATTCCTGTCATGACAGGAAAGCATCAGGAGTTAGACTGTAAGGGGGCCCCTTGTATGGTCCTGGAAAGAGGGAAACTTTTTCAGGCAGCAGATCTCTAAAATCTCAGGTTTGGGCATCTCCACTGCAGGACCCAGCCTGGGCCTTTCAGACGGAGTGAGTACTCGTGTTGAAAACTGATTTAGAATGACTGGGCACAATGCTACTGCAGTCTGATCCTCCGTAATCGAAGGACTGAGCAGCAGACAGAATGGGGCATCTCTGTGCCTTTACTGGAGTTTGGGGTCATGTGTAGGAGGATTAATACTAGTCACTTTTGTGAACCCAGAAAATCTGAGACAGTTCTCAGTTAATTTAGAAAGTTTATTTTGCCAAGGTTGAGGACGTGCCTGTGACACAGCCTCAGGAAGTCCTGATGACATGTGCCCAAGGTGGTCGGGGCACAGCTTGGTTTTATACATTTTAGGGAGACATGAGACATCAATCAATATTGTAAGAAGTACGTTGGTTCGGTCTGAAAGGTGGGACAACTTGAAGCAAAGGCAGGAAGACTCTAAGTGAAGTGGGAGGGAGCTTCCAGGTCACAGATGCGTTCTTTGGAGTTTCTGATTAGCCTTTCCAAAGGAGGCAATCAGATATGCATCCATCTCAGTGAGGAGAGGGATAACTTTGAATAGAATGGGAGGCAGGTTTGCCCTAAGCAGTTTCCAGCTTGAGTTTTCCTTAGTGATTTTGGGGACCCAAGATATTTTCCTTTCACACTATCTACCATGTACTGGCATTTCACATACATGACACAATCTCACTGGGACTCACAACAAAACCGAAATAGCTATTCTCTTATTGAGGATCTGAGGCACAGTGTTACTTGCCTGAGGACACACAACTAGTAAATTGGGGAGGTAGGATTCAAACTTACATCTTTGTGACCCAAATATAAACCTCTCTAACTGTAGGCTTGGAAATTGGGGCCAACATGGAGATGTATCACTCAGATCCCACTTTAAGACAGGACTGCCAGGCTGCAGCCATGTGGTTTGCTGGCAGCCCCCAGTGTGGTGAGCTCCTGCAGTCAGTGGTGTATTGGTAATGTTTAACAACCAGCTCTCTGGGCGCGGTGGCTCACACCTGTAATCCCAGCACTTTGGGAGGCTGAGGCTGGTGGATCACCTGAGGTCGGGAGTTCAAGACCAGCCTGACCAACATGGAGAAACCCCATCTCTACTAAAAATACAAAATTACCTGGGCGTGGTGGTGCATGCTTGTAATCCCAGCTACTCGGGAGGCTGAGGCAGGAGAATTGCTTGAACCTGGGAGGCGGAGGTTGCGGTGAGCCAAGAGCGTGCCATTGCACTCCAGCCTGGGTAACAAGAGCGAGGCTCCGTCTCAAAAAAAAAAAAAAAAAAAACAGCTCTTAGCAGGGAGAAATGTGTGCATATATACAGTGGGTTCTCAGTATTCTCTGTAGTTCTATAAGTTCTATAAAGTGGCTTCAAACACTGAAATCGTGAATATTGAACCATTGCTCTTAGAGGAAATACAGAATAAGGTTCCTGAGGGCCTCTGGTTACATTTTCATCAGCCCATTAATATCTAACATTGTTTTACCTGTATTTCTGTTTAAAGACTCCTTATTCAACATATATCAGGTATGATTCTGACATGAACACTGATTGGTATTTTTGTTTACATTAAGGATTAAAATGAAAGTAAAAGAACAAAGGTGTATATTGGGAACTTCATTATTCAATAGCATGAGTGACTTCTTTGTGAATCAGATAACTGTTTTCAAATACTAGAATATCCCTCAATATTTTGTACTATTTACAATGTACAGACATGGCACACTTTTAAATTTAGTATGCAATATTAACCTTTCTCATTTACTTTCTTATGTCTAGAACACTGTACAGGTTTTTGTGTGAGCATAAATTTTCGTTTCTTTAGGATAAATACACAGGAGTGAGACTGCTAGCTCGTATGATAAATGTATGTACAACTTTATAAAAAACTACCGATCTGGGCGCAGTGGCTCATGCCCATAATCCCAGCACTTTAGGAGGCTGAGGTGGGAGGATCCCCTGAACCCAGGAGTTCGAGACTAGCCTAGGCAACATGGAGAAACTCTGTCTCTACAAAAAATACAAAAATTAGCCAGGCAGGCTGGGCATGGTGGCTCACGCCTATAATCCCAGCACTTTGGGAGGCCAAGGTGGGCAGATCACCTGAGGTCAGGAGTTCGAGACCAGCCTGGCCAACATGGTGAAATCCCATCTCTACTAAAAATACAAAAATTAGCTGGGCATGGTGGCAGGTTCTTGTAATCCCAGCTACTTGGGAGGCTGAGGCAGGAGAATCGCTTGAACCCAGGAGACAGAAGTTGCAGTGAGCCGAGATCACGCCACTGCACTCCAGCCTGGGCTACAAGAGTGAAACTCCTTCTCAAAAAAACAAAAACAAAAATTAGCTAGGCATGGTGGTGAGGCTAACATGGGAGGATCACTTGGGTCCGGAAGGCAGAGGTTGCAGTGAGCTGAGATTGTGCCACTGCACTCCAGCCTGGGCGACAGAGCAAGACCTTGTCAAGAAAAAAAAAAAAGAAAAGGAGAAAGGAGAAAGAAAGAAAGGAAAGAAAGGAAAGAAAGGAAAAGAAAGAAAGAAGAAAGAAAAGAAAAGAAAAGAAAAGAAAGGAAAAGAAGCTACCAAATTTTCCAGTGTGGCTGTACCTTTTATTTATTTATTTATTTTTTTTGAGACAGAGTTCACTCTTGTTGCCCAGACTGGAGTGCAATGGCACAATTTCGGCTCACCACAACATCCGCCTCCTGGGTTCAAGAGATTCTCCTGCCTCAGCCTCCTGAGTAGCTGGGATTACCGGCATGCGCCACCACACCAGGCTAATTTTGTATTTTTAGTAGAGATAGGGTTTCTCCATGTTGATCAGGCTGGTCTTGAACTCCCGACCTCAGGTGATCCACTCGCCTCAGCCTCCCAAAGTGCTGGGATTACAGGCGTGAGCCACCATGCCCAGCCATGGCTGTACCATTTTACACTGCCATCAGCAATGTACAAGAGATCTGGTTGCCCCTCATCCTTTTCAGCACTTGTTATTATCAATGTTTTAAAAAACTTTAGCCATCAGTGTTTAGAGATATCTAAACATAGCTTTCGTTTGTATTTCCCTAATGGTTAATGATCTTGAATATCTATCCATGTGCTTATTTGCCATCTGTATTAGATTTGTTTTTAATATATTTTATTCAATTGTAATTTTACATAATTTAATTTGTAATAATGACTGTCTTTAACAACTGGCTCATAAAATTCCTGAAAATTTCACAATCAGCTATTGCGAGCCAGAGCAAGCTGGCTCCAGCACACCCCTTCATCTGTCTGGCTGAGGTCTCCGTGGCCTCTGGGCAGCTCTCAGGCAATGACTGAGCAAAGAGGTGGAATGAGGCCTCACCATTTCCCCTCAAGGCAGGATTCCTTTCTGGACAGTCTGCTCAGAGCATCGCCATTTGACAGCTCTCCCTGCCCAATTCTGCCTTTCTTTCACAGGGGCTGTTCCTGATAAACTTCCCCAACCGTAACTCTCTATGCATGTTTCCTGGCGAGCCCAGCCAGCACAGAAATTCTGTCTAGTGACACGGCAGCCTTTCTGCCTCTGCCACCGCTGATTTCACTGCCACACTCGCTTAGGCCCTTTGAGCTCCTCACCTAGAAAAACGCACATCAGCCCAGAGGCGCCACTATCTCAGCAGTCCGAGCCCACGCAATGCTCCCGGAGCTGGGCCAGTGGGCGCCTCAACCCCGATTCACCTATGTGCACTGCTGTGTGGTGAGAGTGGTTCCCTGGGTCATTCTCTGGCACAACCTAAAAGTGGAAGTGCAGAAATCTCAATGTCCCGAGGAGGTGATGGCTGTGGTTGAGCTCAGTTGGGGTGGAATGTCCATGATGGTTTTTTCACATGGCTGGTTGACTAATGCTGGTTACTGACCAGGAGCTCAGCTGGGGCTGTTGACTCAGGAGCACCTACACATGGCCTGTCTGTGTGGTTTGGGCTTCTCACAGCCTGGGGCCCCAAGAGTGAACGTTCCAAGAACAAGCCTTTCAAGAGGGAACAAATGGAATCTGCATTTCTCTCAAGGCTAGACCCAGAACTAACACAGGATCACTTGCAACATGTTTTTATTGGTTAATCAGTCATAAGACAAGCTTTTTGTCAAGGGAGGAGGTAATAAACACCAACTCTCAATGGAGAGAGTGAAAAAGAATTTATTGCCATCTTTAATGTACTACAACACCATTAAGAGAATGTAACAGCAGCGGCCGGGCCTGGTGGCTCATGCCTGTAATCCCAGCACTTTGGGAGGCTGAGGTGGGTGGATCATGAGGTCAGGAGTTCGAGACCAGCCTGGCCAAGATGGTGAAACCCCGTCTCTACTAAAAATACAAAAATTAGCCGAGCGCGGTGGTGGGCGCCTGTAATCCCAGCCACTCGGGAGGCTGAGGCAGGAGATTGCTCGAACCCAGGAGGTGGAGGTTGCAGTGAGCTGAGATCATGCCACTGCACTCTAGCCTGGGCAACAGAGCAATACTCTGTCCAAAAAAAAAAAAAAAAAAAAGAATATAACAGCAAAGCACTGGAATATTTTTTATTTTTTCCTTTTTTTTTTTTTTTTTCCTGAGACAGGGTCTGGCTCTGTTGCCCAGACTGGAATGCGTGGCACGATCACAGTTCACTACAACATCCACCTCCGGGGCTCAAGCGATCTTCCCACCTCAGCCTCCTGAGTAGCTGGGACTACAGGCACACATCACCATGCCTGGCTTATTTTTGTATTTTTTTGGTAGAGACACAGTTTTGCCATGTTGCCCAGGTTGGTTTTGAACTGGGCTCAAGTGATCTGCCCGCCTCAGCCTCCCAAAGTGTTAGGATTATAGGCATGAGCCACCATGCCCAGCCAGAAGATTTTCAAAACATATGTGTTATGGGTTGAATTGTGCCCACCGAAAATTCATATGTCCAAGTCCTAACCCCCAGTACATTAGAATGCAACCTTATTTGGAAATAGGGTAATTGCAAATGTAATTAGTTAAGATAAAGTCATACTTGAGTAGGGTGGGCCCTAATGTTACAGAATCTTTGAGGTGTCAATTTTCTGGCTGGAAACCTCTGTGGCCAGCCTGAGTTCTTGTCCTGTGTCCAGGAAGAATGAGATATGCAAACAAGTGAAGGGTGAACAAGATGAAGATGAGCTTTATTAAGTGTTAGAACGGCTCAGAGGAGACCCACAGTGGGTAGCTCCTTTCTGTAGGCAGGTTATCCCGACGTCTGCTGCTCTCAGCAGAGAGGAGGCCCTGGAGAGGGTTGCTCCTGTCTGCAGCTGGTAGTCCGGATGTCTCTGCAGGTCTCTGAAGCTCTCAGCAGAGAGGGTAGCTCCTCTCTGCAGCTGGTCTTCCTGTGCCTTCTTCTCTCCGTTCTCTCCCTCCTCTCTTGCTCTAGCTAAGCCCGGGGCTTTTATGGACCTTGGAGGGGAAGAAATGCATGCCAAATGGTCCATGGGCGGCCATGGGCAGGCCTGGAAGAGGCACCATGAGTCCTCACTCCGGTCTGGTCGGTGGGACTGGAAGCCTCTGGCCTGAAGGCGGGGCCTTACCAGGGACGCGCCCCATTCCGCCCAGGACTCTGTCTCCCTCCCGTTGCCATTCACGGACTCGAGGCTCAGCCCCAACCCTGCTCCAAGATCTGAGCCGGCAGCAGGAGTGGAGAGAGGCCAGGCAGTGGGAGCAGACACCCCTGAGTCTGCAGGGATGATGTGTGGGGGTGGAGGTCGTCTCCCCAGGACCAGAGGGTGCAGGCTACAGAGATGCCCAGGTCCTGTGCCTGGGAGAGCAGCCAGGGGAGCTCCCGCCCCGGCCAACTCGTAAGGGGCGGGGCTCCTGTTTGTCTCTGGCTTCTGTCTGCTCTGTGGAGCGGGAAGCCCAGGTCTGCAGCTGCTGGTCGGGTAGCTGTAGCTGCACCCAGGAGGGCAGATCCTGCCTGCTCCCGGGACCCCCACCAAGAGCACAGGCTCAGATCCACAGCCGCAGTTTGGGCAGCTGCAGCCCCACTCAGGAGGGCGGGGCTCCTTCCTGATCCATAGAGCAGGAGGCCTGGGTCTGCAGCCATGATTTGGGCAGCTGCAGCGAGCGTGATGCCAGCAGCTGCTACCATCACTAATTCAATATAACTGGTGTCCTCATAAAAGGGAAAATTTGGACACAGAGACACGCACACAGGGGAAGCCCATGTAAAGATGAAGGTAGAGATCTATAAGCCAAGGAATACCAAAAATGGCCAGCTAACCCTCAGAAGCCAGGGCAGATTCTCCCTCACAGCCCTCAGAAGGAACCAACTCTGCCAGCACCTTGGTCTCAGACTCCTGGGCTCCAGAACTTTGAGAAAATACATTTCTGTTATTCAAGTCATCCAGTTTGTGGTACTTTATTATGGTTGTCTGGCTGCCCTAGTAAATTCGTGCAATATATAAAGAATGTCTGCAAAGCAATAAGAAAAAGACAACCCAAGAGAGAAATGAGCAAAGGTATAAACAAACACTTCACAAAAGAATATATTTAAAAGGTGAGTCATATGAAAAATTGCTCAACATCATTAGTTATTAGGGAAATGCAAATTAAGCCTCAATAAGATATCACTGCATACTCTTCAGAATAGCTTATAATAAAAATATAGATATGAAGTGCTGGCAAGGATGTAGGGGTAGAGCAAATGGAACTCACATTGCTCCTGGGAGTGTAAATTAGTGCAACTATCTTGGAAAACTGTCAGTATCTACTAAACATGAATATACATATACCTATGACCTGGCAATTCCACTCCTAGGCATAGACTCAACAGAAATGTGTACATGTGTACACTATGGGACATAATCATGAATGGTTATAGCAGTACTATCCATAATTCCCTCAAACTGGAAACAATTTAAAGTTCTAGTCACTGTTGAATAGCTACATACATGGTAGTCTAGTCAATGGAATCCTATAGAGCAGTGAAATGGACCAACTATTACTACATGCAGGAACGTGTATGAGTCTCACAAAAATAAATGATGAGTTCCAAACACAAAGAGTATGGACTGTATGATTCCATTCACATAAAGTTCAAACAGGCAAAACTACCCTGTGATAACAGAAGTCAGGGTAGTGATTATCTCTGGGGAAGAGAGAGGGTTTGTGACTGGAAAGTGGCACAAGGGGAGACTGGGAGTGACAATGTTCTATTTTAAAAATCTAGATGATATTTTCCTTAGTGAAAATTCATTGAGTCGTACCTTTATTATTTGTGTGCTTTTCTATGAGTGTTATAGTTGAATGTAAAATTTTATTTAAAAAAGTAAATAGCTGGGCACGGTGGCTCATGCCTGTAATCCTAACACTTTGGGAGGCCAAGGCAGGTGGATCACCTGAGGTCAGGAGTCTGAGACCAGCCTGGCCAACATGGTGAAACCCCATCTCCACTAAAAATACAAAAGTTAGCTGGGTAGCTGGGTGTGGTGGCACACACCTGTAGTCCCAGCTTCTTGGGAAGGTGAGGCAGGAGAATCTGTTGAACCCAGGAGGCAGAGGTTGCAGTAAGCTGAGATTGTGCCGCTGTACTCCAGCCTGGGCAACAGAGTGAGACTCCATCTCAAAAAAATAAAACAGTAAATAAGGCTGGGTGCGGTAGCTCACGCCTGTAATCCCAGCACTTTGGAAGGACAAGGCAGGCAGATCACCTGAGGTCAGGAGTTTGAGACCAGCCTGGCCAGCATGGAGAAACCCCGTCTCTACTAAAAATGCAAAAATTAGCTGGTGTGGTGGTAGATGCCTGTAATCCCACCTACTCGGGAGGCTGAGACAGGAGAATCACTTGAACCTGGGAGGTGGAGGCTGCAGTGAGCTGAGATCGTGCTACTGCACTCCACCCTGGGTGACAGAGCAAGACCCTCTCTCAAAAAAAAAAAAAAAAAAAGTAAATAAATATATTCCAAAGTGTCAGGGGATTTCCACCCACCGATAACTGAAAATTCTAGTCATGCTTTTCACATTTGTAATGATTTATAAATGTGCTCTACTGAAAAACTGCTCTAACCATTTTTGTAAATAGGAAAGAGGTTGTAAGTTCAATTTTTTATTTGATAATTTGATTATATATATTTATTTGTGTGTACATGAAACATTTAATGTTGATTAACAATTTAAAACCTGGCAAAAGCAGAGTGAACCAGAGCATATTAAGCAAGGAATTTGACATTAACTTGGGAGGCACCATTGGATGACAGAATTAGCTGTCAAATGCATCTCAACAGCATCAACTTACCTCCAGTCTCCACATAGACGGCAGCCTATCCTCCAGCCTTACTGAGCGTGGAATTCCTCCAGCCTCAGACTCTCTCCCTTCCAGATTACTTCACACATAGCGTTCTCTGCTAAGACAGTCCTGTAACTCTTCACCTAGCTAACTCCTTCAGAGTCTAGTTCAGACATCACCTGCTGTAAGTCATCTCCTTTGGTCTCTCTTATAGTCTCTGAGATGGCCCCCAGTGATCTCTCCTTCTGGTGTTCATGCCCTTGTGTAATCTCCTCCCCTTGAGTATGAGCTGGATCTAGCTATTCACTTCTAAAAAACAGAATGTGGCAAAAGTGATGGGATGTTACAAGATGATGTTACAGAAAGACTGGCTTCTAGCTTGAGCTCCCTCTCTTCTCTTTCTCTTTCTCTCAAAGCTCTTGCTCTCACGTGGCAAGAAAATGACAACTTCAGCCAATAGCCAGTGAGGATCTGAAGCCTGCCAACAGCCAAGTGAGTGTCTTCAGGGTGAAACCTCCTTTGATCACGCAGTGAGATGATCGGAACCCCAGCTGACACGTTGATTACAGTCTTGGAAGACCCTGAGCCTGAGGCACCCAACTTAGCTGTACCAGATTTCTGACCCACAGAAACTTGAGCTAATACATATTTATTGTTTTAGGCAGATAAAATTTGGAGTAATTTGTTATAACACAATAGAAAACTAATACAACCCCAACTTTCCTCCCTCCCATTCCAGGTTGGATTTTGTTGTTGTTGTTTTGTTTTTTGTTTCTGAGACAGGATCTCTCTGTTGCCCAAGCTGGAGTGCAGTGGTGCAATCATGGCCCACTACAGTCTCAACTTCCCAGGCTCAAGTGATCCTCTCAACCTCAGCCTTCCAAGTAGCTGGGTCTACAGGCATGAGCCACCATGCCTGGCTAGTTTTTTGGGTTTTTTTGTTTTTTTTTGACGGAGTTTCACTCTTGTTGCCCAGGCTGGAGTGCAATCGCACCGCAACCTCTGCCTCCTAGGTTCAAGCTATTCTGCTTCAGCCTCCTGAGTAGCTGGGATTACAGGCATGCACCACCACGCCTGGCAAATTTTGTATTTTTAGTAGAGATGGGGTTTCTCCATGTTGGTCAGGCTGGTCTCGAACTCCCGACCTCAGGTGATCTGCCCACCTTGGCCTCCCAAAGTGCTGGGATTATAGGCATGAGCTACCGCGCCCAGCCTAGTTTTTTGGTTTTTAAAAAATATTTTGTAGAGGCAGGGTCTCACTATGTTACCAAGGTTGATCTCAAACTCTTGGCCTCAAGTGATCCACCCATCTCGGCCTCCCAAAATGTTGGGATTACAGGGATAAGCCACCTTGCCTAGCCCATCCAGGTTGGATTCTTGCCCCTGTAGTATCCAATGTTTCCCATGATCACAACATTTATCACACCTTATAGTAATCTAGTGCTTGCTTCCTTATCTCTCCCATGAAAAGGACCAAAGATTATGTCTTACAAGCTTTTTCATTACAGTTCCTGGAACTTAGTTGTAATCAATAAGTGGTGGATTAACACATAAAAGAATAAATAGATGATAGCTGTTTAATCTTGGAAAATAACAATCTTTCTGACTCTCCAATTCTTTTTTTTTTTGGAGATGGGATCTTGCTATGTTGCCCAGGCTGGAGTGAAGTAGCTATTGTTCATAGGCACCATCTTAGCGCACTGTGGCTTCAAACTGCTAGGCTCAAGTGATCCTCCCACTTTAGCCTCCTGAGTAGGTGGGACTATAGGTGCATGCATCATACCTGGCTTTGATTCTTAATCTTCTAATTTTAAAATGATGACAACTAAAAATTGTAGAAACATTTAAGAGACAAAATGATCATGACTTAGTAAGTAATTAGTCGTGAGAGGTGACAGAAAAGGAGGTGTCAAAGTTTGGGCAGCTACATATCTCTAAGGGAGAAAAAGAATACCAGAGCAGGAGCTAGTTTAGAGTGGAAGTTAGTGAGTTCAACGCTGGACATGCCAAAATTGAGCTGTCTTTGAACACATCCACCAGGCCAATGGGTATACAAGACTGACTGTTAGAGAGAGGTCTATGGTGGAATAGATTTGGGAGTTAATGGCATCTAGATGGCAATCTAAGTTACAGGAGAGAAGCCAAAGAGTGAGCTAAGCCGTGGTCTGAGAACAGACCCTTGGAGAACTTTCTCGTTAACAGGAAGGCAGAGGTGCACATGAAGTGGGGGATGGGGGGTAGTAGGCAAAGGTCTGTCTAGAGCTGGAAGAGTGTGGTAACCCACATGGACAAGGTAGACAGTTTCCTGAAGCAGGGAATGATCAATTATAACAAATACAGGCTGGGAGCAGTGGCTCACATCTTCAATCCCAGCACTTTGGGAAGCCAAGGCAGGCGGATCGCTTGAGCCCAAGAGTTCAAGACCAGCTTGGGCAACATGGCGGGTGAGACCTCGTCTCTTCAAAAACACAAAAATTACCCAGACATGGTGGCACATGCCTGTAGTCCCAGCTACTGAGGAGGCTGACATGGGAGGATCACTTGAGCCTGGGAGGTGAAGGTTGCAATGAGCTGAGATTGTGCCACTGCACTCCAGCCTGGGTGACAGAGAGATACCATGTCTCAAAATACAAAACAAAACAAAACAAAACAAAAATACAGAAGAGATCAAGATATTAACTAAAAAACATCCTGTTATGTTCTGAATGTGTCCTCCTAAAATTCATATGTTAAAACTTAATCACCAGTGTGATAGTATTAAGAGGTGGGCAGCCTTTAGGAGGTGATTAAGCATTCAGGGTAGAGCCCTCATGAATGGGATTAATGACTTCTGAAAAGAGATAGAAGAGAACTGCTTGTCCCTCCATGTCTTCTACCATGTGAGGACACAGAATTAAAGACATGGCCTTGAAGCAAAAACCAAACCCTCACCAGAAACCAAATCTGCTAGTTCTTTGATCTTAGACTTTGCCATCTCCAGAACTGAGAGAAATAAATTTCTTTTATTTATACATTACCTAGTCTCAGGTGTTTTGCTATAGCAGCAGAAGTAGGCTAAGGCATGTCCCTTGGATTTAGTAACCGGAAGATCACTGAAGTCTGTGGCCGATTGTATTTTTCAAAGATAAACTGCAACAGTATTTCCTATCCCACATGCTCTTCCACAATGCAACCTCCTCACTCTCCCCTAGAGAAATGGGATCTCTATGATCTCCCCTTGATTCTGGGTGGGCTTGTGACTGCTTTGACTGATGAAGCATAGAGGAAATGATGCCATAGGACTTCTGAGGCTATAAAAGTCGTAATGACTTCAGAGTCATAAAAGGCAATGCCACTTCCACCTTGTTTGCTGGAACGCTAGAGCACACCACATAAGAAGCGAGACCACCCTGAGGCTGCCACACTGTGAGGAAGCCACATCACACACACAGGCCATGTATAGGTCTCTGGTCGGCAGACCCAGTCTTTGCCTGGGTGCTAGACATGAAAGTGCATGGGCCTTCAGATGATGAGTCACCTGCCCAGACGAGGCCCCATGGAGCAGTGATGAGCTGTACTGTGTGGCCGATCCAACTTCCCGGCCCTCAGAATCCATGAGCATAAAAAAAGGGTTGTTGGCTGGGCATGGTGGCTCACATCAGTAATCCCAGCACTTTGGGAGGCTGAGGCGGGTGGATGACTTGAGGTCAGGAGTTTGAGACCAGCCTGGCCAACATAGTGAAACCCCATCTCTATTAAAAAAAAAAAATACAAAAAATTAGCTGGGTGTGGTGGCGGGTGCCTGTGATCCCAGCTACTCTGGAGACTAAGGCAGGAGAATTACTTGAACCCGGGAGGCGGTGGAGGTTGCAGTTAGCCGAGATTGCATTATTGCACTCCAGCGTGGGTGACAAGTGTGAAACGCCATCTCAAAAAAAAGTGGGGGGGGGTTGTTTTACACCTCTAAGTTTTGGGGTAATTTGCAATTTGTTACACAGCAATTATGCCTGAATCTATGACTTTGGAGAAAACAATTTCCATGGAGTGGCCAGGACTGATGCCAGGGTGCAGTGGGCTGGGGAATGAGCGGTGAGGAAGTGGGTGACACCATGAATAGATTACAATGAGATGAAGCCAAAGTGGAAGGTGATAGAGGGGCTTTATGGAGGGTTCTTGTCAGATGGAGTAGACTGGACAGATATATAGGCCAAGGGGAAAATGTCAGAAGTGGGAGAGAGTTGAAGAAAAGAGGACGCAACAGACAAGGGCTCCGGAGATGCACAAGCTGAGGAGCTGGCTTGAAGGATCTCCAATGAGACTGGAAGAAAATAACAAGGATTTGTCAGGAGAGGAAGGTACGGTAGGATAGCAGTGCAAGGAGGATGGTGTGGGTGCAGTTCATATGATCACCTACAGGGTCTGGACCTACAGCCAAGAAGACTGATAGGCTGAAGGAAATGGAAGGACCAGTGGATGGGGTCTCTTGGAGGTCAAATATAGTTGTCATGGGTGTGAGGTCATGAGATAGCTCAAAGGATGGGAGAATGCAACCAGAAGGGAAGATACTGAACTCTACATGACCCAGTCTGATTCATGACAAGATCCAGGGTGGGTCAGGGAGTGGTGGCCGCAGTAAAGTGGAGGTGGAGACTCTTGGAGTTAGTGATATCCAAGAAGTACAGGCCAATCAGTTGTGTGCCTAGGTGCTGAAATCTCTGAGGACTTGAGCTGGAGAGGAAGACCATGAGCCAGGCCTTGAGGGATTCAGTGAGAGGGCACTGGACTGTTTTTAGTGTTTAGAAGGTGTATTCATCTGTTCTCACATTGCTATAAAGAAATACCTGGCTGGGCGCGGTGGCTCACGCCTGTAATCCCAGCACTTTGGGAGGCTGAGGCGAGTGGATCACCTGAGGTTGGGAGTTCGAGACCAGCCAGATCAACACGAAGAAACCCTGTCTCTACTAAAAATACAAAATTAGCCAGGCATGGTGGCACATGCCTGTAATCCCAGCTACTAGGGAGGGTGAGGCAGGAGAATCTCTTGAACCTGGGAGGCGGAGGTTGCGGTGAGCCAAGATCGCGCCATTGTGCTCTAGCCTGGGCAACAAGAGCGAAACTCTGTCTCAAAAACAAAAACAAAAACAAAAACCTGAGACTGGGTAATTTATTAAAAAAAAAAGTTTTAATTGGCTCACCACGGTTTTGCAGCCTGTACAGGAAGCATGGCAGCATCTGCTTCTGGGGAGGCCTCAGGGAGTTTCTACTCACGGCGAAAGACAAAGCAGGAGCAGGCATCTTACATGGCAGGAGCAAAAGAGATGGGGAGAGGTGCTACAAACAACCAGGTCTCACAAGAACTCAGTATCTCAAGAACAGCACCAAGAGCATAGTGCTGGACCATTCATGAGAAATTCACCCCCATGATCCAATCACCCCCCACCAGGCCCCACCTCCAACACTGGAGAGTCCAATTCGTCATGAGATTTGGGCAGGGACACAGATCCAAACCATATCAGGAGGACAGTTGGATGGCATTTGGCTCAAAGAATGAGTTAAGCAACAATGTGGAAGTGACAAGAGGGAGGTGGGACAAGCCAGCCACCGTTTCTGCCTCAGAGTCGTGGAGTGTGGGTGAGCAACTTTTCTCCTGCAGGGCTGCAGAGGAAATGCAGACTTCTGTGAAGGCAAAAGATGATGATCTGGAGGAAAAGGGAAGTGTGTTCACAATGGATGGAGGGTTCCAGATTGTCATAGCTAAATAGGTTTTGAACCTGGAGTGAGAAAGAAATCCAAGGAGGGAAAGGAATGGTATAGAAAGGCTGGGGGAGGACAAGATTTGATGTTGGGGAAGGGCCTTTTTATTTTTTTTTGAGACAGAGTCCTGCTCTGTCACTCGTGCTGGAGTGCAATGGCGTGATCTCAGCTCACTGCAACCTTCGCCTCCAGGGTTCAGGTGATTCTCCCACCTCAACCTCCTGAGTAGACGGGACTATAGGCACACGCCACCACACCCAGCTAATTTTTGTATTTTTAGTAGAGACGGAATTTCAGCATATTGGCCAGGCTGGTCTCGAACTCCTGACCTCAGGTAATCCACCTGCCTCAGGCACGAGTCACAGAGCCTGGCCAAGGGGAAGGGCCTTTTCTGTTACAAGACCCTTGCTCTAGGTAGGGTCACTATTTTTTTTTTAAACTTTTATTTTAAGTTCAGGGGTACATGTGCATGTTTGTTACATGGGTAAATTGTGTCACAGGGGTTTGTTGTACAGATTATTTCATTACCCAGGTATTAGGCGTAGTACTCATTAGTTATTTTTCCTGATCCTCTCCTCCTCCCATCCTCCACTCCTCCAATAGGCCCCAGTGTGTGTCATTCCCTTCTACGTGTCTGTGTGTTCTCATGATTTAGTTCCTGCTTAGAAGTAAGAACATGCGATCTTTGGTTTTCTGTTCTGCAGGGTCTCTCTTAAGATATTCAGAACAGAGGAAAAAGCAGGAGTTAGATGGGTCTTGAGTGACTCTTTCTAGGCCAGCGTCCTTGTTTCCCAAGTCCAGTTCTCTTCCCCCAGGCTCCTCCCCTGGGAGCCTGGAGGCCCCTACACCTGGAGGAGCCGGGCCAAGGTTGGATGGCTGCCTGCCTGCCGAGGGCACTGTAGAGCGGGTGGTGGGTAGTGGATGAGGGTGGCACTTGACGCTGAGACCCCGCCGACAGCCTGGGCATCCTTGACTCGGGAAGTTACACAGAGTGATGGACCTTCCTGTTAGGACTGTTTTACTATAAATGAAACAGGAAAATATGAGAGAGTTCTTGAACTCTCCTGGGAGGAAGACAGTAACAAGCCATCTGACCACCCAACTGCAGCTCACTTTAAATAACTTTCTATGGCTATTTTAAGACAGAAATGGACATTCTCCTATTAATAAGCCTGGCTAAGTAAGGCTGATCTGCAGCCAGGGTGAATCTGAAAGCCTCCTTCCCCACAGAGTCCCCAAGGGCAACAGACAGAGGGGCGTGCTCTTGTCGATGGACAGGCCCACACTGGTCATTTCGGGCAGGAAATTCTGTAGGGGAAGAGATTCCTCAACCTCTTATGCCTGCTCTTGCCCTTCTTGGAGGAGCTCAAAAGCAGAATTTCTGTGGCTGAAAGGAGGATTTCCCCAGGGCCAGGCGTTGCCTCTCCCAGGCTCCGCACTGACACTCCTGGACACTCCCACAGCCTAAGGAAGGAGGGTCTATTCTTATTCCCTCCTTCCTTATAGATGTGAAAACAAAGACAGGGGAGAGTTCATTCTTCTCCAAGTTCTCACAGTTAGAAAGGGAAGCTGGGAATTGAGAGGGTTGCAAGTCACCACTCCCCACCGTGCCTGCCCTCCTGAGGCACGGTTTAGATGCTGCCCAGGCCTTCGAAGCCAACTTCTTGCTTTGCCTGGGCAGTGGTGGGAGGCGGCTGCTCATCACCGCTGGGCTCTCCCTTTCTTGCTCACTTGGCTCTTTGGTGTCCTTGTCATAACTGAAAAAGCCATCATGGGCTGACGACCAGGTCCCCTTCACCCCAGAACCATTTTGTGGGAGTGGTCACTGCCCGGCTCCCCTCCCCTCCTGTGTCATCAGACACTCAGTCACCCAAAGAGAAAGGGAGGGAGGGAGGGAGAGCCTGGGGCAGGGGCAGAGGCGCCTCAGCCTGACATCATGGCTTCTGTCTGTGTCACTGCCTTTCTCCTGCCTTTCCCAGTCTGACTTCTCACTGTAAGGCTTCTACTAGCCAGTTCTCTGCTTCCCCCATCTCTCTCTTCCTCATAGGCCCCCCAGCTCTAGCTCCACCATCTGGAATCTTCCGAGGAGTTCCTGTGGCCTCCAGTCCCGCAGCGGACAGACTGCATGTCTCAGCATTTCTTGGTTCAAATTCCTGAGGCAGGAATCTGATTGGCCCGGCTCCCTTTTCGTGCTGGGCCACAGGTCATAGGTTGCTGGCCAGCCTCAGTTGGCTGTCCACGGACAGCCAGAGTTGAGTGGGACAAAACACAGCTGAGGAATGTCCCCTCCTTTCAGCCGAGGCTGTTTGTTGAATTGTTCCTTTTAGAAGGGACAATGGCCAACATTTGTACTGTGCTTCTAAAGCCTCTGCTGGCCTGAGGCAGGAACACAGTCTTTTGGGTCCTTTATAAATAACTGTTTTAACTGCTAGAACAACTTACAATACGAAGGCTCTCACTCCAGCTTTCACTACGGCGTACCCCATCTCTTTCAGACTCCTCTCCTTGCCCCAAATCTGTCCCTGGGAGCCCCCAGTGGTGACTCAGGGGTGAGTCCAGTCTGCAGCCGACTGCCTCCCACCGCAAATACTGCTGGCCCCACGACCTTTGACACTTGGATTTTAGCAGCGGTCACTCTATCTCCCGGCCCCAGAGTCGCCTCTGCCGACGGCCTCAGCATACCCAAGCCCTGCCATGATTCAAGGAATAGCCACAGGGAGAGCTCTTCTCCCTGTTTGTGGGCCTCACCCCCTATTAAATAGGATTTTAATACTCGGGCCCCGATGGCTTAGGGGCCGGAATGCCTAGTTTTTGCTCGAAGGCCACTACGCCCAGGATCCAGCACAAATGCCTGTGAGGCCAGGACTGGGGATGCAGGGGCAAAGTTAAGGGGGGGACAGCAGGACTTCCCTTGCCTGGGCCTGGGGGTGACCGCACTTGACTTGATTCCCCTGGGAGAAGTTATTTCCCCACAGACTCCTTGGTCTCTTGGGCCGTAGACTTGGGTGGGCCTCCCCAGAAAGTCTGGCTCTCAGGGGTGAAGGTACTTAACATGGGGCGCCCACCCACCCAGTCTCCCCCACCTGGTGGTGGAAATAGGACCAGCTTTTTGCTCTACATACAACCTAGTGTGAGAGGGAGAGACCAAACAACATGGCAGTACGGCCAGTGGCCCGGGGGCAGACAAGCCTGTCCTCTCATGCCAGGGACCCCTCTCCAACTGGGCTGTTTGGCTTCTCTGAGCCTTGGTTTTCTTATCTGTAAATGGGGGATCATCTTTCCGCATGGGGTCATTGTGGGAATTAAACTGAATGAGGTAATGCACCTAAAGCACCAGAGCCTATTCTGGTCCCTGATGAGAGGTGTATGGATGGAGATGCTATTAATATTACGACCCTGAGAACTGAAGTCAGATTTGGCTGCGTGTGTGAGGCCCAGCCATCTCACTGCAGCAGCTGTCATGATCATTGCCTCCCAGGAGGAGCCGGAGGGAGACCCTCGGGGTGAAGAATAGCATGCGACCAGTGCCCCAGCCCCAGGGCTGCTGGGAAGGTGATGAGTGGGGAGGGAGAGTGGCCTTTAAGTTTACACATGTCTCCTTCCTGTACCCCATCTCTGCCTGGTCTTGGGGGTCACATGAGAAGTAGAAACAGGGTAGGAGACATAGGATGAGGATGGATGAAGAAATGGGATGCTGACAGCACTGGACCTAGGGCAGTGGGTTAGGACTTCAGAGGTGCACTATGCATCTTACTGGGTTGATTGCTCTCTGGCAGCCAGTCCTTTATAAGGGACATGAACCCATCCTTTGGATGTCAACTGGGGACAGATGGTTCAGACTTGATGTTATACTTAGGGACACATTTTCAGGAGCCACACTGCCTGCACTGGAATCCCAGCTCCACCAGTCACAAGCTATTTGACCTTGGACCAGTGTCTTAGTCCATTTTTGCTGCTATCACCAAGTACCTGGCCAGGAGCAGTGGCTCACATCTATAATCCCAGCACTGTAGGAGGCCAAGGCTGGAGGATTGCTTGAGCCCAGGAGTTTGAGACCAGCCTGGGCAACATAGCAGGTGAGACCTTGTCTCCACCAAAAATTTAAAAATTAGCTGGGCATAGTGGTGCATGCCTGTAGTCCCAGCTGCTTGGGAGGCTGAGGTGGGAGGATGGCTTGAGCTCAGGAGTTCAAGGTTATAGTGAGCTATGATTGTGCCACTCTGCTCCAGCCTGGGTGACAGAGTAAGACCTCATCTCAAAAATGAAACAAACAAAAAACCGAAAACTAAAAGACAAAAAAAATTCTGAAGCTGGGGAATTTATAAATAACAAAAATGTATTTCTCCCAGTTCTGGAGACTGAGAAGTCCAAGATCAAGGTGCTGGCAGATTCCGTGTCTGGTGAGGGCTGCTGTCTGCTTCCAAGATGGCACCTCTTGCTGCCTTCTCACATGGCGGAAGGGGCCAACAGCTCCTTAAGCCTCCTCTTTTATAAGGACCTTAATTCTTCTATTAATGAGGGCTCCACTCCTAAGGGCCTCACTCACCTCTTTTTTTTTTTTTTTTTTTTGAGACGGAGTCTCACTCTTTCGCCCAGGCTAGAGTGCAGTGGTGCAATTCGGCTCACTGCAACCTCTGCCTCCCGGGTTCAAGTGACTCTAATGCCTCAGCCTCTTGAGTAGCTGAGATTACAGGTGCCCACCACCATGCCCAGCTAATTTTGATAATTTTAGTAGAGATGGGATGTCACCATATTGACCAGGCTGGTCTCAAACTCCTGACCTCAAGTGATCCTCCTGCCTTGGCCTCCCAAAGTGCTGGGATTACAGGTGTGAGCCACCATGCCTAGCCCTCTCACTCACCTCTTAATACTATCATATTGGTGATTACGTTTCAACATATGAATTTTGGAGGGACACCTTCAGACCACAGCAGCCAGTTCCTCCAAGCCTCAGGTTCCTCATCTGTGAAATGGGAGTCACAATAGCACCTTTCGTGTAAAACTGTTGTGAGCGGTTAATCAGGTAATACACATAAAGTGCTTAAAACAGCACCTGGCACATGGCAAATGTACTCATTTTTATTGAATTCACCTGTGTCTCACCTTCTCTACACAGATTGCAATTTCCTCAAGACACTTTAATTTTTTGTTTCCCCATGATGGGAATATGAATGAGTGAAAAATAAACTTACTTACACATTTCCAGTGAAGAAGAGTTTATTCAGAGTGCTTAGATATGTGTGGTTTTATGCATTTAGAGAGGCCCATCCTCTCAGTGCGATGCAATGTGACACAGACTTACACCCACAACTTTCCAAACTCCCCTCCCACACTCTCCGCCACCTCCCATTCCCATATACCTACCCACATCTACCCACCCAGAGGCTCACTCCCATTTTCACACAGTCCCACACACGCATACCCCACCCCACTTCCATACTCCTCACACACAAACACATATGACACATGCTTGCTCTCTCTCCTATCCTGAAGCAATCTAGGAAAAATCTTTTCCTCCTGTATCCTTCCTCCTTAGGGGAAATCAGGAAAAGAAAACCTGGCCTGCTGGATGTTCTGGGTCTTCAGCCTCTTATCCATTTCTGCCCCTGCTCTCCTTCATGTCTTCCACCCTCTCATTTGAAAGAACAAACCCTGGGTGGTCTGGACCTGAGTCTCTCAGATGCCACTGAAATGGTGCCATGGTTCAGAGGTCACCAAGAAAAGGAATCTTCTCCCATTTCCTTCTGAGGGGAAAATTCATTTCCTTTTTGAGAATACGATTCCGGAGGGAAACGATTCTTTTCTCAACCCCAGAGGAGTATAGTGAAGCCTGCTACTGAGCAACTCAGCTACATCTGGTTTTTCCCCCTTAAGGGAAAATTCTAACAATCCTTGGCTCATCTCTGCAATGATTTTTGCATTGCCTAGGGGAGAGAGAGGAGAAAACTGACATATTTAACATCTTCTATCTGAGCGACATCATTTAAAGCTTATAACAATACAAAGTTGGATAGTTCTCCATTTTACAAATGAGGACACTGAGCACAGAGGTGTTTGCTAACTTGTCCATGCTTACACAGTAAATAAATGGTGGTGCCAAGATGCAAATTCTTCTAAAACTGCAACTAAAAAAGTGAAAGATTCTTTCCACAATCTTCAGTCTAAAATGGGTGACTCTGCTACTCTAGAGAACAGCTTTGCCAGATGATGGCCTTATCTTACACTTGCCCAGTGACATGCACAACCTTTTCCATGAGGGGCCTCAATACGAAACCGCATGTGACATGGCAGCTTTGCCTTTTTAGGGAGATGGAGCCACTTCCTTTTGACTCTGGCAAGGAGCTTCTCCATCCATCTACCCACCCATCCATCTACACATCCATCTACCCATCCATCCATCCATCCATCCATCCATCCATCCATCCATCCACGCATCCACACATCCATTTATCCATACATGTATCCTCCACATATCTATCTACCCATTTGCTCTTCCACCCACCCAACCACTTAGCCACCCATGCATTCATCCACTCACCCACAGATCTATTCATCCATCCATCCATTCATCCATCTACATATCCACCTATCCATCCACCCATTCACCCATCCACCCATCCAGATATCCACCTATCCATCCACCCATTCACCCATCCATCCATCCATCGACCCATCCATTTATTAATCTAACTAATAGCCTCGATTTTCTTTCTTATTTATAAAATGAAGAAAGTTGATACAATATTTAAGTGATATAGAACATGTTAACTACCTGACATAAATAGGTTAATTAATGTTTATGCAATGGATGTCTTTTGCCTTTTTAAGGAGTCAATTTCAAGGCGATCTTATTCCTGTGGCCCAATCATGTTCCACAAACTCTGTCCTTTGGTTTATTGCTTTGAGAAACTGGAGTGATGAGGGTGTGTTGGGTCCTTTTTATTACCTGATGAGTCTCTCTGGCTCTTGGTTGTCCATGAAGAACAATAAGAAAATCCCAGGGAGAGACAGTGGGCAGAGGACCATAAGTAAAGTGAACAAAGGCAGGAGCAGCCACAGGCTTCCCCTCACTGGAGTCAGGCGTGGGGAAGGTGTCTGGGAAGCAGGAAGTTTAGGTTAGCTTCCCCACCTTCCCTGTAGGCTCTATCTCAGGAAGAGGAAGCTTGTCCAATGTGGAGCTATAAAAATCCTCATGTGGGGCTTTGATGTATCTTCTCTGCAGGGAGCTGGGGCCTAGTTCTAGGGGGAAAAGAAGGTGAAAATCTTAAGGCCTGGGTTTGGGCTGCTATGAAGAAAGCTGGCAAAGCTGTGGCCTGGACTGACTCCTGAAGATGATGGCAGTGAAAATTATTGTACCTGACATTTGTACAGCTGTTCACAGTTTGCACAGGATTTGCACATGTGCACGTGCCATGCCATCACACCCCTGTGTATCAGGAAAGACGGCCTTTTTTTTTTTTTTTTTTTGAGACAGACTCTCGCTCTGTTACCCAGGCTGGAGTGCAGTGGCGTGATCTCAGCTCACTGCAACCTCCACCTCCTGGGTTCAAGAGATTCTCCTGCCTCAGCCTCTCGAGAGTAGCTGGGAGTATAGGTGCATGTCACCAAGCCTAGCTAATTTTTGTATTTTTAGTAGAGATAGGGTTTCACCACGTTGGCCAGGCTGGTCTCAAACTTCTGACCTCAAGTGATCCGCTTGCCTCAGCCTCCCAAAGTGCTGGGATTACAGGCATGAGCCACCACGCCCGGCCAAGACAGGCATTTTTATACTCATCATAAAGACGAAGAAGCTAACACTCACTGTGACAACTGGCTACCCCCCAGGGCACCCAGGCTCCACCTCTGCTCTCCTGACTTTCCCTCCAGAACCCTCTCCCCTAATCTGGAGGTCCTCTTTTGAAATGGTCCCTAGACACTGGGAGAAAGTTACTTCACCATGTCTTGGGCAGTCTGTGACTTCCAAAATTGTGTGGAGAGAACTCTCTTAGTTTGGTTGCTGTTGTTGTTTAAGTTTTAAATTAATTAATTCAAATTGATTTTACAGAGTACCTGCCACAGGTACTCTGTACCTTTTCTTTTCTGGGAGCTCGGCATCGAGTGGTGTGAACTAACCGAATGCAGGCGGTTGCAATTCAGTGGATGGGAGCCAGGATTCGGGAACTGGCTGCTCTGGGAGCATGGAGTTACCTTGCCAATAACATCCCAAAGGTGACTCAGCAGCTGACAGGTAGGAGGGACTCAGGCAAAGGAAGAGAAGAGGGTCCTGGCAAGAGGAAACCCCACTTGCAAACACCAGGATGCAAAGAAGTGAGTGAGTTTGGCAAATTGAAGGAGGCTCAGTAGCTGGAGGGATGGATAGCCGGAGGCTGGAAGAAGGGGAATGGGGAGTGGTGAGACCCCAGGCCGGAGGAGGGCAGGGACCAATGCTGGAGGACCTCAGAGATCACATTGAGGAGTTGGTCTTCATCCTAGGAGCAATGGGAAGCACCTGGAAGGTTTTAGCAGGAACTTTAGATGGCTACGTTTGTGTCTGACTGAAGTGTGAAGAATGGGTTGGAATACAGGAGAAATGAAGGCCTGTGCCAGTAGATTTTTGTTTTTCTGGTTTTTTTTTTTTTAAACATGTCTTCACCACTAGATTGAGAACACTTGAAAGTTAGAGAATGAGTCAAAAAAAAAAATATGGTCCTGAGATGTCCAGGGCTCCTGCAGAAGCATGCTTCTGGGAGAGACAAGCCTTTACAATCACTGCTAGGTTGGGTGCCCACTATGTGCCAGGCAGAGCTTAAGTAGACCCAGGCCCACCCTCAAGGGGCCCACAATCTAGTGTAGTATTATAGACAAAGAAGCCCCATCCAGGAGTGTGCACCAAATCCTATGCAAGCACCCGTACCGGCATGACAGGGTCCCTAGAGATCAGGAAGGCTTCTCAAGGGAGGTGACATCTGAACTGTGTCTTGAAGCATGGAGAAGAGTTTGGTGGTGGTGGCTAATTTTTGGTCAAAGAACAAAGATCTCAACTTTCTTAAAGGACAGTAAATCAAGAGGTTATTTCTGTCCCTTTCTAAGGAGAAAATCTTTTCAGATAGGGCTGGCAGGGTCAGTGATATGAATATCAGCTTCACAGCAGAGCTGATCAAAGCTGGTGGCTGATCAGTGGCATGTTGGGAGACTTCACCAGGACTGCCCCATGCCTGAATTCCTCACCCATCTTGTCCCACCTCAGCTCCAACCTGACAGCACTGGGACTTAAGTCTGTTCTGTCCTGACATATTGTTAATATAAACATGTGAAGGAAACGTGGTGGAGCATTGCCGTTAAGAGCAGATGGAGGCTGGGCGCGGTAGCTCATGCCGGTAATC
This sequence comes from Homo sapiens, assembly GCF_000001405.40. NCBI lineage: Eukaryota > Metazoa > Chordata > Mammalia > Primates > Hominidae > Homo > Homo sapiens. The sequence goes on from NC_000001.11 coordinate 62,345,317, forward strand.
CCAGCATTTTGGGAGGCCAAGGCGGGTGGATCACTTTAGGTCAGGAGTTCGAGATCAGCCTGGCCAACATGGTGAAACCCCGTCTCTACTAAAAATACAAAAATTAGCCGGGCATGGTGGTGGGCGGCTGTAATCCCAGCTACTCAGGAGCTGAAGCATGAGAATGGCTTGAACCCGGGAGGCAGAGCTTGCAGTGAGCCAAGATCGTGCCACTGCACGCCAGCCTGGGCAACACAGCGAGACTCAGTCTCAAAAAAAAAAAAAAAAAAAAAAAAAAAAAAGAGTAGATGGACCTGGCTTCACATCAGGGCTCTGCCATTTGAAGTTGCTAGGCAAGTCACCTTAACTTCCCTAGACCTTCAGTTTCCTCATCACATAATAAGAGTAATAGCAGTGCATTCCTGCATCATGGCATTGGTGGGGAGATTCCTGTACCAGTTGTGCAGTCATGGGGTCTCAGCTCCAAACTCTTCTGTACTCTGCTTTGTGCTGCTGGGCCTGGGGCTCTACAAACCCCATTTCTACTCAGCCAGCTGACTCCCTCTGAAATTCTGCCAGTCGGGGTGCTAGAGAGAGCCACGCAATTGGAGGGGAAAACAGACTTGCTCCTTCTTGTATGTGTCCTGTGGGCTTCTTGTCTATTTTCCTTCCAGGAGTAGCACCTCAGCAGTGCCTTTTAACCCTGGCAGCAGCAGGGCTTCCCCATAGCAATAGCTGAAGCCAGTTTGCAGTTTTTCCAATGCTAGCAGAACCAGCTTCAGCACATCCAACTCAGAGACATCAGCACCAGACTAGCAGTATCCCCTCCTCAGGGCTCTGAGTTTCAGCTCAGAGTCCTCCCGTGAAACCTCTAAATGTTCATCATTCTAACTTTTCCCCAGTGAGGCCTATCCCTAGGATGATCGCGGCTTCCTACTGTTGCTGTCTCTATTATTCCTTATAGTTCTTGTTTGTCTGAATATAGCCTGAAGGTTTGTGTCCCTCCTAAAATTCAGGTGTTGAAATCCTAACCCTCAAAGTGGTGGTATTAAGAAGTGGGGCCTTTGGGAGAGGACTAGGTCATGAAGGTGGACCCCTCATGAATAGGATTAGTGTCCTTATAAAAGACCTCAGAGAGCTGCCTTGCCCCTTCCACTGTTTGAGGACACATGGAGAAGATGCCGTCTATGAGCCAAAAAGCAGGACCCTCACCAGACACCGAATCTGCTGGTGCCATCATCTTGGACTTCCTAACCTCTAGAACGGTAATAAAGAAATTTCTGTTGTTTACGAACTATCCAGTTTATGGTATTTTGTTGTAGCAGCCCAAATAGACCAAGTCAGTTCTTGTTTTTTTTTCCCAGTTACCTAGTTAACACTTTATACCTATTTAGCGATCCTTTACATGACATTCACTTTGTGCAAGAAACCGATGTGGTCTCTATCTCCTGACTGTCATAACTAATTCAGATTTCTGTGAAATATTTGGTTCATACTAAACTCTCAATAAATGCTTCGTGTTATTATGCCTTTATGCCTAATGTATATTCACTTATTCATCTATGTTGGTTTCCTGTGGTGTTTCAGGCCCCGTGTGAGGCATTGGGGTGCAGAGCTGCAGAAGACGCAGTCCAGGCCTCATGGATCTCACAGTCGGAGTGGAGGAGACCACCAAGGACAAAGACCACCTGGAAGAGTTCTCGGTATCTCTTCCCAGAAACTCTCTTTGCTGGCTTCACTGCCTAGTTGCTCCCAGATTTCCCAGAATCCTGATGTCCAGCCACACAAGCATTCCCTGTCTGGCACATTTTCAAACACCTGTGTTTGACAGGCCTCCACAAATAATACTTATGGTGAGGATAAGTGGATAGTATTTGATGTTATTACTATTATTTGCACATCTTACCATCCTTCTTAGATGGTAAATTACTCAGGACTGATTTCCCCAAATGGCTCATTTCTGTATCAGCTTAAAGGCCCAGCAGAGTACCTAGGACATGAGAAGATATCCAAAAACAGATGGCGAATGAATTAATTCATCTAACAAATATTCTTTGAGCTTTTACTCTGAAGCAGGCACTGAGCCAGGTTATCAGGGGCACAAGAACAAAGAAAGGCAACAGGGTCCCTGCCCCTAATGAATGGATGTCTGACTCGCTGGCTGAAACTGGCCAGCCTCGGAGGACCCAGACCTCCATGGGGCTGGAAGTGGTGCCATCATCTTGGTGTGACACAGACTTCCTGGATGTCCTCTGCCTCCTTCCTGTGGAGCTGGCTGAGCTCTGGGGAGATGGCTGCCCACTGTGGTTTACCTGATGTCCTGAACACTCTCAGCTGGCAGCCAAAGGCTATATTTAAATAGCAAACATTTGCATTTTTAATGTTGACTGGAATTGGAAAGGCAATGATAACCTTTCTAAGCTGATATTGGTTTTTACATGATTGAAACAGGCCGGGCCTGAGGCATTTCTTAAATGGAAAATTTGAAGTATTTTCAATATCAGTGAGAGTGCAGAACCATCTTGAAACACTGTGCCTGTTTGGATTTTCAGAAAATGTCACCTCCCTCCCTTGAGCACACTCAGCACCTTCGCCCTGTTCACATTTCAGGGTCATTCCTTCATTGGGTCCTCCTAACCCTCTGAGAGGGTAGACAGCCTGAGGCCTGTGTCACTGGCGAGGAAGAGTTTAGGGAAGCCCAGAGGGCAGTGGAAAGGGCTCTGGCCTTAGAACTGGCTCCGAGTACCTTCCCTACACCTCACCACTCGGGTCTTCCTAAGCCTCCTTTTCTCACCTGTAGCATAGTAATATAAATGCCTGTTTCGTGGTGTATTAGTTCGTTTCCACACTGCTATAAAGAAATACCTGAGGCCAGGCACAGTGGCTCACGCCTGTAATCCTAATACTTCCGGAGGCCGAGGCAGGCAAATCACCTGAGGTCGGCAGTTCGAGACCAGCCTGACCAACATGGAGAAACCCCGTCTCTACTAAAAATACAAAAGTAGCTGGGCATGGTGGTGCATGCCTGTAATTCCAGCTACTCAGGAGGCTGAGGCAGGAGAATCGCTTGAACCCGGGAGGCAGAGGTTGCAGTGAGCTGAGGTCACGCCATTGCACTCCAGTCTGGGCAACAAGAGCAAAACTCCGTCTCAAAAAAAAAAAAAAAAAAGAAATATTTGAGACTAGGTAATTCATAAAGAAAAGAGGTTTTAATTGACTCACAGTTCTGCATGGCTGGGAGGCTTCAGGAAACTGACAATCCAATCATGGCGGAAGGCCAAGGGGAAGCAGGCACCTTTTTCACAAGGTGAGAGGAAAGAGACAGACAAGGAAGAGGAACTGCTAAACACTTATAAAACCAGCAGATCTCATGAGAACTCACTCACTATCATGAGAACAGCATGGGGGGAACCACCTCCACGATCCCATCACTTCCCACCATGTCCCTCCGTTGACACGTGGGGATTACAATTCAAGATGAGATTTGGGTAGGAACACAGAGCCGTGCTGTTCAAATGTGCTCATCTGTAAAAATGCTTACCACCCCACACCTGGCACTTTGCTAATGCTCAAAGGTCATTAGTTCTTGTCCCTCCCCTGGCAGAGACCTGCCTAAGGTAACACGTCAAAATCAAGTGAGAACTGTAGGCTCCTGGCTCCCAGACCTCTTTCCAAGAGGCTGGGGACACAGATTAAGACATGCACAGCTGGGTTAAAGCAGAAGGACTCATTTTCATCATTACTTTATTCTGACTACCATCATTAACAAAATATGCCATGACATCCTGTCTGAAGACTTCTTGGCAACTGTATTTTCCTCCTGTTTTTGTTGTAGTAAAAGTTGTTGCATTGTTCCATATGCTCAATAGCCACGTGTAGCTATTTAAGTCTAAATTAAAATTAAACACAATTTAAAATTCAGTTCCTCAGCCACAGTAGCCGTATTTCAAGGGCTCAGTGGCCACATGTGGCTAGCAGCAACCAGTGCAAATATAGGACATTTCCATCATTACAGAAAGTACTAGTGGGCACTGCTAAGTGAGAGAGGAGGGGAAGGGAGGGGAGGGGAGGCGAGGAGAGGAGTGGGGAGGAGCGAAATGGGGAGGGGAGAGAAAGAGAGGGGTGGGGAAGGGAGGGGAGAAGAGGGAAAGGGAGAGAAGGGGAAAGGGAGGGAAAGGGAGGGGTTGTGGGGGAGAAGTGAAGAGGGGAAGGGGAAAGGAGAGGAGGGGGAAGTGGGGAGGGGAAGGGGAAGGGAGGGGTTGGGAGGGGAGAAGTGGGGAGGGGAGGGGGAAGGGAAGGGAGAGGAAGGGAGGGAGGGAGGGGAGAGAAAGGGAGGGGAGAGGAGGGTAGGGGAGGAGAGAGGAGGGGAGGGGAGGTGACCTATGAGATTCCTACTGCTGCTGTAGCAAATTACTAAAATCCTAGTGGCTGAAAAATCACAAATTAATTATCTTAAAGTTCTGGATATCAGAAGTCCTAAAATCAGTTCTCCTGGGCTAGAATCAAGGTGTTGGCAGTGCTGGTTCATTCAGAGGTCCAGGAGTCCATTTCCTTGCTTTTCCAGCTTCTAGAGGCCATCAGCACTCCTCAGTTCATGGCCCCTCTGCTATCGCTCCAACCTCTTACAACTAACTCCAGTCTTGTTCTCTCTTATAAGGATTGTTGTGATCATATCAGGCCCACCTGGATAATCCAAGATAACCACCCAATCTCAAGATAATTAATTTAATCACATCAGCAAAATCTCTTTTGGCATATAAGGCAGGATTTACAAGTGTCAGGGATTAGAATATGGACATCTTTGTGGGGCCATTATTTGGCCTACCACAGATGGAGAGAAGAGGAGGGGAAAGGGAAGGGGAAAGGAGAGGACAAAAGAGGCAAACTGGTTTTCCAGAGCATTCCTCATTCACACACATCCTTGCACGTGTTCATCTAGGTGTGGAAATCCATCTCTGATATTTGCACATTCTGATGGAAGAGGAAAATTCTCTTCTCTGAGAGAATCAGTGCTTGAGAACTTTTTAAATTTAGTTCAACTCAACAAATATTATCGTTTAAAACTCAGATGTGATCATTTCATTCCCTGCTTAAAATAGATGGGTGATTCTTCACAACCTACTCTAAAAGCCCCAAACCATCAACATGCAAACACACACGGGCAAATGCCTCACTGGGCCTGCCAACCCACCTTCTCTGATCTACCTTGCACTTTGCAATCCTTGCCTTAGCTCCTGCTGAACCCATGGCCTGGGATACACGGAGGGCATAGCTTTACCTGTGGACACTGGGCAAAACACAGCTCAGAGGTTTTCTCCTCCCTGCTGCCTTCGCAAGCTCTGCTAGACTGATGTTCTCATCTGTGACCAGCATTTTATTTATCCGTTTTTCAGAGCATTTGCCCGGTTGTGCCATCTCTCTCCCCCACTTTCTGTCCACTGTATTCCCCATAATCAATGGTGATTCTCAAACTCCGTGTGTAGGAAAGACTAGTAACTTTTTGTTTTTTGTGTGTGTGTTTTGTTTTGTTTTGTTTGTTTGTTTGTTTTTCTGAGACAGAGTCTCACTCTGCTGCCCAGGCTTGAATGTAGTGGCACAATCTTGGCTCACTGCAGCCTTCGCCTCCCAGGCTCAAGTGATTCTCTTGCCTCAGCCTCCTGAGTAGCTGGGATTACAGGCGCGGGCCACCACACCTGGCTAATTTTTGTATTTTTAGTAGAGATGGGGTTTCACCATGTTGGCCAGGCTGGTCTCAAACTCCTGACCTCCAGTGATCCATCCACCTCAACCTCCCAAAGTGCTGGGATTATAGGTGTGAGCCACCATGCCCGGCCAAGACTAGTATTTTTTGTTGCTGTTTAGTTTTCATTTCAAAAATTTCCGCCAGGTGCGGTGGCTCACGCCTGTAATCCCAGCACTTTGGGAGGCCAGCGCGGGCGGATCACGAGGTCAGGAGATCGAGACCATCCTGGCTAACACGGTGAAATCCCGTCTCTACTAAAAATACAAAAAAAATTAGCCGGGCATGGCGGCGTGCACCTGTAGTCCCAGCTGCCGGGGAGGCTGAGGCAGGAGAATGGCGTGAACCTGGAAGGCGGAGCTTGCAGTGAGCCGAGATCGCGCCTCTGCACTCCAGCCTGGGCGACAGAGTGAGACTCCGTCTCATAAAAAATAATAAATAAATAAAAATAAAAATAAAAAATAAAAATTTCCAATCCATTGCATACAGATGATTTTGTAAAATAAAATGAAAGACATAGGTGCAAAATATAAGCCTTTGTCTTTGTTAAAAGAAAAAGCAGACATATAAAAAGCAAGCTTTATTTTATTATTATAGTCAAATTGCTGTAAGGATTTCTAAACCCTTCTTCTCAATTTCTGTACTTTTAGCTTCTTTGACCAGTAACAGTTTTCAGACCACACAGGTCTCTGGGCCGCACCTGAAGGAGCACTGTCCTCTAGCCCCCGAGACGACTCTGCACTTGGGCAGCACTTGATCCGCTTTAGGGAACCCATTTGAATTTCCCTGCCAAGTGTTCTGCCAGGTGTCCGAAGGGATGGGATGCGTAGAAGAGTGGTCCTTGTGGAGAGGCCCTCAGAATGAGGAGGTCCCTTCTGGTGATATTCACAGGCAGATGTGGTTGTGGTCCCAGTTGTGCTATCTAAGCAGCTTCAGGACCCTGGGTGTGTCACCTGAATGTGGCCTTGACCTGAAGCTAGACCAAGGTTCTGTTTTTTTTTTTAGACGAAGTCTCACTCTGTCACCCAGGCTGGAATGCAGTGGTGTGATCTCAGCCCACTGCAACATCCACCTCCCAGGTTCAAGCGATTCTCCTGCCTCAGCCTCCCAAGTAGCTGGGATTATAGGCACACACCACCATGCCCAGCTAATTTTTGTATTTTTAGTAGAGACGGGGTTTCACCATGTTGGCCAGGCTGGTCTCGAATTCCTGACCTCAAGTGATTCACCTGCCTTGGCCTCCCAAAGTGCTGGAATTACAGATGTGAGCCACCATGCCCAGCCTAGACCAAGGTTCTTAAGCTCTCTGTGCCATGGACTGCTTTGATAGTCTGGGGAGGCCTAGGGACCTCTTCTCAGGTAGCCGGAGAAGGAAGCCTGCCTCTCTAAATCCTTCCTGGTGCTAGTTGGGAGGGGCCTCATTCCATTGAGGGACCGTGACTCCAAGTTTCAAGTACTGACTTCAGTAAACAGGGTGGCCCACAGAGGAACCGGGAGCAACTGGGAAATATGCATGGCACCTACTGTAGTGGACAAACGGGAGAGAAGCCAGGAGCAGAACTGTTAGCCTGTAAGTTAAAGAAAAGTGCCCTATGAAAGGGGAACTTTGTGCCTTAGTGTCTAGATTGCAATATTCTGTACCTTCCCCCACCACATCCCTCTACACTGTGAGCTTTTTTTTTTTGAAATAGGGTGTCACCCAAGCTAGAGTGCAGTGGTGTGATCACAGCTCACTGCAGCTTTGATCTCCCAGGCTCAAGCAATCCTCCCACCTCAGCCTCCTGAGTAGTTGGGACCATAGGCACATGCCACCACACCTAGTTAAGTTGGTTTTGTTTTCTGTGGGTTTTGTTGTTGTTGTTGTTTTGAAAGACAAGATCCCACTATGTTGACCAGGCTGGTCTAGAACTCCTGGGCTCAAGCAATCCTGCTGCCTGGGCCTCCTTGTTGGGATTATAGACATTAGCCACCATGCCTGGCCACTGTGAGCTTCTTGAAAACAGAAAAAAAATTCCTTATTATCATCAATATCCCCAGTGTCCAGCCCAGGGTCTGGCACACAGGAAACCCTTAATAACTATCTGAAGGATGATGAAAAGAAAGGAGAGTGGCCAAAGTCATCCTGAGCAAAAACAACAAAGCTGGAGGCATCACACTACCTTATGATGAGTAAGCTTCAGGGACAGTGTGCAGGGTCACAGAGCACAAAGTCGCAATTCTGCCTAGGAGGTGGGCAGCCAGGGCTGGAGGAGAGGGGAAAGGCCTCATGGAGGTGACATTTGTGCTGGTCTTTGGGTCTGCTGGCGTGGGCAGAGGAGAGGGGGAAGGATGGGAGTCAAGAGGCTAAAAGGAGGAAAGGCAGGAAAGGGAAGCTTGTTTGGAGAATGGCAGGGTGACCACCTGACCGGAATTTCAGGGGCTTGGGGGACGGTGGCAATGGGAGTGACAGGAGGAGTACACGAGGTGACTCTGGAGGGGCCAGCAGGCAAGCGGGGAGCCCTGAAAAGTTTTCAAGCAGGAAAGTGGAAGGATCACAACTGTCCTTTAGAAAGATGACAGTGCCAGGTGAAGAGACAATGAATTGGAGGGAAGAGAGGCTGTAGGGAGGGAAAACACTTTCCCTAAATCAGGCAAAAGACTGTGGCAAGGGCAGAGATGGTGGAATGGGGGGGAAAGGGATGGAGCCGAGAGCCGTTTCTGATAACAGGGTTTGTGAACACTGTCCCCCATTTTCCCGTGCACACATCCTCCTGAGTGAAGTTTCAAGTTTGGATGACAAAATAGATGTTGATGCCATTCCTTAAGAGAGGGGACTCAGGAAGTACTAAGTTAAGGGCCAAAAGGACGAATTCCATTTTGGACATTCTCACAGGACAACTGGGAAGATGCCCAGTTTCAGCTGGAAATACAGATCTGAAGCTGAGGAGAGTGGAGTTGAGAGTCCTCAGGGTGTAGGCAGTAATGGGGGCCATGGGGATGGACAAGCAACTCCAGGATAATTGGGGACTGCAGGGTGGCCCACACTGAGCAGTTACAAACTAGCACCTGTTGCAGTGGATAAGACAAAATGTCCGAATATGTGACAGAAATAGTAAGTTATGTTGTCAGGAAGACGAGGGATGACAAACAGCTGGAATTGCTAAAAAAAAAAAAAAAAAAAAAATTCTTCCTGGAGAAGGTGGCTTGAAGAGAAATAGCAGGATGCACAGGATTAGGAGGCAGGAAGGAGGGAGGGGAGGATTTTGGATGGGTTTTGCTGGTGGCGGAGCAGGGAGCGTGGCCACAGGGCACTGAGGGTGCATGCTGCAAAAATACAGCCCCAGGATGGCGCAGCTAGAGAAAGAAACAAGGAATTGATTCAGAATCCACTTTGAGGAAACTGGTCTCCATGGTTGCCTCTGGGGAGAGGAAATGGGAGTCCAGAGGGTAGGCTGAGAAGGAGACATCTCTCTATATCCTTTTGCAACTTCTGGGTATTTTTACCTTGTACACCAATTACCTTTTTTCAGGTTTAAATAAATGGTTTGGGCCTGATGCTGTGGCTTACGCCTGTAATCCCAGCACTTTGGGAGGTGGAGATGGAAAGATATCTTGAGACCAGGAGTTCAAGCCTAGCCTGGGCAACATAGCAAGACCCCATCTCAATTATACTAAAAAATAATAATCATCGTTAAAAAAAAAACAAAACTTTTGGTTTTGGCAGACCAAGCGGTGAGTCTGGTGCCAGAGGAAATCAGGTAGATCCCAAGAGTAAAGGTCAGATTCCTGGCCTTCCTTTCAGGCATGAGAGCAGGACCAGTCTCTGACTGAGGGACCAGCGTTAGTGGCTGTAGCTCTGAGTAATCCTCAAATGGCTTTTTTTTTTTTTTTTTTTTTTTTGAGACGGAGTTTCACTCTTGTTTCCCAGGCTGGAGTGCAATGGCGTGATCTTGGCTCACTGCAACCTCTGCCTCCCAGGGTCAAGCGATTCTCCTGCCTCAACCTCCTGAGTAACTGGGATTACAGGCATGTGCCACCACGCCCGGCTAATTTTACACTTTTAGTAGAGACGGGGCTTCTCCATGTTGGTCAGACTGGTCTCAAACTCACGACTTCAGGTGATCCTCCCGCCTCGGCCTCCCAAAGTGCTGGGATTATAGACGTGGAGTCACCGCGCCCGGCCCAGACAGCTCTTTTACATGAATTTGGTTGAGTAAGTGAATGAGCAATCCAGAGAGCAGATGAGGACAGAATGAGAAGTGGCTGGACACTGGAGCTGGCCAGCTTCCAGGGACATAGAAGTATGCCCCCGAGGTGGACTGATGAGCCAGTGCTGGATCCTAATCTTATGACTTGTGTGACTGGGGCCAGGTGATGTTGCAGGAACAGTGCTGAAACCTCATGTTTTACTGTATTAGTCCATTCTCACATTGCTATAAATAAATACCTGAGACTGGGTAATTCATAAGAAAAGAGGATTAATTGGCTGACAGTTCTTCAGGCTGTACAGGAGGCATAGCAGCATCTGCTATTGGGGAGGCCTCAAGAAGCTTCCAATAACGGGGGAAGGTAAAGGGGTAGCAGGCATATCACATGGTGAAAGCAAGAGCAAGACAGAGCCACAGGGAAGGTGCTATCAGATCTCACAAGAACTCACTCACTATCACAAGGACCACACCCAGGGGATGGTACTAAAACATTCATGTGAAACCTGCCCCCATTATCCAATCACCTCTCACCAGGCCCCACCTCCAACATCAGGGATTACATTTCGATATGAGATTTGGGCGGGGACACATATCCAAACTATATCACTTAGATAGAGTTGTTGTGAGAGTTAAATGAGATCAACATCATGACCATCAAACATTTCTGATGACTTACTATGTGCCTGGCATTGAGCTAATTACTCACATAGTTTAATCCTCACAAAAATCCTATGAGACGATTGCCATTATTATCCCCGTTTTACAAATATAGGAAATAAGGGCCAGGCGAAGTGGCTCACGCCTGTAATCCCAGCACTTTGGGAGGCCGAGGCAGGGAGATCATCTGAGGTCAGGAGTTTGAGACCAGCCTGGCCAACATGGCAAAACCTCGTCTTTACTAAAAATACAAAAAGTAGCCGGGTATGGTACTGGTGTGCCTGTAATCCCAGCTACTTGGGAGGCTGAGATAGGTGAATCACTTGAACCCAGGAGGTGGAGGTTGCAGTGAGCTGAGATAGCACCACTGCATTCCAGCCTGGGTGACAGAGCAAGACTCTGTCTCAAAAAATATATATATAAATAAATAAATAAATAAATAAATAAATAGGAAATAAGGCACAGAGAAGTTTACTGATTTGTCTAAGATCACACAGTAAGAAAGTAGCTAACCAGGATTGAAACCTAGGCTCTCTAACTCCAGAGTTTAGTTTCTATGTGAAATAACTCACTTAGCCCAGGGTGAAACACACATAGAGCATCAGTCAGGGTAGGCCAGGTAATGCTGCAGCAACAAACAATGCTGAATCTCAGTAGCATTCCACACAGAGGTTTATTCCTCACTTATGCCAGATGTCTGGTGCAGGGTGGCAAGTATGGCTCATGAGAGTGACTCATAGACACAGGGGAGGGAGGCTTCAGCTTGAGTGCTTCTGCAATCACTGAAACAGGAGAAGGGCAGGGGAATTCTTTCCATCCAATATGACACATATCACTTCTGCTTTTCTTTCATTTGCCAAAGCTAAGGCAGTGGGGAGGTCAAATTTGACTTTATGTCCTGAAGGCGAGAACCAAAATATTCATTAACAGCCCTAATGATTGCATTTATGCACCCATTGAGTATTGACTGAATTGAAGTCGAATGACTAGTTCAGAGAGAGATGGAGAGAACTCTGTCTCAGCCAGCTGGATTTATAGAGTTTTTGAGAGTTCACAAACATAAGCACTATCAATCCTGCCCTGAAGGCCGCCGGAGGACCACTGCTTCACCATTTCTGTGTGTCAGGCATTTCTCTGAGAGGTCTGCATGTTGCCAAGACACCATAAAGAATTCTGATTACAGGTCAAAGCATCCCAGGAAAATATAATTATTATCTTCCAACCACTGTCATTTATCCGTTCGCCCCATCCCAGACCACCCTTTTGTGATGGCTTTTTCCTTTTGCCCTTTTTATGATTTCTCTTGTCATATTCTTTTATAAACTCACATGAGGCACACACAGAAATATGGCAAACTTGTACACTACAAAATTTTTTTTCTTTCTTTTTTTGAGACAGGGTCTCGCTCTGTCACCCAGGCTGGAGTGCAGTGACATGACCGTGGATCACTGCAGCCTCAAACTCCCAGACCTGAGCAATCCTCCCACCTCAGCCTCCCAAGGTGCTGGGATTATGATTGTGAGCTGCTGCCCCCAGCCAGGAAATTTTCTAAACCATCTGTAAGTGTACATTTCAGTGGCAGTAATTACATTCACAATGCTGTGCAGGCCTCACCACTGTCTATTCCCAAAACATTTTTATCACCCCATATAAAAACCCTGTACCCATTAGGCAATAACTCCTGATTAAGGTAGAAATTTTTATACTCACTTTAAAGATAAGGATATTTAGGATTAAGAACTTTGCCCAGCATTACACAGGAAATAAGTGACAGAGACAGGATTTCTGACTTTGAAGCCAGTGGTCCTCTTGCAGCAGTCAAAGCCTCTCTAGAAGATCCCTATCTGATCACTCATAGAAGGGCAGTGCGGACCATCTATTCGAGGTGGAGTGCGGTTCCTAAACTTGGGAGTGCCCCTTCAGTGGTCTGAGGAATAGACAGTCCTTCATTCACTCAACAGCATTCCAAGACATTACTGAATTACTGAGTGCCTATTAGTACTGGAGATTCAAAGATGAATAAAACTCTATGCTGCAGAAGCTCACAGCTGAGAGAAGTTACCGAGCTGTTGCTCATTTTCTCCAAAATCGTTTCCCTTCTTGTTTAGTAAAAAAACAAACCAATAAAAAAAAAAAAACACAGATTTTTAGCTGGGTTCATGGCTCCCAGGTGCAAGACTACATTTTTCAGTCTCTCTTGTAACTGGCTATGGCTGCGTGACTAAGTTCTGGAAAATGGCCGATGAGCATAAGTGGTATGTGAAACTTCTCGGGGAGTGTTTGCAAAAGACCAGGGAGGAATACCCTTCCTTCTTTACCTCCCCCTTTATCCCACTCCCTACTGTCTAGAATCAAACTGCAATGGCCGGAGCTTGGGCAACCATCTTGGATCAGGAAGGATAACCCATTGACTGAGGATGGAAGAACAACAAGATGGAATAAGCCTTAGTTCTTGACAAGGTGGGGGGTGCTGTGTCATCTTTAGGCTTCATATTTCTCATTTAGAAGAGAAAGAAAACAAGTTTCTATATTATATGTATCTGTTAGTTTTTGGTGAATAACAAACTACTTCAAAGCTAATGGCCTGGCCGGGCAGGGTGGCTCACGCCTGTAATCCCAGCACTTTGGGAGTCCGAAGCGGGCGGCTCGCCTGAGGTCAGGAGTTTGAGACCAGCTTGGCCAACATGGTGAAACCCCATCTCTACTAAAAATACAAAAAATAGCCGGGCATGGTGGTGGTTGCCTGTGATCCCAGCTACTTGGGAGGCTGAGGCAGGAGAATCCCTTGAACTGGGGAAGTGGATGTTGCAGTGAGCCGAGATTGTGCCACTGCACTCCAACCTGAGTGACAACGTGAGACTCCGTCTCAGAAAAAAAAAAAAAAAAAAAGCTAATGGCCTAAAACAACAGCCATCTTATTTAGTTCCTGATACCATGGGTCAGCTGGGTGCTGGAGGATTGGCTGGAGCTGAATGGCCTAGGCTGACTCTGTGTGTCTGGTGGTTGGCAGGCTGGTTGTTCTGCCGGGCCTCAGCTGGGATGGTGCCCCTTTGCTCTATCTGGTCTCACTCTCCAGTAGGCTTCGCCTAAGCTTCTTCACATGCAGTCTTAGACTTCCAAAACAAAAAAGGCAAAAACCAAGAAAAGCCCCACATGCAAGTGCTTTGCAAGCCTCTGCTCGTGTCACACATGCTAATGTTCCCCTGATCTAAGCAAGTCACCCGCAGGCATAGTTACTGTGAAATGATTTATTGGAAGCCATTACTACAACAATCCCTATTGTCTAAGCCACTGGTATTTTTGGATTTTCTGTCACATGCACCCGAATCTAGTCCTCCCTTGTGCAGGTGGTGACAAGCCTGCGTAACCTCTATGTTTACATTCACCAGCGCCTGAGCATAAAAAGCAGTCACAGTATGTTTTGATGTCAAGGTAACGGTGGCTTGAAAACCTCCATTTCTTACTTGTCCTTATCTCCTTATCAAACTCATTTTAGAGTTACTGAGACTAAACTAGTGGATGAGAAAAAACAGAATTATAGTTTAATTTTCAAGCAATATTAAGAAAACATGAACAGGTCACTGACTTTTTTGCTGTTGCATTTTTTTGTTGTTGTTGTTGTTTAATGATGAGGCTCTTTATTTTAAGAGCCTCATGGTTTTGTGTGGTGGCTCACATTTGTAATCCCAATACCTTAGGAGGCTGGTGAGGGGAGGATCATTTGAGCTCAGGAGCTAGAGATCAGCCTGGGCAACAGGGTGAGACCCTGTATCTACAAAAAAATTTTTAAAAATAGCTGGGTATAGTGGCATGTGCCTGTAGTCCCAGCTACTTGAGAAGTTGAGGCGGGAGGCTGAGGCAAGAAGGTCACTTGAGCCCAGGAGATTGCAGCTACAGTGAGCTATGTTCCCACCCCTGCACTGCAGCCTGGGCGACAAAGTGAGACTCTGTCTCAAAAAATAATAATAATGGACTGGGCACAGTGGCTCACACCTGTAATCCCAGCACTTTGGGAGGCCAAGAAGGGCAGGTCACTTGAGGCCAGGAGTTTGAGACCATCCTGGCCAACATAATGAAACCCCATCTCTACTAAAAATACCAAAATTAGCTGGGTGTGGTGGCATCCGCCTGTAGTCTTAGCTACTCAAGGAGGCTGAGGCAGGAGGATCACTTGAGCCCAGGAGGTGGAGATTGCAGTAAGCCGAGATTGTGCCACTGCACTCCAGCCTGGGACACAGAGTGAGACTACGTCTCGAAAAAAAATAGTAATAATAATAAATAAAGTGCTTTATGAGCTTTTTTTTAATATAAAAAAGAGTAAATTTAAATTCTTTATTTAAAAAAATTTGGGCCGGGCGCGGTGGCTCACAGCTGTAATCCCAGCACTTTGGGAGGCCGAGGCGGGCGGATCACGAGGTCAGGAGATTGAGACCATCCTGGCTAACACGGTGAAACCTCGTCTCTACTAAAAATACAAAAAATTAGCCGGGCGTGGGGCGGGCGCCTATAGTCCCAGCTGCTCAGGAGGCTGAGGCAGGACAATGGCGTGAACCCGGGAGGCAGAGCTTGCAGTGAGCCGAGATTGCGCCACTGCACTCTGGCCTGGGCAACAGAGAAGACTCCGTCTCAAAAAAAAAAAGAAAAAAAAATTTAAGGCTGGGCGCAGTGGCTCACGCCTGTAATCCCAGCACTCTAGGAGGCCAAGGCGGGTGGATCACTTGAGGCTAGGAGTTTGAGACCATCCTGGCCAACATGGCAAAACCCTGTCTCTAGTAAAAATACAAAACTTAGCTGGGCGTGTTAGCGGGCACCTGTAACCCAGCTACTCGAGAGGCTGAGGCAGGAGAATCACTTGAACCTAGGAGGCAGAGTTTGCAGGGAGCAGAGATCACGCCACTGCACTCCAGCCTGAGCGACAGAGAGAGACCCTGTATTTAAAAAAAAAAAAAAAAAAAAAAGGCCGGGCGCAGTGGCTCACGCCTGTAATCCCAGCACTTTGGGAGGCCGAGGCCGGCGGATCACGAGGTCAGGAGATCGAGACCATCTTGGCTAACATGGTGAAACCCCGTCTCTACTAAAAATACAAAAAATTAGCTGGGCGCGGTGGCGGGCGCCTGTGGTCCCAGCCACTGGGGAGGCTGAGGCAGGAGTATGGCGTGAACCTGGGAGGCGGAGCGTGCAGTGAGCCGAGATCGCGCCACTGCACTCCAGCCTGGGCTACAGAACAAGACTCCGTCTCAAAAAAAAAAAAAATTTAAATAAATAAAGAGCCTCATGAACATTCACACTCCCATCGAAGCAATCTCAGGGGTTCCTACAAGGGTATCTCGGCACTAGGGCCACCGTATGCTACCGTCAGGTGTCAGGTCCTGTTTTGCCCTCTGCTCAGGAAGCAGTCTGGAGAGGGAGAAATTCTGTGGCTACTGCTGACCACTTCTCATGAAATCGCCATTGCTGCATCATGGGTGCTGTCTCCTGGTGCCCCTGAGGAGCCGCTGCCTGAGGTGCCCCTGAGGAGCCGCAGCACTGGGCTCCAGGCGAAGGACTCTTCCTTGCTACATGCTGAAGCCTCGCTGTCAGGGCTGACCCTCTCCAGCTGCAGGCATGATTTGCCCCAGGTAACTGAAGTGCACCTGGAATTTTCCATCACATGTCCCAGAGCCAGGAATCTGCCAACCTGGCTTCTGTCCTCCGCTCACCACCTTCTGTAACAGTGGGAGCTGGTCCAGGCCCATCAAGAGCAGGCAGCACATCAGTGCCAGTGACAGCTCTGTTCGAACATAGCCAAGAAGCAGCTGTTCCTATCCTTTTCCCAACAAAGCAAGAGCCGGGATATGGCTCTGTGGCAATTGCAGCCAACAGTTTCCATCACCAAGTGAGGCATTTGCTTCCTAGTCCAAAGCATCTATGTATAGTGTGTTTGCTATTTTCCCCTAAGACCCAGGGAGGGATACCTGGCTTATATCCTGGTGCCTTACATCTACAGGGTACACCCTGGAGATTTTGCCAAAGCAAAGGAACAATCTGCTTCAAAGGTGAAGTCAACTTCCATTTTACAGAAGACTGAAAAACGGGCCCGGCTCCAAAATGGCAGGTTCACCAACGCTCACTCGTTGAGGTTTCTAAGTCATAGAATCATGTCACTGACAAAGCCCCTTTGGAACAAAATTATTATGATATAGCATAAAGAGTGCTTCAACAGAAGTGTGAGCATGGTGTGACGAAGGAGAGTCCCTGCTTTGAGCCTCAGTTTTCTCACCTGTAAGGTTACTGACCTCATCAACTTATTGTACAGTTTAAAAGAGACAGTGTCTGCAGGTGCCACAGCCAGCTGGAGATTTTGCCAAAGCAAAGGAGCCTAGCTCAGCACACCTGACAGCTAGGGGCTGCTGAAAGTCATTGTTATTGCCCTTCAGGCCATAAGGACTCTTCCTGTTTGCCCACTGAGTGTCCTGTTTGTCACTCTTGCAGGACAGCACAGATGTGGGCTTTGGGAGCCAGGACTCCTTAACTTGGCTTTATTAGGAATTTAATTTAGTGACCTTGGTCATGTCCTTCAGGAGCCAAGAATCCAAGTAAAGTCGTATCTGTGTATTCTCTGAGCACTGGCTGATGTGCAAACATTCAGGCCCCATGGCTTTCCCACAGGGCATCTTTCCTCCGCTCTCCATGTGGTCAGCCACGGAAGGGGTAGGAGGAGATGAACAATAGACACTTCATCATTTTTCCCTTATGGATTAATCAAATCCCATTTTTCCGTCACCAAATATAAGGCAAGAGTTTCCTAATAGAATCTGACTCCGAACACCTGGCGTACAGTTGGTTTAGATTAAGGATCTTACATAAATAAAACAGCAGCAGACATCCAGCCAGCTAGCGCAGAAGACCTGCCATGGGGGTGGGGGGAAGGAGACGCACGGTTTGTCAACACACACCAAGGTAACCAGCTGGTTAGGGCCATGTGAACTTCCCGTGGATTTTTTTCTTCTTTTTTTGGCAAACATTTATTTCACACTACTCTGGAAGGTGATGTGGCACAGCAATTAAATATGAGCCAAAAAAAATGGTTTAGAATCCAGACCCTGCTACTTACTGACTGTGAAATGAAGGCAAATGACTGATAAGGTGCCCGCTTCCTCATCTACAAAATTACCTCCTCCCAACATTGGGCCATTGCAGGGATTACATGAGAGACACATGAAAGACACATGAAAGACACATGCAAAGACTTTAGAATTACCCTGGGCTCATGGTACGCCCTTGAAAACATTAGCTACGACTATTATTGTTATGTGCTGGGCACTGAGCCAGCTGGGGTTTCCCATAACATAGTTCCTGACTTAAAGTGATGGCTCAAGATATTGAGAAGGCAATGGGACCCACTAGAAAGGAAGCTCTATGAGGGCAGGAATCTTTTGTTTCTGTTTTGTTTTCTATTGTACTCCCAGGGCCTAGAATAGTGCCTGGCACATAGAAAGTACTTCTTAATATATTTTGGTTGAATGACTACATTGAAACCATTGTTTAAGGAGCTATGCTTGACTGTGTAGGATTCAGGGGGGACACAAAGGAGGGGTGTCAATAAAATGATTATACAAATTAATCAGTGAGATACGTAAGGAATTAAAATACTTGAAGAGTGTGGAATCTTATCAGGCAACACAGTTGTAAAATAAGTTACAGTAAAGGTTTAAAAATTTGACTAAGCCTACCACTTTCAGAGGCTGAGGCGGGAGGACTGCTTGAAGCCAGGAGATCAAGAACAGCCTGGGCAACATAGCAAGACTCTGTCTCTACAAAAAAATATAAACAATTAGCTGGGCAGGGTGGTGCACACCTATAGTTCCAGCTACTCAGGAGGCTGAGATGGGAGGATCATTTAAGTCCAGGATGTGGAGGCTGCAGTGTGCTGTGATCACGCCACTGCACTCCAACCTGGGTGACCAAGCAAGACCCTATCTCGAAATAAAAATAAAATTAAGAAAAAAAATGTGACTAACGGGAATAACTTCTTGTGACTCAGCATCCAAGTTATAACAAAATTTGGGGACTTAAATTCCCATAACCTTAAGACAGAGTTAGAGAGGTGAACCTGAATCTTGGGTACCATCAGCCTGGAAGTACTAGCACAGTTGCAGGCCAGCATCTCTGACTTCTAACTTGAACCTGTAACCTCAGTTGCAGGCCAAGACCATCAGTTGACCTGAGATGGTACATCTGCTTCATGTAATTGAGGAAATGACTTTGCTACTCAGGAAAGTTAATAATAAGCTACAGAGATGAGGTGGGTGCAGTGGCTCACGCCTGTAATCCCAGCATTTTGGGAGGCCAAGGCGGGTGGATCACCTGAGGTCAGGAGTTTGAGACCAGCCTGGCCAACATGGTGAAACCCCGTCTCTACTAAAAATACAAAAAATTAGCTGGGCATGGTGGTGCGCACCTGTAATCCCAGCTACTCTGGAGGCTGAGGCAGGAGAATCGCTTGAACCCAGGAGGAGGAGGTTGCAGTGAGCTGAGATCGCACCATTGCACTCCAGCTTGGGCAACAAGAGCGAAACTCCATCTCAAAAACAAAACAAAACAAAACAAAACAAAACAAAACAAAAAAACTACAGAGATAATAAGCAAATGAAATCCATTTGCTTTAGAATTCAGGCCCTGTTACTTACTGACTGTGAAATGAAGGCAAATGACTGAATGCCGACATGCCCACTTCTATGGGATTAAGTCTTCCATGGGCTGTTGAGGAATAAATTTTGAATTCCTCAAGAAAAATAGCATATAATAGTTATTTCAGGTGGTTGAAACATTTAAGAAAATCTGACATATTAATTGTATGATTTTAATTTGTAATGTTTAATTATTATTAAACATCATTTTATTTTAAAACATGCATGAAAGTTGTTTAACTTATAAACAGTATTTGACTGTCTAAAAGACTGAAATGTTTTTAAGTCTATAGGAATATTATGTTTGTAACTAGAGTTTCCATGCTGAAGAGTGTTTTGTTTGTCTTATGACTAAGTCAGCCTTCTAGGGTATTTGATATGCTTGAGATAATCAGTTACAGTTGGACCCTTGAACAACATGGGAGTCAGGGACTCCCTGCACAGTGAAAAATTTGTGTACCACTTTTGACTCTCCAAAAACTTAAGTACCAATAGCCAACTATTGACCAGAAACCTTACTGATAACAAACAGTCCATTGACACATATTTTGTACATTACATGTATTATATACCATATTCTTTTTTTAAAATTTTATTATTATTATACTTTAAGTTTTAGGGTACATGTGCACAATGTGCAGGTTTGTTACATATGTATACATGTGCCATGCTGGTGTGCTGCACCCATTAACTCGTCATTTAGCATTAGGTATATCTCCTAATGCTAACCCTCCCCTCTCCCCACACCCCACAACAGTCCCCGGAGTGTGATGTTCCCCTTCCTGTGTCCATGTGCTCTCATTGTTCAATTCCCACCTATGAGTGAGAACATGCGGTGTTTGGTTTTTTGTCCTTGTGATAATTTGCTGAGAATGATGGTTTCCAGTTTCATCCATGTCCCTACAAAGGACATGAATTTATCATTTTTCTTACAGTAAAGTAAGCTAGAGAAAAGAAAATGTTATTAAGAAAATCATAAGGGACTGGGCATGGTGGCTCATGCCTGTAATCCCAGCACTTTGGGAGGACAAGGTGGGCGGATCACCTGAGGTCAGGAGTTCAAGACCAGCCTGACCAACATGGTGAAACCCCATCTCTACTAAAAATACAAAAATAGCTGGGCATGGTGGCACATGCCTGTAATCCCAGCTAGTTGGGAGGCTGAGGCAGGAGAATTGCTTGAACCCGGGAGGTGGAGGTTGCAGTTAGCAGAGATGGCGCCATTGCACTCCAGCCTGGGCAACAAGAGCAAAACTCCGTCTCAAAAAAAAAAAAGAAAATCATAAGGAAGAGAAAATATATTTACTATTCATTAAGTGGAAGTGGATCATCATAAAGGGCTTCATCCTCCTTGTCTTCATGTTGAGGAAGCAGAGGAGGAGGAAGAGGAAGTGTCGGTCTTGCTGTCTTAGGGATAGCAGAGGTGGGAAAAGCAGATGGGGTAGAAGAGGAGGTAGGAGAGGTAGGCACACTTGATGTAACTTTTATTGAAAAAAATTTATATTTTTTAAGGGGATCCTTGTTGTTCAAACCTGGGTTGTTCAAGGGTCAACTGTATATTAAATTTGGGATTATAATTTAAAATTTATTTATTAGTTTATTTATTTTTGTTTTTGTTTTGAGACAGAGTCTTGCTCTGTTGCCCAGGCTGGAGTGTAGCAGTGTGATCTTAGCTCATTGCAACCTCCACCTCCCAGGTTCAAGCAATTCTGGTGCCTCAGCCTCCCAAGTAGCTGGGATTACAGGCACGCACCACCAAGTCTGGCTAATTTTTGTATTTTTAGTAGAGATGGTGTTTCACCATGGTGGCCAGGTTGGTCTCAAATTCCTGACCTCAAATGACCCACCTGCCTCGGCCTCCCAAAGTGCTTGGATTACAGGCGTGAACCACTGCACCTGGCCTAAAATTTAAAGGGATTTAATTAACCATGATGGTTAAATGGGGTTAATTATTTAAGGAAATATTATTTTTAAAACTTAACCGAACATTAATTAAAGGACAAATGAAAGTGATGTTATTTTTATACAAAATGACTAGATTTGTGAATAAATTAACTAGATTGGTACACTGAGCTTTAAGGCTTATGAAAAAGGTATAGTTTAAACTTACAACTTTATTACATTGAAATACCAATGTAATTTTTTTACATTGAAATATCAGTGAAAACCAAGCAACTGTAAGTATCCCTTTTCATGCAGAAAAGCTTCTGTGTGATATTTTAAAACCTGAATCAACAAGGGAATGCTTATAAAATCCAGAAGGGCTTGACTGAGTGGTCCTGTTAAAAGTGTTGCTATTGTGGGTCTTCCTGGAATTTTTTGTATTATTAAAATAAATTTAAAAACTTAGGTTTATATAACTGCTATGATTTGAATGTGTCCCCCCAAACGCACGTGTTGGAAACTTAATCCTCAATGCAACAGTGTTGGGAGGTGGGGTCTAATTGGAGGTGTTTAGGTCACAAGGGCTCCAACCTTGTGAATGGATTAAGCACTGATTATAAAAGGGCTTGAGGCTGTGAGTTCAATCTGTTGTTCTCTCATGCACGCACACACTCACTTGCTATGTGACGCCTTCTACTATGTGATGCCTTCTACCACGTTATGACACAGCAAGAAGGCTGCCAGATGCAGATGCAGCCCCTTGATCTTGGACTTCCCAGCCTCCAGAACCGTGAGCCAAATAAACTTCAATTGTTTACAAATTGCTTGGTCTGCGGTATTTTGTTACAGCAGCACAAAATGTCAAAACTATCCATTTCAATGCCCTTAAAAGACTCCTCTGTCATCTGCTCACCAGATTGGCAGGCCCTCTGGAACAGAGACTGTGCGTCACAGATTTGCAACTCTCTGCAGGGCTCCTCCCCAAATGACCCCAACACCCACCCTTTCTCAACTGCCAGATATACAGTGCACCCCTGGGACCATGCGTTTGTTCATTCTCCTGCACTGGGGATTCAGCAGGTCTGGTGCTGATCCTTAGGGAAAACTCTGGAAATTTGTGGGAATATTTTAAATAGGGTGATTGCAAAGCATGACTGTCATTAAATGGGTGGGAACCAAGGATGCTAGATGTTCTGTGATCATAAGACAGTCCTATATATGAAGAATTGTTTCATAAACTATATGATTTTCAAATGTTTGCTAGACATTCATGTGGGTGAAAAACTCAATTATAGTTATTTGAGGCTAGAATCTGACTCTATTTTCCATATAAACTGAGACATTTTTGCATGGTTTTAATATATGCTGAATTTTCCAAGAGTGCAATTACTATGTAAATCAAGAGAAGATTGTACTTTATTACATTTGAAACTTTACCAGGAGTTGCTTGTTATTTTGGAAAAAATCACATCACCAAAGGCAAAGTAGCTCATAGTATTTGAGTTATCAATGCAATACCACAGTATCTGTCTGCATTTGTGGGTGTCCATCATCCATGGTGATTCTGTATACAAATGCAAGAATATCACTACTTTATCCTAACACTGACTGGGGGCATTTCCAAGCTTTTCTATGTTGAAATACACATTATTTAATTCAAAAACCTCTCCTTTTATTTATCCTTTATACGACACTTGGGTGTTAGATTCACTTTATAAAATCATGTATGTATGCAGGGTAAATTATCTCTGAACTCCATTTCAGAATACTGAGGGATATTACACAGTAGTTGTTGGGTCCTGCACTGCTCTCCACCTTTAATCTCTTCTCTGAAAGTTCCTTTTGCCTTCTTGAAATGTGGTTCTCCTCCCAGAATCTTATCTCTTCTGTAGCCCTCACAACTGATGGTTGCTTTCTCTCCTACACCCTCCTACCACTCGACTCAGAAGTGGGCTAGGTGTCTGCTTCTTCCCCGCTAAGAGTTCCAGACCTTTGTTCTCCTTCTCTGAAAATCCCCAGCTCTGAAGCTCCTAGCCTCAGACAATAGCACTGCCTTCTTCAGAGCTCTGGGTCTTTGCTCCTTGAGGATTTTAGCCTGCGTTCATTGTCTCTCTCTCCAACACTGTGTCAGTCTCAGTTCTTGGTGATTTCAATATTCATGGAAATAGGGGCAATGTTCAGTTAAAGCACAGGCAGTGACCAATCAGAAGTAATGTCAGTCCTCTGGAGGGCCTCCTGCTGGGCATGGTATTACCCTTTAATTGCTGGGTCAGATCTTAGGGAGGTCCTGGGTCCAGGGACAGGAGCCAGGGTAGCCAAGGCAATGGAGGAGCACTCATGGGTCTTAAGCAGTGGCCATTTAACCAACTGATATGAAAGAATTTTAACATCTTAACAACTGAAATGGACATACTGATCCTACCAGGTGATATCAGCCCTGGGTGGAGATGATCCTCCCAAGTTTCTTGATCTCTCTTCTCCTGTGATCTTGTCCTCCATGCTAGCTCAGCTACCCACTCCCATTGTCATGTGCTGGACCCATGAACATAGTTGCACCCCCTCCACGATGTAAAATGTAAGCATCCCACTCTTGGATCTCTAGCTTCTGTCCTTCCAGCGTACTCTACCGACAGCCCCAACTCCAGCATTCTGCCACCTAATCAGAGCCTACAATTCATTATATGTCACAGTTTCCACTATGCCTCTCCTCCTTCATGCCTTCCAGTCTTTTCTAATCTAATCACCCAGTTTAGTTTAGACTAATTTAATCACCCAGATTAGATTCCACCAAACAGCACCGTAATCATGCCCTTGTGTATACAAAATCCCCTTACCCTACTCTTCCTTTTTTTTTCACCAGCCTGGCAAAGCCAATCTGTGTTAAAATCAAGTCTTCACCTGTTCCAAGCCTGCTCTTAGGTACTTGAATGTCGCTGAAGAAAACCGCACTGCCACATCAATCCTACTACATTGCCTAAGCCAGTCACTTTCCTACTCTACTAAACAATCAGAATTACCACATGTCTTTTCTTGCCTCTTCAAACTTCCAAAACTCATCTGTCCCCCTTACTCAAATCTAGTGGTTCTCAGAATTTTTGGACTCGGGGCCCCTTAAATAACTCTTGAAATTTGAGGACCCTAAAGAGATATTGTTATATGGATTATATCTATTGATATTTATTATATTAAAATTAAAGCTGAGACATTTTAAATATATGTATTATTTATTTAGAAATAACAATATAAGCCCATTATATGTTAACATAAATAACATATTTTTATGAAAAAGAACTACATTTTTCAAACTCCAAATTTATTTATTTATTTATTTATTTTTTGAGACAGATCTCACTCTGTTGCCCAGGCTGGAGTGCAGTGGCGTGATCTTGGCTCACTGCAACCTCTGCTTCCCGGGTTCAAGTGATTCTCCTGCCTGAGCCTCCCAAGTAGCTGGGATTATAGGCACATGCCACTACATCTGGCTAATTTTTGTATTTTTAGTAGACACGGGGTTTCACCATGTTGGCCAGGCTGGTCTCGAACTGCTGACCTCAAGTGATCTGCCTGCCTCGGCCTCCCAAAGTGCTGGGATTACAGGTGTGAGCCACTGCACCCAGCCTCAAACTCTAAAAAATTTTAATGAGAAAAGAAGCACTGTTTTATATTTTTACAAAAATCTTTTTCATGTTTGGCTTAAAACAACTGGATTCTCATATCTGCTTCTGGATTCAAATTGTTATAAAATGGAGTTTTGAGTGAAGTATATTAGGAAAATCCACAGACACAGATAAGTCATTAGAAATGGGAGGAATATTTTGATAGTCTTTTGAGATGATTGAGGAAATTCTTCTTTGATATTGTGCACAAACTTGACAGGTGGTAATTTTTTAAAGGTTAGTCATAGTTTAGATTTTCAAACCACAATAATCAACTTTTCATACTCAGTTACATTAAAATCTATTGATTTATCTTGTACTTTGAATGGATTTTTTTCACCCATGTATGATATTGTAACATCATGCATCACCCATTTGAAAATATTGGTTCACAGAAGTATGCAGATATTCTAAATGTTGACATATTTAATTAAACAAGACTGTTAAAAAGTCATAGCCATTAGTATCATCACCGATCTCATCAGAAATCTTTAAGTATTGAGAAGCTGCCATGCTCGTGGGGACAGATACAAGTTTTCCAAGACTCTAAGTTTTTCAGCGGGGTGTGAATTTTATCATTGTCAACAAATGGTTCACAAAGAACTCCTGTCAAACAGACTTGCTTTGTTCATTTGTTAGTGTCTGCCAAATACCTAAATCTGAATAATCAAAGTTGGCCTGTCAGCCATTCTTTCAACTGGTGTTCCTTAGGTAAAGAGGCGAGGCCGCCTCTCACGTCAAACAATCTCACGAGTGCTTTTCCTCGAAACAGCTCTCATACTTTGGTATGCGGCATAAGTGCTCTATGCGTACTTCCTATTCAACAGAGAATATTAAAAAGACCTGTACTCTAGGGATGAAATTTCATAAAATTCATATTTTTCACTTCTTCATCAAGGATATTCTTCAGCGAAACTGCTTTTTATCCCCTGCAACTGCTTGGTGGTGAAGAATATAATGACCACTAGGAGAGTTTGGCACCACTGCCTTGATTTGTGCTAAGACAACAGCAGTTTTATAAACCATTGCTTTTGCACCATCAGCACAGTTGTTAACATAGTTGTTGCAGGATAAACCAGGCAATTCAAAAAAATTATTCAACCTTTTGAACATTTCAGCACCACTGTGTTCATTGCATCCACATCCACATATACATCATCAATCTTTGATGATAGGTTGGTGCTGAACCTGAACGAACGCAAGCAAAAGTTGCAAACCAAGGCACACGCATAGATTTCCTCATTTTAAGGCAAAAGTTCAATTTTACAGAGGAGATATTCACTTAGTCTTTATGTTTGCAGCTAATTCTTGACTTGGAGTTACCACATCATTGAAAAGTGGCAGTTATGTCATTTCTTTTTTCTTTTTCTTTTTTATTTTTACACAGGGTCTTGTTCTGTCACCCAGGCTGGAGTGCAGTGGCATGATCACAGCTTACTGCAGCCTCACCCTCCTGGGCTCAAGTGATCTTCCTGCCTCAGCCTCTGGAGTAGCCAGGAGCACAAGTGCATGCCACCACGTCTAGCTAATTGTTTAAATTCCTTGTAGATACTGGGTCTTACGATGTTGCCCAGGCTAGTCTCAAAATCCTGGGCTCAAGCAATTCTCCACCTCAGTCTTCCAAAGTGCTGGGATTACAGGTGTTAAGTTTAGCCTGAAGCTACCTCCTTACATATTGATTTTTGTTTGTTTGGTTGGTTGGTTGGTTTTTTGTTTTTGTTTTTTTTTTTGAGATGGAGCCTTACTCTGTCGCCTAGGCTGGAGTGCAGTGGCACGATCTCGGCTCACTGCAACCTCCACCTCCTGGGTTCAAGCAATTCTCCTGTCTCAGCCTTCTGAGTAGCTGGGACTACAGGTGCGCACCGCCCCTCCTGGCTAATTTTTGTATTTTTAGTAGAGATGGGGTTTCGCCATATTGGTCAGGCTGGTCTTGAACTCCTGACCTCAGGTGATCCACCTGCCTCAGCCTCCCAAAGTGCAGGCATTACAGGTGTGAGCCACCGCGCCCGGCCATCCTTACATATTTTAGGTTCAGCCTAAAGGTTTCTCTGTACATCATGAACTATAACCTAAATGGAATTGTAAACTGGCTGTGGCCTACTCTTGTGCCAGTCACTGAGTTTTTGCCAATCAAATGTGGCCAACTGTTCAAATAAGGCAACCGTGTTCAAATAAGGCAAATGCGGAGCTATAACCAATCTGGCTGTTTCTGTGCCTCATTTCCATTTTCTGTGCATCACTTTCCTTTTTCTGTCCATAAACCTTCTACCATGTGGCTGCGCTGGAGTCTCTGAGCCTGCTCTGGTTTGGGAGGCTGCTCGATTCACAAATCATTCTTTGCTCAATTGAACTCTTTTAAATGTAATTTGGCTAAGGTTTTTCTTTTAACACAGGCACGAGCCACCACTCTTGGCCTATAATTTCTTTTAATGACTTTTCATCCAGCAGGCATTTAGCAATGTCAACTATACAAGTTGTTATTAATCTCTCTACTACTGTATGTACTTTTCTGGGCAATGTAATATGATGACTTACCTTGTAAGATGCTTCAGTAGCTTTTCCACTTCTAGTTTGAAAATCTGTAACAAACAATTATTGGATTATAAACAGTTTATTATATCTATGTTCAAAATATCCCATTCATTTTTCTTTATATTCTGTATGACCAGCCCTAATGTGGTATATCCCTAATGTGGTATTTTGTTATGGTAGCACAAAATGGTCTAAGACAAAGATCAATGTACAATAATAAAAGAAATAGTCCACCAAAATGATGTAACAGGCCGGGCGCAGTGGCTCATGCCTGTATTCCCGGCACTTTGGGAGGCCGAGGCAGGTGGATCACCTGAAGTCAGGAGTTCGAGACCAGCCTGGCCAATGTGGTGAATCCTGGTCTCTACTAAAAATTAAAAAATTAGCCAGGCATGGTGGTGGGCGCCTGTAATCCCAGATACTTGGAAGTCTGAGGCAGGAGAATCACTTGAACCCAGGAGGCAGAGATTGCAGTGAGCCAAGATCGTGCCATTGCACTCCAGATTGGGTGACAAGAGCGAAACTCTGTTTCAAAAAAAAAAAAAAGATGTAACAATTATGAACTGGTATGTACTTTGTGCTTATTTAGGAAATTGTCTTAGTTCACTCGTGCTGTTATAACAAACTACTCTAGACTGGGTAATTTATAAAAAACAAATTTATTTCTCACAGTTCTGGAGGCTGGGAGGTCCAAGATCAAGGCACCAGTAGGTGTCTAGTGAGGGCAGTTCCTCATGAATGGTTCCTTCTATGTGTCCTCACATGGCCGAAGAGATGGAAAGACAAAGGCACTACAGCGCTCCCTCCAAACCTCTTTTGTAAGAGCACTAATCTAATCATGAGGGCTGAGCGCTCCTGATGTAATCACTTCCCAACAGGCTGCATCTTTTAACAGTATCACCTTGGGGTTTAAGTTCTAACATATGAATTTTGGCGGGACACACACACTCAAACCATAGCATAAATCTCACACTATCTCTGTATTCTAAATATATTTTTCTAAACTTTGTCTAATAATTCTAAAGTTTTGTTTTCATAACTGAAGCTTTAGTATATGGAGAGCATAGGCTGAGCATGGTGGCTCATGCCTGCAATCCCAGCACTTTGGGAGGCCATGGTGGGCAGTTTGTTTGAGCCCAGGAGTTCAAGACCAGCCTGGGCAGCATAGCAAGACCCTATCTCTAAAAAGAAATCAAAAAAAGAAAAAAAAAAAAAGAAAGAGAGAAACATCAAAAAAAGAAAAAGTTAAAAAAAAACAAAGAAATACATTGATAGTATAATTTTTTGAATTGTAAGGAATTCAGTTGATTAATATTAAAAAAATTAATACAATTAATTGAATAGTTCACTGTAATGCCTCATATATAATATTCTGAAGTCTGGGCTGGGCGCGGTGGCTCACGCCTATAATCCCAACCCTGGAGGCTAAGGCAGGTGGATCGCCTGAGGTCAGGAGTTTGAGACCAGCCTGGCAAACATGGCAAAATCCCGTCTCTACTAAAAATACAAAAAAATTAGCTGGGCCTAGTGGTGCATGCCTGTAATCCCAGCTGCTTGGGAGGCTGAGGCAGGAGAATAACTTGAACCCGGGAGGCAGAGGTTACAGTGAGCCAAGATCACACCATTGCAATCCAGCCTGGGCAACAAGAGCAAAACTCTGTCTCAACAACAACAAAAAAATAATTCTGAGGTCTGACATATGCTATGCCAAGATGAATTTATAGTAGCTCCATTCTATTTCACTTAACTTTTTTTTTTAAATAGAGATGAGGTCTTGATATGTTGCTCAGGCTGGTCTTGAACTCCTGCGCTCAAGTGATCCTACTGCCTCGGCCTCCCAAAGTGCTGGGATTACAGGTGTGAGCCACCATGCCTGGCCTATTCTGCTTCATTTATATATTTCTATATATCTAACCTATAATAGACTATCTTAATGAATCAAGCTTTGTGTCCCTCTTGTGTAACTGACAATGGCATAGGTCAGAGTAGATTTTTGTTTAATATCTATTGTATTTGCTGAATAGTTTTGTATTATCTATTTTGTCTTCGTTTTTTATTTTAAAAGTAAATTTGAGACCATTCTCCACTAAAAGGAGCTAGGGCTCCTGAGAGAATGGCTGATTCCAGGACTGTGCAGAGAAGATTGAGTTTCAGCCTGGATCACCTTCTTATCTCAGGGAGAAAGGGAATGCTCAAAAACAACAGCACGTGTCAAAAGAGCCTGAGGGCCAGCCTAATCTGGGAGAATATGTATATCAAATAAGTAATGATATTAACAGATTATAATTCCAATGACTGAAATAATCATTCAAGTTCATGCTAATATAAAGAAATACATTAACAAGTAAATAGGAGAAAAAGAGAACAGCTTTCCTAGAAGGGAATGCCAACTAAGAAATGCAGAATGAATGATAGAGTAGACATTCACTAACTGGCAAGTATCATAGTAATAATTTAAGCAAGAATTATCAATGGATGCGAAAGTTATGGGTGAAAATTTGATAAGGAACAGGATATTTGCATGATCTCAAAGTATTTCCTCACAAAATACTTACTAATTATAAAGAAGAAAATTGTAGCTTTACAGTGGAGAAATCTGGGAGACACCAGCTTGTCCCAGTGATCCAGGTTAGTATCACCAGCAATGGAACAGACTAACATATGTGACTTTTTTTTTTTTTTTTTTTTTTGAGACAGGGGTGGTTCAATCACAGCTTACTGCAGCCTCCACCTCCTGGGATCAGATGATTCTTCCACCGTAGCCTTCTGAGTAGCTGGGACTACAGGTGCGTGCCACCACACCTGGCTAACTTTTGTATTTTTTTGTAGAGACAGGGTTTCACCGTGTTGCCCAGGCTAGTCTCAAACTCCTGAACTCAAGCCATTCACCCACCTTAGTCTCCCAAATTTCTGGGATTACAGGCGTGAGCCACTGCACCCAGCCCATACGTGACTCTTGATATGGTGCAATGCAAAACACACAGCATCACTTTCCTGGTAATCCTGCCAAAGACACAAAATCTGAACTTAATCACAAAGGAACATCAAATATACCTGAATTGAAAGACATCCTACAAAATAATTGGCCTCTACTTTTCAAAAATGTCAAGGTCATGGAGGACTAAGAAAGACTGAAGAACCATTACGGATTGAAGAAGACTAAAGAGATTACATGCTGATTAAGAGCAATAATTTTAAATAATATTTTAAATAATTTTAAAATATCTAATCCAGGATTACATGTTGCATTTAATCAACATGTAATATTTAAAAATTATTTTTCT
Source organism: Homo sapiens (assembly GCF_000001405.40). NCBI lineage: Eukaryota > Metazoa > Chordata > Mammalia > Primates > Hominidae > Homo > Homo sapiens. The sequence continues at coordinate 62,375,905 of NC_000001.11, forward strand.
ATTACTGTGTAGATATTATTAAGGTAACTAGCAAATGTTGAATGAGGTCTATGGATTAGATAATAATATTGCCTTGCTATTAATCTCCTGATTTTGACATCTGTTTGGTGGTTATGTAAGAGAAGGTCTTTGTTCTTAGGAATTACATACTGAAATATTGAGGAGTAAAAGAGCATATGCCTGCAACTTACTCTCATACATATAAAAGCAAATGTGGCAAATGTTAAACTTTGGGGAATTCGAACAAAGAGTATCCAGTAGTTCTTGGTATAACTTTTAAAACTTTTTTCTAAGTTTGAAATTATTTCAAAATAAAAAATTATTTACAAAAATAGTGCATTTTCTTTCCTACCATAATATCTATATTTTAAATGTGAGCCTTAGCTTTTTTTTTTTTTTAAATCACTCTTTGGGACCTCAATAGTGTTTATTCAATGTATATTTTTGGCATCTAAGTGCTAGAGTCTAGGGATGTAGAGGTGAACTAGAAAAAATTTAGCCTTGTCCACATGAAGTTTATAATCTAGTGGGGAAATCAACTATTGCACAAATAATTATGTAAGTGTAGTGATTATGTGATTCATTTCTGCAGCAACATATACACTTCACAAAGTCTTGCATATGGGCAAACATTATTATATTCCTTCCTTATGAAAATATGAACTCGATCTCACCTTTTTTTTTTTCTGAAGGTCCTCTCTGTCTCACAATGACACTACAACCCCAGGAAGCCATTAAGAGTCCACCCAACTGATTCCTTCTTTCACTGTGTGTTTCTGTTGGAGGGATGAGCATTAAAGAGGGAAACGGTGGTGGTTGTTCTTTTGAAAGCTAAAAAACTTTCCATCTTGAAAAGCGTTAAAGTCTGCTGCAGAAGCAGGGCACTTTTTCAAACCTCCTGTTCATTACAGAGATACACATCTAAGGAACTTTGGGCCATGTTGTGGGGTGACTTTTGAAATTCAAACAAAAGAGAGTTTGTTACAGAGCTCGAAAAGGCAGTTCTGAAAGCTTCATTAATTCTAATAATAACTTCCAATTAATTCATTCGTCACATCCTGATTTTCTGAAATCATTCATTTTCTAAGAGGCTACCTTTAAGTGAAATTAAGAATGCTATGATTTTAATTGATCCAACCTAAGCTAACCATTTAGCCATTTATTAAAATGTAAAACAGAAGCCTGGGCCCAGGTCTGAGATGAGCAATTTGCAATAACACCCTTCATACATGCAGCCTTTGGAATGAGGAATCCTGACACTCCCGGGGGATATTAAGGATCTAGGGATAAATAGAATTACACCAGGTGCTTCTCCTGGCTTGGGGCCCAAGGCATGATAACAGAGGGGATATCAGTGAGGCCATAATGGGAACACATCCAACATTCTCCAGTTCAACCCGCCCAGTGAAAATATAGCTCTCTAGTAGGAGTGAGGGGGTGGAGACATGGGGATGGAGATGAGAATGAGGATGTGTGGCGTGGGGTTTGGAAGTGTGGGTTGTTCAGGAAGCTTCCCTCCTGCCACTGTAGACCTTGTTAACTGCTGTGGGTCATTAGCAGTCCCTCACTCTGTGTCTGGGGTATGTCTGCTTCCTAGGGTGCTGCCTCTCTGCTCAGACCTGGCCCCCTAGGGCCTGCCTTGCCATGGCTATGGTACCTCAGAACTATTCTGGAATTAGCTGATGTTTTCACTGCACCTCCTTGCCGCCCAACCTCTGGCACTTGGCCCCGTCAACTATCATGCAAAGTTTTTAGCTCTTAAACGCAGGTGTCTCTCCATTTTTGGAAAACGAATCACAGAAATACCTCAATCCACAAACTAATAAATCCAGAGAGGAGGCTCTGTTCTATAAATGGATTTCCCAGAAAGCCTTTCTGAAAACTGAGCTTTCCTGATTAGCAGAGGCAGATTTACCATGAAGCCAACAAAGCTTACATGACATCACTCATTTTCAGAGGCCCCTCCAATGCCACGGGAGGTTCCGTAATAATGCGTTTCCATGGTCCTATTTTAACAAATTTTCAAAGGCATAGTATCTTAACTGTAACTGCTTATAGCTACTGTCTGCTTCCCCTACATGCCCCTTTCCCTGTGTCCATGGTTTTTGGTGTCTGGGAGCAATTTCAGGATCCAGGTAAAGGAAGCATGAGTTGGGTCTAATCACATTTAGTCTGGGTTTAGTGGGACATTTTTATGTGCCTCCAATTCAGTTTGATCTATAGTTATTGCTAGACATCCTAGTGTGGGAAAAGCCTCTCAGGAATGTCCCTACCAACCATATATGGACTCCCTTCAGACTCACGACAGGAAGAGACTACACTCGTAAGTATGTAAGTAATGGAGGACAAACATGCACGAAGAAAAACTGTCCTGGCTGGGCCAAGGCCCTTGTGAAAGGAAGACTCCTTCCAGCCAGGTCGCACTTTCCCCACCAAGGAAAGCCCTTGTCTCCTAGGTGTGGAATTCTAGAAGCTTCTTTCCTTTCAAGGAGGCAGGAAGCTCCTTTGCCTCCTCTTCACTGGAGTTACAATCGGCCCTTGGCAGATTCTCTGTGCTGGGCTAGTAGAGACCACAGCTCCTCTTCTTGAGGCTGTAGGACCCATTTCTAAAAAACTAAATTTTTGTGAATAAAATATTTAAATATCTTGAGAGATCTCAATACTTAAAAGGATCTCAGGGAGACTCTTTCCACAAAAAGAATACGTGCTTCCAAATTACTCTGCTATGAGTTCTAGGGTTACAAATAATAGCTAAAATATTTTGGACTCTTGCTTTGTGCCAGGTACTGTGTTAAGTGTATTTAGTGCACATTATTTAATCTGCTTATTAAAGCAAAGGGAAAATCATTAAAATTATCCCAAATTTTAGAGATGAGTTAGTTGGGGCTTATTGAGGTTATGTAACCTACTAAGTAAGGGCCTCCCAGTTCTGAAGAGGTAGAAGCAATCTTCAAAAGTTAGGTTCTTTTGAGTTTTAGGGACTGCTTTTTCTTTAATTTAATATTGTCTTGTAATTATGTAAAATGTGAACATGGTTCTCAAGTCAAATCTATAAAAATATGCCTCTATTCTTTTCCCCTCATGCTAGTTCATTCTGCCCCATAAGTAATCTCTTTTTAAAATGATTTATCCTTCTAATTTTGAAAAAATATTCAAGCAAATACCTTTTTTAGAGAAATGATAGCGCACTTTTCTTCATTTTGTTAAATCTGAAGAACATAAAACCAAATGACGCATTTGAACCTAAATTGTGTAGTTTAAGCCTATGATAAAGTGACTTTAAAACATAGATACTTGACTAATTTGATTACTTTAGAAGACACCTGGAAATGTCTTCTATGACTGTTTTGAAAATTGGTAAAATTTTTAAGAAGAATCAAGACAGGCCAGGCGTGGTAGCTCGCACCTGTAATCCCAGCACTTTGGGAGGCCGAGGCACGTGGATCACCTGAGGTCAGGAGTTCAAGACAAGCCTGGCCAACATGGTGAAACCCCGTCTCTACCAAAAATACAAAAATTAGCTGGGCGTGGTGGCAGGCACCTGTAATCCCAGCTACTTGGGAGGCTGAGACATGAGAACTGCCTGAACCCAGGAGGTAGAGGTTGCAGTGAGCCAAGATCACATCACTGCACTCCAGCCTGGGGGTCAAGAGCCAAACTCCATCTCAAAATAAATAAATAAATAAATAAATAAAAGAAGAATAAAGACTTTATCCTGCCATTCCTAAAAAAAGTACTCCAATTATATGTGTGTGTGTTTACTTATTTACTTACATAAAAATATATATTTACTTATGTATTTTAATTGTACAAACTATTGACAAGAAGTTTCTCTTCATAGAAGTATTTCAGCTCATATAAAAAAGAATGAGAATCAGAGGAGTATCACTTTGCAACCCCTATGAATTACTCTGCATAGGCAATGATCACCAACAGATACTAATATCACAAAAAGGAGACAGCTAGATATTACCAACTGCACAATGAAAGTAAACACAACCACCTATAGTCTTGCTAAAAAAAAAAAAAAATCAAACCTGATTGTCATCAAGCCTCGTGGCCTCACTATCAGTTACAGAAACTACAAGAAAAAGGGAACATGTTAAACAACACGTTGGGGACATAATCAGCAAATTCCAGGCCATGGGAAATTCTATAGGAAAAACAACTGGTTTTTTTGACAAGTAAATTGCAAGGAATAAAAAATGAGATGAAAAGGAAAACCCATGAATTAAAAAAAAGAGACATAATCAATTTTAATGTATGGATCTTATTTGGGTTCTGATTCTAACAAACAGTCCAAAAATATTTTTAGGACCATAGGGAATTCACAGCAATTACTGAATGGGTATTTGATAAAAATCAAGTTCAGTTTTTCAATATGTTAATGTTATTGTGGGTTTGTCGATTCTTTATATTTTAGACCTACATACGGAAATATTTACGGGTGAAATATTATGTTGTCTGGGATTTGTTCCAAAATAATTCACCGGGGGAGAGGAGTGGCTAGAAATATGGATGAAACAAGATTGACCTTGTGTTTATAATTTTTGAATCAGAATGATGAGCACATAGGAATTTCTTATATTACTCTCCCTGTTTTTACGTGTTTGAAAATCTTCATACAACAAATTTTTTTATTTTTTGTTTTATTTATTTATTTACTTTGAGACAGAACCTTGCTCTATTGCCCAGGCTGGAGTGCAGTGGCATGATCACAGCTCACTGCAGCCTGTACCTCCCAGGATCAAGCAATCCTCCTGCCTCAGCCTCCCAAGTAGCTGGGACTACAGGTGTGCACCACCACACCCTGCTAATTTTTTGTTTTTGTTAGAGACGGAGTCTCACTATGTTGCCCTGTATGGTCTCAAATTCCTGGGCTCAAGTGATCTTTCCACCTCAGTCTCCCAAAGTGCTGGGATTACAGGCATGAGCCCAAAACTTTTTAAAGACTTAAAAAATTGGCTGGGCGTGGTGGCTCACGCCTGTAATCCCAGCACTTTGGGAGGCCGAAGTGGGTGGATCACGAGGTCAGGAGATCGAGACCATCCTGGCTAACACGGTGAAACCCCGTCTCTTTTTTTTTTTTTTTTTTGAGACGGAGTCTTGCTCTGTCACCCAGGCTGGAGTGCAGTGGCACGATCTTGGCTCACTGCAAGCTCTGCCTCCCGGGTTCACGCCATTCTCCTGCCTCAGCCTCCCGAGTAGCTGGGACCACAGGCGCCCGCCACCATGCCTGGCTAATTTTTTGTAGTTTTAGTAGAGACGGGGTTTCACCGTGTTAGCCAGGATGGTCTCGATCTCCTGACCTTGTGATCCGCCCACCTCGGCCTCCCAAAGTGCTGGGATTACAGGCTTGAGCCACAGCGCCCGGCCAAAACCCCGTCTCTACTAAAAAGACAAAAAAATTAGCCGGGCACGGTGGCGGGCGCCTGTAGTCCCAGCTACTCGGGAGGCTGAGGCAGGAGAATGGCGTGAACCCAGAAGGCGGAGCTTGCAGTGAGCAGAGATGGCCCCGCTGCACTCCAGCCAGGGTGACAGAGCGAGACTCCGTCTCAAAAAAAAAAAAAAAAAAAATTATGCTTTTAAACTCTAAGTTGATCCCATCTCATCACCCACCTATTAACCCACAAATATAGGGTGATTAATTTTCTCTCAGTTTTGAAAAGCAAAATTTTATCAGTATTATTAATATATCCAAATCATTCCTCACAAATTGTAACAACTTTCCTCCTCTTTCCTGTTCATTGAACATGATTTACCCTCACTCCAGTTAAAATAACACATCATTCCCCTCCTAACCCAGCCAAGAGAATTGAGAGATTCCCAAACACATTCTCAACTCCTTAATGCTAGAAAGGTGCTGCTAAACTGAGGGAAGCTGGAGATAATGGATACCAGAAGCTTTTCTCTATTCCTGTTAATGTGTTCCCCTTAGAGAAACTTAACAATAATTTTTTAACTGAGTGAAAATGGTCCCGTAAGTGATTCTGGTGGACATGGAGATGCGCCCCCCACTTGTTGCCCCAGTTGGTGGGCATGCTGTCAGTAGACAGCTTCAGAGATTGCCTCAGTTGTGGAGAGATGCCTTCTCCAAGGTTATGCCCTGCCAGGGGCAGCTCACATCATGCAGTGTGGCATGTGGTGACTTGGCCATAGTGACTCAATGCAAGACAACTCTTGACAGGCTGCTCAGCTCCAGGGTGGTGGTTGGGGGTGTCAGTTAAGGCTGCAACACAAGTGGACGTCTCCTCTGTCCACTCCTGTTTCTTTCCATTCCCTTCCACAGCTATTGCCCCCATGGGTGTTCTTGATGCACATCTGCACACTGCACTCTGTCTCGGAGTCACTCTCTGAAGAACCCACATGGCAACCGCAACCACGCACTGAAATGCCTCGCATTACTGGCAACCGAGCAACTTCATGAAGGCCTTAGTTATTCATGTCTTTGCTTAGTAGCTCAAAACACTGAGGTTGTCTTGAAAAAAATCCAAGTCGCCTATTCTTAAAAGAAGTTGACCGCTTATTGTTTTGTGGCCTGTGGACACTAGCAAAGTAGTTTGTCCTGAACACTTAGGATCAGTTGGACTCATGTCACAGCATCTTAGACCTGACCAGTGATCCCAGAGTGGGGTAGGCCTTTCTTGGTGCTCTTTGATGGATATTGATGTTGGCAAGTGCTTCACTCACCAGCTCATGCATGTGGATCCCAAGATTCTAGGGATATAGCAATCCCTTTATGGATGCAAGTTCATCCTTAAGAGAAACTCTAGGCCTCACACATATGTTTACAAATTATTCGACATTGCCAGAAGTTTCACATTGAGTGAACTTGAAGTGCAAATCATTCCAATCTTGTTGCAGCTGTCATGTTTTCCCTGTAACTGGGATTGTGAGACACAATGAGTATCTGGGTTGTCAGCAATCAGGGAGAGGAAATGCCATGGCTGGTTTATTTAGTGTAGTGTATTTGCTGGTTTAATTTTAGTTGAGATGAATATGCATAAGGGCTTTCGTAGCTTCATTCATTATTTTGGTCCCTTTTCACACAAGATCTTCTGTTCTTCAACCGTGAATTCTATTAATAAAGAGTTTCTAAGAGATGTAACCATCATGGTCAGAGAGGGAATAATGTACAAATCTTGACCATTTTCATTTGCAGATGATTTCATATTTGATCTTTATATCAGAGCCAATGGTTTGGGTTTTTTTTCTTTTTCCCAAATGGCACCTTCAGGATGGTAAGGGATATTTCTTTGCCTGAGTGTTCTAATTAACAGTAGTTATAAAAGTAAAGCAGAATTTAAAAGAATGAAATTCTGAAATATGTTATAACATGGATGAACTTTGAAAACATGCTGAGTGGAAGAAGCCAGATACAAAAAGGACAAATATTTTATTATTCCCCTTACATGAGATACCTATAGTGGTCAAATTTATAGAGACGGAAAGTAGAATTGTGCTTACCAGGGGTTGGGGTGAAGAGAGAATGGGGAAATTCTCGGCCATTATTGTTTTACAAACCCATTATTGTTTAATGGGTACAGAATTTCAGTTTGGGAAGATAAAAATGTTCTGGAGATGGATGGTGGTGATGGTTGTACAACAATCTGAATATACCTAATACCACAGAACTGTACACTTAAAATAGTTAAATGATAAATTTTATGTCATATATATTTTACCACAATTTTTTTAAAAAGTAAAGCAGAAGCTCAGAAGCGCAGTTAGTGTTGCAGCACCTGAGGGCTTTGGGAGTTCCACAGACCTAGATCTGAGTCCCTGCTTTGCCACTCAGTAGTAGTGAGTGAACTTGGTGAAGTCAACTAGCCACCTGTGGCCTCGTCAATAAAATGGGGCTACCCCACATGGTTGTTGGAAGGATTAAATGAGATAGTGTAGGTGATGCCCTTGTCACAGAGCCTGGCACCTGGTGAGTGCTCAGTAAATGCTGGCTGGGATTAGGAAGCAGAATGCAAAGTGGTTAAACCACCTGGAATTGGACCACTTAATGATGAATCCTGGCAATTTACTTCTCACCATCAGAAGGATTGGGCAAATTACTTGACCTCTCTGTGCCCCAACTGTCTCATTTGCAAAGTAGACAAAATGATAGGCCCACCTCAGAGCATTGTTATAAGGATTACAGCATTTCCATTAATGAACACATGCATTAACATGTGAAGTGCTCAAAAACGTGCCTAGCAAGCATTATTTAAATATTCACTTTTATTGTTAGGAGCAATTCTGAGGTAATAGACAAAAATGATCAAATAGTCTTATCAGAATACACACACCAAGTATTTATCTAAGGTAATTATGATTTGCCTTGTATTGCCTCATTTTAATTGTTGTTTGATATGGTTTGGATTTTTGTCCCCACCCAAATCTCATGTCGATTTGTAATCTCCGAGTTGGAGGAGGGGCCTGGTGGGAGGTGATTGGATCATGGGGGCAGATTTCCCCTTTGATGTTCTTGTGATAGTGAGTTCTCATGACATCTGGTTGTTCAAAAGTGTGTAGCACCTGCCCCCTCGCTCTCTTCCTCCTGCTCCAGCTATGTAAAACATTCCTCCTTCCTCTTTGCCTTCTGCCATGATTACAAGTTTTCTGAGGCCTCCACAGCCATGCTTCCTGTACAGCCTGGGGAACCGTGCATCAGTTAAACCTCTTTTCTTTATAAATTACCCAGACTCAGGTAGTTCTTTATAGCAATGCAAGAACAGACTAATACATTGTTGCTACGGTCAGTTAGCACTTCTCAGATGCTTACTATGTCCCAGGCGCTCTGCAAAGCACTGCTGAAGCATTGCCTTTTTAAATCCTCTCAACAGTCCCCATTTAACAAGACACAGAGCAGATCAGCAGCTTGCCCAAGGATCAGCCAACTAGAACCACCATGTGTCTGACTCCAGATTACATCACTCCACTCTACCTCTTACAACAGTCTGCAGCTGTTGCCAATGAAAACGCCTGTACAATAGAATGCAAAAAATAAATAAATAAAGCCTCTGGGATGGGGGCCAACAATTGAGACTGGAACCTGGGATAAAATTGTTATTGCATCAAGCATTAATTTAGAACTAAGCCTCCCAGAGACCAAGGCAAAATGTCATATGGTGTCTGACTTTTAAAGAGAAGCCCTGCTCTTCCCTTCCCTCACCCCAAACCTGGCCCACTCCTACACATTTACTCATCGTTAAAATCTAGGAGCAATCTACATTTGCTAGGCACTTTTCAGTTTTTCAAAATATATACTTGTTCCTGACACCAAAGTCTCAGCTAAACTGATAGCGTGGATTCTCATAGGAGGAATACTGAGTGACCTGATCAACAATATCTTCATGAGAGTTGGTGCAGGGGTTGTGTGACCACAATCCCAGTGACTACTCTTGGTGTCAGCCCTCGATAAAGGCAGGCAGCAGAGTGTTCAGTCTGTGGGCCCTAGCAGGAGTAGGTAACAGTGGATCATAGGGCTCTTTGCCCGACAATGAACTACTGTGATCCATTCAACTGCAAGTAACCATTAACACCGTTGTGTGGAAAATCATGCATTGCTTTATACTGTACTCTTTTTTTTTTTTTTTTTTGAGATGGAGTCTCGCTCTAGTGCCCAGGCTGGAGTGCAGTGGCGCGATCTTGGCTCACTGCAAGCTCTGCCTCCTGGGTTTACACCATTCTCCTGCCTCAGCCTCCTGAGTAGCTGGGACTACAGGCTCCCGCCACCACATCCTGCTAATTTTTTGTATTTTTAGTAGAGACGGGGTTTCACTGTGTTAGCCAGGATGGTCGCAATCTCCTGACCTTATGATCCGCCTGTCTCGGCCTCCCAAAGTGCTGGGATTACAGGCGTGAGCCACCGCGCCCGGCCTATACTGTACGCTTATATGGGACAAGGAATAGCAGGTCCAAATATTTAAGAAAAAATTACAGAAGAAATTAAAATTTAAAATGATACCCATTGGCCTAATGTATTTTCCTGAAAACTGGGGGAAATACAGAAGCACTAGATTTTAGTAGGAGAACATCTTGGTACAGCTCACAGAAAAGTAGTGATCACAAAATAAGGTTACATGTGAGAGGACAAAGTTCCTTAATACCTCCATTATTTTTCATGCGGGGCGGTCCCTGAAGTGCGGAGGTCAAAGCAGTCCACGGGTAAGGAGGAACCGGCCAAGTTGGAGGAGGCAGAGCTGTGAGCTTGCTGCCCTTCCAATCCCTAGAGTAGGGCAGGGGCCACCAGCTCTCAAAAGTCAGCATTCTTCCATAGAAAGGATTCCTTTCTGTGCCATAGGCTAAGCATTCTATTTCTTACTCTGCCACTGGGCCTAACAGCAGTGAGCTAATATGTTTTATGAATTTCTAAGACAGAGCAGCTTAATGCTGCCTTTCCCAAACTTTGATCAAGGAAAATCTGTATTGGCAGCACATCTATTAATATCTATATAACAGGGCTCCTCACGACACACTGATCTAATGTAATGAGCAGACAATGGTGAATAAACTTTGGCCCATGACCAAGGGAAAGGAAACATAATCCTTGTGTTGTGCTTTTATCTTGCTTTCTAGTTTAAATGTTGGTTTCTCTTTAAATGAGGCCCTCTGATTTACAGGAGTCCTTTGTGCAAGAAAAGCGTATTTGCATTTCAAAGTCTTACATTTCCCAATACAGCCAACTTCTGAGAACACATTTTACTGTGATAAAGACCTTTCTGAGATTAGAAAGCTAAACAATAGTACAGTGCATTAAAAAAGTTCTTTACTATGGAATTAGCCATGAAAGACCCATAAATACTTAGACTATCTTCTTTGTCTGTGAATCCATTGGACAACTACATAGTCAGCCTGCTAAGGAAATACGTGACCATCCATATGTGGGTGGGTTAATGGGTAGTAACTGTAGGGCATGTATCTTCCAGGAATATTAACTATTCTCCAGCTGGGTGACTTTGACAAATCACTTCCCCTACATGCATCTTAATTTGACATCTGAAAAATGAGGGTGTTGGATTACAGCATTTCCAAACTTCTCCAAAGATAAGAATCCCTGGGGTAGTGGTTAAATATTGAGATTACTAAACCCTCCATGGAAATTCTGATGAAATGGATCTGGGTTGGAGCCCAATAACCTGGTTTTTGTTTGTTTTTTAGTTGCTTGCTTCTATGCTTGCTTGCTTGTTTGCTTTTAAACAGGAGCTTTAGGTTCCTATCTTCAAGGAAGTTGGGGAAACCTTGACTAGATGACTGAGAGACTTTCCAACCCTGCCATTCTGTAATTCTATGATTCTGCGAGGTAGGCCATCCACCAGCCCCCTCACTAGGAGTTAAAATAAGATGTTGAGAAATTTTTCTTTTGTAGGTTCTCGCCGATGATGGAGGGACATCTGGTTAAGTCTGTATGAAATAGATATCTACTTCTCATAAGTCAACAACACCATAAGCCCTGTGGGAAGCCACAAACTATAGTTGTTTTGTGTTTATTAGAACTGTGAGGGTTCTTCCCATAAACCCTTCTGACAGATTCTAAACTGGTGTCCCACACAGGGTCCTAGTGTCTGTTCTCTTCCCCAAACCTCACATTTACAACTTTTGACATCCAGATGGTTTCAGAACCTCATAACTCCACTAATGGCTCCCGAGGTAAGATGGTGACCTGTGGTCAAATCCCAAACTCCTACATGCACCAAACCTGCTCGCTTCCTCTTGCTTCTCTGGAAGCCAGTCGGTTCCTGAGACTGACCCAACCATTTGTGAGAATTGGTTGGGAAAATTAGGGCTGCTTTTCCAACCAATCCCTTGAGACAATCTGAAGGCAAAGGGCTAACGGTTCCTGCGAGTTTAGCTTCTCTAAAAGAAAACCTAGACTAGGATGCTCCCAAACAGTCATTTCTATTTGAAGTTTAAACAATTTTAAGATGCACCTACACTTGTTCAAATCAATGATGCAAGTGGGAAGGAAAGCAGAAAATTTTAGAATCTCTTTGAACATCTTTGAAAACAGTAGTCATCAGTGTGAGAGAAAAGTTGACACTGGAGAAAGGAAATGCAGACATAAGATTGTGAGGTTACGTTAAAACCCTGACCCCTGAATTTTAAATGGAAGTGTTGGTATGAACCCATGATATATTTGATCTTAAAATATATATATATATATCTCCTAGCTCTGTCCACTGAAAAGGACTAGAAGCAAATGATCAACCCAGTAGAATGAGCACAGCGAATACTCATTGTAATCTCTAAATCCTATTTTCCAGCTGGATATGGTGGTTCATGCCTGTAATCCCAGCACTTTGGGAGGCTGAAGTGGAGAGATTGTTTGAGCCCAGGAGTTAGAGGCTGCAGCAAGCTATGAGGGCGCCACTATACTCCAGCCCAGATGACAGAGACAGACCAGACCCTGTTTCTAAAAATAAATAAATAAATCCTATTTTCCACCAAAAGCAGCCAGGGCTTTTTGGAGAAATAGCTGATTCCAAATCTGGGGCAGAAAATTGCAAGATGACCCTGGATTGCTTTGTCATATTAGAAAGCAAGAAAACTATCAAAGACCAGTAGGTTTGTTTCAGGAAGACTCAGCAGCTAATTTAAACAGCATCCCACTAGCCAAAGATGGAATAATTTGAACATCAATAAGAATAATCACTGCAATGTATTTAAACCATCAAATGTATTAAAAATCCATGAATTTATTTCAATGCAATTAAAGTTTCATTGGCCAAAAAAAAAAAAAAAAATGCATTGGTTACATTCGGAGGATCCTAGGGAAACACCTTATTATTTTGAATATTGGTAAATAAAGGAAAACAATCAAGCACTTAGTCTCATTCCTGTGCAATCTATATTTCAGCCAAATAGTGAATAAAGAGAAAGCTTTTTTTACAGAGTATTTTTGCTAAATAAATTATAAAGGAATGATATAATTTGACTATCATCAATTTGCATTTCCTAATGGATATGGGTAGGAATCATTGATAGCTGCTATTAATAATATCACACAAGAAAGGAGACAATCAAACATTATGTATGTACCTCCTGATGGAAGTACACAGCATCTATGGAGTATTCTCACCAAAAAAGCTTAAATTGAAATCTGATCAAGCCTCTAGATCTATTTAAAAATTTATAGGACATGCAGGGGTCAGAGGAAGATGAAATCAGCAAAAGACAGACTATATGGAAAACACTATGACATTGGTCCAGTTTCTCCAATGAATAGGTTGCAAGGAAAGAAACAAAAAAAGAAAATAGTTGAAGCCTGTAAATTAAAACAGACTTAAACATATCAGCTGTACAATACATGCATTTTATTTGGGTCCTGATTCTAACTAAAAATAGTAAAACAATTATGAGACTTTCTTGTATTCAGGAAAGCTAAATACAGGCTGGATATATAACAATATTAAGGACTGTTCATTGTTTGGTTGGTTTGTTCGTTGGTTTTGTTTTGTTTTCAGACAGGGTCTTGCTTTGTTGCCCAGGCTGGAATGCAATCTGTGATCTCGGCTCACTGCAGCCTCAACCTCCTAAGCTCAAGCGATCATCCCACCTCAGCCTCCCGAGTAGCTGGGACTACAGCATGAACCACTACACTCAGCTAAGTTTTTGTAGAGACTGGGTCTTGCTATGTTGCTGGTCTCAAACTCCTGGGTTCAAACGATCTGCCCGCCTTGGCCTCCCAAAGTCTCCCAAAGTGCTGGCATTACAGGTGTGAACCACCGCACCAGTTTTTTTTGTTTGCTTGCTTGTTTTTGTTTTTGTTTTTTAGAAACAGGTTCTCCCTCTGTAACTCAAGATGGAGTGCAGTGGCACAATCATGACTCACTGCAGCCTCAACTTTCTGAGCTCAAGCGATCCACCCTGCCTCAACCTCTGGAGTGGCTGGGACTACTACAGGCGCACACCACCACACCCAGCTAATTTACTTTACTTTTTGTAGAGATGGGGTCTCAGTATGCGCCCAAGCTGATCTGGAACTCCTGGCCTCAAAGGATCTTCTTGCTTCAGCCTCCCAAAGTGCTAAGGTTACTGGCATGAGCCACTGCACCAGGACTTTTAATGGAAAAATGATATTGTGCCTGAGATTTGCTTCAAAATAATCTGGGGTGGGGGGGAATGGAGGGCATGGAGGAAATGAGAGGGGCTGTGAGTTGATTGCTGTCAAGCTGGATGGGGGTTTCATGGAGGTTCATTGTGCTATTCTCTCTACTTTTGCATACAGTAAGATTTTTCTATAATAAAAATAAATGTAAGTAGGATTGATTGTTCCTCCTCTTGAAAGGATTCACCTTGCACATTCTTGAAAGGTGGCCAAGGAAGCCACCCCTTGTCCCCGTTCCTGTGGGATGAGGTATGTCTGGAGCGAGCAGAAGTGGGTGTGACTCTGCCCTGTCGCGCACATCTACTGAAGTCTTGAAAAATAACGGAACCCAATACACATTGAAAAGTGACTTTCTCCAACATCAAGTTATTGCACCGTTGTTTGGTAGGGTAGGGAGCAACAGAGGACCATGACGTCAGACTCCAGAACTCAAACATTTTTTCCCCTTCTTCACTGAAAACTCAGACCGTCTTCACATTTTGTTCTGAGACCAGGAGGAAGATCTGGGGCTCTTGGCCAGCATCTCCTTCTTGTCAGGATTGGCCTCTTTGTTTCCATTTCTTTAAAGAATGAAAAAGAGCAGAAGAACCTAGAAAACATTATGCACCTTTCATAGAAATAAAATACAAGCATACTATGTCCATTTCTCATAGACACTGGAGCCAGGCGCTCATTTTATTTTCAGATATGTGGGAGAATCTTTTGTTAGATACTCAGCCCAGCACAATGGGGAGAAAACAGGATATACATGTATGGTAACTAGGTTGTAAATAGATTTTAATCCCTTGAGCCAGCCTACCTTTAGTTCCTAATGCCCTGCCCCACAATGAAATTACATGGCCAATATCCTAGATCTCAGCTTTTCAAAGTTTCCTTCTTTACGCAGTCCTGGAATTCCTTACGTGCTTAGAAACAAAAACAATTTTATGATAAATGACTCAAAAAAGAAACAACTTTGCAATAAACTTTCAGCATTTTCCCGAACAGGAGAGTAACAGTCCCAAACAAAGCCACCCAAATTATTTTCCTTGCTTGCTGAGCTGCAAATCTTTGTTCTGCACGCTGATTCCTGATCCATGGTGCCCTTTTCATTAATTTGCTGGCAGATTTGAACCAAATCTGATTCCCATCCTTTCCATAAAACCTCCGATCTCTCCTGAGAGCCAAAGTCTGGGCCCAGGAAGTGGAGTTAGAAACAAAAATGAATTAACACTGAGTAAAAAAAAAAAATTGAATAAAGCATGCTAAACCTTCTTCATGGCTTCTTTCCTTTAATACTCATCCATCCCTCTGAGGTGACTGCTTTAATTCTCTTCATTTCATACATGGAAAAACTGGAGCTGAAAGGGGTTACAGCTAGTAAGAGGCTGAGCTGTGACTTGAACAAATTTCTTTTTGACTCTAAAGCTCAAGTTTATAATCACTGTAATAAACCCCTTTTATCAGGAGGCTTTGGAAGGACTTATTTACATTAAAAGTAGCAGAACTTTGCAGAAAAGATGCCAAGGCAGCAAGACATAGTAAGAAAGGGCACATATGGTTGTGCATGCTGAGCCCTACAGAGGGCGCTGTTTGCATTATAGTTTATGGGACTAGCGTCCCTGGAGTTGTGCTGAGCACTGGCTGCAGCAGGACCACCTGCCCTGAATGAGCATGGGCTTTGAAGTTTCAATAAGCTCCTATGATCTTTGACCGTGGGTAAGTTGCTTGGGGCTGACAATAAATGCAGAACAGATAATTCTGCTAAGATGACTGCTACCCTAGTGGCTATGGCAGTGGTTATGAATACAGACTCAGGAGTACTGTACTCAGAAAGCAACCTCTCCCAGTGTGTTCTTCCTGAGTGTAGAAGATCACTTTGTCTTGTATTTGGCCAAGTGCAGTTTCCTTCTCCTCCCTCTAAACCTCTAAATGCAGGAGTGCTTAAATCTCAGTCTTTGGGCATCTCCTCTACCTATACTCATTTTCAAGGTGAACTCATCTAGGCCCATAGCTCAAATGCCATCCACATACAATGACTCCCAAATTCTATCTCCAACTTTATCCTCTCCCCCAGCTCCAGACTCTATCTCTATCTTAACCTCTCCACTTGGGCATCTGATAGGACTCTGACGTGTCACATGATTTAAGACATCTGGAATAGAAATCTTGCTTTCCGCTCCTCACCTGCTCTTCTCCCAGTCTTTCTCAACCCTGTAAAAGACACCACCCTTCACCCAGCTGGCTCAAGTCGAAAGTCTACAAGTCAGCCCTAACTCCTCTCCTTCTTTTAAATCCAATTTCAATGCAAGTCCTATCAATTCTGCTCCTCAACATTTATCCTTATTCAGCCTCTTCTCCCCAGATCTGCTTGCTGCTTTTGTGTGTGTGTTGATAACTTTCATGAATCATATATTTTATTTTCCCAGTATTATAGACTAGATGTTTGTGGCCCCCCAAAATTCATACGTTGAAACCTAATTCCCAAGGTTTTGGTATGAGGTGATGGGCCTTTGGGAGGTGATTAAGTCATGAGGGTGGAATCCTCATGAATAGGATTGTGCCTTTTATTTTTAAAAGAAGGCTCCAGAGAACTCCCTTACCCTTCCACCATTTGAGGACACAGTGAAAAGATGACCATTTATGAACCATGAAGCAAGGTCTCAGCAGACACCAAATCTGCCGGCATCTTGATCTTAGACTTTCCAGCCTCCAGAACTATGAGAAATAAATTTCTTTTGTTTATAAGCCCCCAGTCTATGCTAGTTTGTTATACCTGCCCAAATGCACCTAGATACATTTTGTCTTTCAGTATGTAGGTTATAATTTTCCCTTTAAAAACAGTGTCTTCAGGGGTGGGTCCTGAATATCAAACTTTTATTGCTCTCAATTTCAAACCAGTATAAACACCTAATCCTAGTCCTGCTTTGACCACAAGCATCTTATTTAATTTTTTATTTATAGACAGGATCTCACTCTGTCACCCAGGCTGGAGTGGGCTGATCTGGAGGAGAATCAGACAGAGGCTGTGAGATATTCAGGCCAGTTTTTGACACATTGAGCATAAGGTGCTTTGGTATAAACAGAGATTTTTTAGTCGGAAATTGGTGGTGCAAGATTAGAGTTTTAGAAAATGGTTGCTGCTCAAGGTACACATTGAGCAAGATCATAGCTTACTGTAGCCCCGAACTCCAGGGCTAAAGTGATCCTCCCACCTCAGCTGTCCAGCTACTTTTAAATTTTTTTTGTAGAGATGAGGTCTCTCTGTGTTGCTTATGCTGGTCGTGAACTCCTGGCCTCAAGTGATCCTCCCACCTCAGCCTTCCAGAGCACCAGGATTACAGGTGTGAGCCACTGTGCCCAGCCTGACCACAAGCCTCTTGAAGGACTTGGTCTCTTCTCACACCAACAGCTTCTTCCCAAGCCACTCACTATTCCATCCTCTATAATCTCCTCCACCCAAAATTGACACTGCTCTTGACAAGGCAATGACTTTCTAATTGCCAAATCCAAAGGCTTATCTCTAGACCTAATCATACTCGACTCTCGGATCACGGGAAATTGCTGATCCTTCCTTCTGCTCTGGATCCTGCGGCCCCTGCATCCTGCATTGCTCCAACCCCTCTGGCTCAAAGGTGTCAGACTTATTTGATTACTCTTCTTGCAGACTTTACCCTTGATCTTCCTCTCTTCTCATTCTTCACCACTGGTTCTTAAACTTATTTTTTCAAGGACACCTTTGAAAACATGCTAGAAGCTATGAGAGAGTCATCCCTAAAATAAATAAGTAAAAATGCCTATATTCATGGACACATAATACCCTAAGTAATTTCAGGAGTTTCTTCACACCCTCAAGCCAAGTTAGACCCTCTGCTCTACTTTCTCAGCTGGGGGGGTGCCAACCACCCCCAGGGCTTCCATCATCACCCATATGTTGATGGCTTTCAAATGTGTACCTTGAGCAGCAACCATTTGCCAAAACTCTAATCTTGCACCCCCAATTTCCAACTAAAAAATCTGTTTATACCAAAGCACCTTATGCTCAATGTGTCAAAAACTGGCCTGAATATCTCACAGCCTCTGTCTGATTCTCCTCCAGATCGGCCCATTGCATAATGACTCACCATTCGCCCCATTACCAAGGAGGAATTGGCTCTTCTTCTCCCTCCTCTTGCTGCTTCCCAGGCTCCAGCCTTTCTCATCTCTTGCCTGGATTACTGGAGGAGCCTTCTGCTTGATCTGCCTGTCTCCCTCATTGCCCTCTTCAAACCCACCTGCTACACTGCAGCGAAATTTATCTTCAGCCTTTCCCTGCATCAAACCCCATTGCTCACAGCAGTACTTCCCCAAGCGTGTTTCAAAGAATACAAAGTCTCCATGATATTATATGAATGGAAAAAGTTTTCATGGTCAATTAAGTTGAAGAAAAGAATGAAAATTAGTTAGGCTTAATTACATCTCAGAGTCTTCAATATGCTAAAACACATTTCGGAGCTCCAACTGGGAGATATGAAATAAAGCCTTTGTCAAACTATGTGGCAACAAAAGAGCCTAGTGTACCTCAGAATACACTTTGGATGCCACTGGTCTATGAGCTGAACTTTAATTTCCTTGTCCATCTCTTTTTCTTTTTGACTTCTAGCTGCTATTTTTGATAGTGTAGACAATGGGAGGAAGGACAGCAGTGGCTTCAGGAAAACTAGCGTTTAAATCTCAGCACAGGACTTCTGGTCAGATTATTTCTCAGGACATGCGCCGTCTAGTGTCCCTGGGCCTCTCGGGAGGCTGAGCTCTGTGGGCTGTGGCACCAGGCGCCCTGGGCCTCTGGCTTTCAGCTGAGTTTGGGCATTGGAAAGCAGTGGTAGCAGAGGTGACGGGAGGGTGTTCATTCCCCACTGCCACCTTCCCTCTGGTGGTTCTGCAGTGCTCCCACACTCTCCCTGATCCCAGCTCTTGTCTGGTAGGGGTGACTTGCCTTCTCTTCCCCTTTAGGCCTGGGGGTGATCATGGCTTCCAGCTGCTACTAACCCCTGGGGGCTCCGTCATCGCTTGTTAGCCCCCTTAATTCTGCCCACACCTTTGTAAATAGTCCATTCCTTAAACTCTTTTCAATTAAACCTTCTGAGTACGCCATCCTGTCTTCCCTGATGGAGACAGGACTTTAGTCTCCTTACAAAATGGGGATGGTAACATCTACCTCATGAGACAGCTGAGAATGTTCTGTGAAAGTACCTGAGGTGTGCTGCACCCAGTACAATGCCTGACCCCCAGCAGTGCCCACTGAATAAGAGATGACTACCCCAGTCCTGCCAGTTGTCCAAGTAGTGACCTACTCAAGAGTCTCTCTGCTCCCTTGCCAGTGATCCAGGCTGAGGTGGGCAGAGGGAAATTATGCCAGGCCCCAGTCTGAAGAGACCAAGCAGCCATCAGGACGCAGGGTCCTGTCAGCAGTCACAGAACAGGACTGACCTGCAGGTCCTACTCCAGGGCCCCGGAACAGAGGATCCTAACAGGGATTGGAACAGCCAAGGGTCAGGGTGTTTCTGTGCTCAGCATTCCTCTTGGAAGAAAGCAGCCTCTGTGCTGGGCCCAGATGGTCTGGCCTTCCACACTGGCCAATTGTTTCGCGAGGAGGAAATCCTTCCAGCTTCCAGTCTACTCCTTGTCCCCCACTGAAGTGATCAAGTGGCCTGGAAGAGGGGGTGCTATTTGGAAAGGGAGGACACTTGAATTAGGTTTCCGGTACATTTCCCAACAGGCATACAATGGGGAAATTTTAAAAGGGGTTAATAAGCCAGGTGCAGTGGCTAGTGCCTGTAATTCCAGCTACTTGGGAGGCTGAGGCAGAAAGATCACTTGAGGCCAGGAGTTCAAGACCAACCTGAGTAACAGCAAGACCTTGTCTCTAAAACAATTTTTTTTAATAGTAAAAAAAAAGGCCAGGCGCAGTGGTTCATGCCTGTAATCCCAGTATTTTGGGAGGCCAAGGTGGGCAGATCACTTGAAGCCAGGAGTTTGAGACCAGCCTGGCCAACATGGCAAAACCTCATCTCTATTAAAAATATAAAAATTAGCTGGGCGTGGTGGTTCATGCCTGTAGTCCCAGCTTCTTGGGTGACTGAGGCACAAGAATTGCTTGAATTTGGGAGGCGGAAGTTGTAGTGAGCTGAGATTGTGCCACTGCACTCCAGCCTGGGCGGCAGAGCAAGACTGTGTCTTAAATAAATAAATAAAATAGTAATAAAAAAATAAAAGGGGCTGGGCACAGTGGCTCATGCCTGTAATCCCAGCACTTTGGGAGGCCGAGGCGGGTGGATCATCTGAGGTTAGGAGGTCGAGAGCAGCCTGGCCAACATGGTGAAACCCCGTCTGTACTAAAAATACAAAAATTAGCCAGGCATGGTGATGGGCGCCTGCAATCTCAGCTACTTGGGAGGCTGAGGCAGAAGAATCACTTGAACCTGGGAGGTGGAGGTTGCAGTGAGCTGAGATCGCGCCACTGCACTCCAACCTGGGTGACAGAGTGAGACTCCGTCTCCAAATAAATAAATAAATAAAAATAAAAGAGCATTAACAGAAATGATATGTTAGAGAACACTTAGTGAATCTGCAGGCAGGCAAATTTATTTATATTGAGCCCTCATATAGGAAATTAATGTATTGGGTGTGTTGAACAAAGCATACCTGACTTATGGCACGTAATCAAAATGCAGTTTTATTTTGTTTTCTACTGTCTCTTTAAATCAATTCAGTGGGTAAAATTTTCACAATCTCTCGAAAATCAGGGAGTTTTTCTACACTCTTAAAGCCAGGAATAGACAACCTAATTCAGAAACAAAACAATACAGTATGGTATCCAACACCTCAAACTTCACTCTAGGGCAAGTCTTCTTTGCCTTCTCCCCACCCAGGTGCTCTCTGGTACAAAATTGTCTCCCAGGACCAGGATCCCTCCTGTAGCAGAGGTGCCAGCTGAAGGAAGTCTGAGCTCTCCCATCACCCTGGGGCCTCAGCGATTTAAAATGTAAAATTTCTCCCAGCATCAGGGAGTCCCCACGTTGATCTGCCACAGAGAGACGTGACTAGTCAAACGCCAAATGAGAATGCAGAAAAAGAAGCCAAGTCAGGAGGGAGGCGGGCCTCTGCCTGGAAAGGGAGCAGGGAAGGTTTCATGGCTCTCTTCCCCGGGGCTCTTTGCCTTCCCATCCCAAAGTGGGGCCACAGGCCCTGGGGACCCTGAGGCTATCCCAGCACTGCCAAGGATCTAGCTCTGGTAGCACAGGATGCCCTGATGTCAAGCAATTCACGAGTAGGATAGGATAGTGGGATTCTTAACTCTCCACAAGCCATAGTAAATGCAAGCTTGGGGGCCAGGAGGAAGGAGGTAAGAAGGAGAAGGTGTCACACGCCAGGGCCAAATTAAATATCTCTATCCCCCAAGACACTGCAGGACTCTCCATGACGTGCTAGCTAAACAGGCTGAGTTGCAGCTCTAGAAATTTATTTTGAGAACCGCAGATCTGTGGAGATGGTGAAATTGCAAGTCTAAACAAATCTCTTTGTCAAGTGAGGGCACAGGTGGGTGTGGATGACATCCAGACACCTGGCTTGGAGCTATTTGGGAGGACAGGCTATGAAGGAAACCCTTGGCCAAGGACCCTAAATATTTTTCTAACTTAGAATGAGAAGGTAGTGGTCATAGCCCCTCCATTTGATCCCAACCCCTTCAACCTCCCCCAACCAGACCCACTACCTGGAGCCCCTGGTGTGGTAGGCAGAAAAATGGCCCCTCAAAGATGTTCATGTCTTAATCTACTGAACTGGAGAATGTTATCCCACATGGCAAAAGGGACTTGGCAGATGTGATTAAACCAAGGATGTTGAGATGGGGAGATTATCCAGTGGGTGCCCCCAGTGTCATCACAAGGGTCCTTATACGAGAGGGGTGGGAGTGTCAGAGTCACAGAAGGGACTGACAGCAGAAGCAGAGTCAGAGGGAGGCCAGCGTTGGCTTTGAAGATGAAAGGGGCCATCACCAAGGAATGGACAGCCTCTAGAAGCTGAGAAGACAAAGAAATGACTTCTCCCCTCAGAGCCTCCAGGCAAGTACAGCCCTGCTGCCTCCCTGACTGTAAGGTGGTGAACAGATTTCAGACTTCTTCGGAACTATAAAATCATTAACTGTGTTGTAAGACACAAAGTTAGTACCTGTTACAGCAGCCATAGGAAACTAACACATGTGGTAAGAGAACGTTGATATGGTTCTTTCAGGTTCCTAAAGGCCCAGTTAAAAATAATCCTGATGAGAAGACATCACGCCACCCACCCACCCACCCCACTCCTGTCCATTTTACTGTGGGAGAGCCCACTTCCAAAAGCTGGATGTTTCAGGGTTGTCCATATCCAGAACTTAGTCACAATCACGGACACCACAGGGTGTCCCAGTGTGAAGTATAGCCGTCCCACTTCATGGGCTGACGCCCCATCCTGGAGTGGATGCATTTTGATATAAGGATGAGTTCCCTTTTAGAAAGAAAGCACCAATCGAGACTTTTTTCACCAATTATGACATTAGTTAAAGGATCATGGTGACTCATAGGGTGGTGGGAAGAATGAATGGCCAGCCTACATAATTTCTCGATGAGAAACATCAGCAAGTGCTAAATGGTATTCGAGTATTCTTTTTTTTTTTTTTTTTTTTTGAGACACAGTCTTGCTCTGTCGCCCAGGCTGGAGTGCAGTGGTGTGATCTTGGCTCACTGCAACCTCCACCTCCTGGGTTCAAGCGATTCTCCTGCCTCAGCCTCCTGAGTAGCTGGGATTACAGGTGTGCACCACCACGCCCAGCTAATTTTTGTATTTTTAGCAGAGAGGGGGTTTCACTATGTTTGTCAGGCTGGTCTTGAACTCCTGACATCAGGTGATCCACCCACCTCGGCCTCCCAAAGTGCTGGGATTACAGGCGTGAGCCACTGCGCCCCGCCTAGTATTTGAGTGTTCTTGAGGAAGACATCAGCAACTGGAAATACTGGGGATAAAAACACATGCCAGCCTAAGATCAATACTCAATGTTAACATTATTAGAACCATGTAAATATTATTCCCAGATGAGCCATATAGTGCGTTGTGATTTTTTATATGATACAATTTTTTGTTTTCTGTCAATAATTGCCTTTGTTTTGTTCCATTTCTTAGGTAACCATCACTATTTAATTTTCAAACTCTGGAACTAAGTATAAATCTCCTAAGATGTTTAAACACATGAGGCAATCTGAAGTGTTCTTTTTTTTTTTTTCTTGGTTACTCCTGAATCCCTCCATCATCCTGGTCCTCTCTGGACCGCTCCTCTTTAGGGTGATTGACAGCAATACCTCTTATGCTGGATTAGCTTTGCTTCTGGACTGAGAGTGCTACATGGGCTGAGAGGTATCCTAGAGAAAATTGCCTTGGAGTATGTGCCAGTTCTGATTTTTTCCTGAAGAGACTTTATGGCCTCTATTCATGCAGGGAACATTCTCAATCACATTGTATTTAGCCTCATCCTGGACCAACTCTCACATTTTTTAACTGACAATGGGTCAAGTAGACTTGGCCGAAGATGGCTGGCAGGGTCTCAAACTTTTTAAGTGAACACAGACTTGAAAAGAAGAAGCTGTTAATTGTGCCCTGAGGGTAGACCTGGCTCCCACTGTACAAGGGGGCTCAAGCACATACCTGGTTCATCACCCAAAGTGGACCCAAAGTGGGCAAGGATAGTGAGGCTTTCACCCAGGAAGGGGAGCCACATTATCACCTGAGTCCCTAAGATCAGATAAATAAATGAAGGTTATTTAAAATGGTGACAAGATGGGGCTGGGTGCGGTGGCTCATGCCTGTAATCAAAGCACTTTGGGAGGCAAAGGCAGGCGGATCACTTGAGGCCAGAAATTCAAGACCAGCCTGGCCAACGTGGTGATACCCCATCTCTACTAAAAATACAAAAATTATCCAGTCATGGTGGTGCACATCTGGTTCCAGCTACTCAGGCTGAGGCACGAAAATCACTTGAACCTAGGACATGGAGGTTGCAGTGAGCCAAGATCGTGCCACTGCATTCCAGCCTGGGCAACAGAGCGAGACTCTGTCTCCAAAAAAATAATAAAATAGGCCGGGCACAGTGGCTCACGCCTGTAATCCCAGCACTTTGGGAGGCCAAACGGGTGGATCACGAGGTCAGGAGATCGAGACCATCCTGGCTAACAGGATGAAATCCCGTCTCTACTAAAAATACAAAAAATGAGCCGGACGTGGTGGTGGGCACCTGTAGTCCCAGCTACTCGGGAGGCTGAGGCAGGAGAATGGCGTGAACCTGGGAGGCGGAGCTTGCAGTGAGCCGAGATCACGCGACTGCACTCCAGCCTGGGTGACAGAGTGAGACTCCATCTCAAAAATTAAAATAATAATAATAATAATCATAAAATAACATGCTGAATTATTTTTTTCCTTTTTTCCTAATTTATTAGTCAATTGTCCTAGAAAATGCATTCTCAGTAGGGGTGACAAAACCATTACAATCGTTTGTGATCTTGCAAAGGGCCATGGTACATACACAGATATACAGTATATCTGTGATATTAAAACTTTATGGGGAGAAGGGTAATTTTTTAAAAAATTGGCAAAAAAGCTTCCTTAAGGGGCAATAAAAAAGACTGAGAAATTTCATTCTAGAGATTACTGAATAAATACCAGGTGTAATTACTGATCTCTTTATAGTAGGCTTTTTAGTTTAATCATTAAAATTGGAGTCGGAAGTGTTTTCTGTTTTTGTTTGTGATTGGAAAAATAATTCCTACAAAAACTACCTCACAACAGAATCCTTCAATAGTCATGGCCCAGGAAGCTGAGGCGGAAACAAGAAACCCAGGTGTTACCTATTGGTAATTGTCCAGGCAGTAGAAACCAGAGAATGAGGGAAAACCTTGTATATGAAGTTCACCAAGTCATGAGATGAGGGGTAGCTGTCCTTTTTCCAGGACACTTGGTGGTGAGGCTACTCGTATTCTCAGCAGTCATCTGGAATAACATACTAGTGCTAATGGGTGGGTCCTTTCATTTTAAGTTGTGCCATCTGTGGTTGTGACCTAAGGGCCCTGGCAATCAACTATACTGCCACTTTCGAAAATCTTACAGTAAAAATTGACTGAGAATAATTATACATAATCAGCTGTCAGAGGCAAACAGGAGCCCTGGGGTAAAATACTTGGAAGCTTGAATTCATTAATTGTTTAGAAGAAAGAGGTCAAGCTGTGCTCAAACCACAGGGGTCTGCAAACTTTCTATCAAGAGCCAGAGGGTGAATATTTTAAGCTTTGTGTGCCGCTTGTCTCCATCACAACTGTTCAACAGCCATCGCTGTGCAAAGGGGGCAATAGACAAATTGCGGATGAATGGGCATGGCTGTGTTCCAATAAAACTTTATTTTTGGAAAAAGAGGCAGCAGGTGAATTTGGCCTGCAGGTCATAGTCAACCAACCCTTGCTCAACCATATTACTTACCCTTTGCAACATGGAGTTTGCTTTCTTTAAAGGGATGTAGCTGTCATCTATGGAAACACTTGTTAGAATGTTTTGGTATTTTTCCTGACGGAAAATGAATAGAACAGAAACTGGAAGCTCCAGCTGAGTTTGGCTGAAGCCCCAGAGGGCCCATTTTGATGCCATTCCTTAGCAAAAAGCCCAGCCCTGGGTACCACTCTGACAGCAGACACAAGGTGGGTGGGAAGTTTATGATGTGATTATTATACATTGCCTGCCTATATCAAAACATCTCATGTACCCCATAAATACATACTCCTACTATGTACCCACAAAAATTTAAAAAAATTTTAAGAAGAGAGGTGGAATAGGCCGGAGTCAGAGGTGTGCATTTTTGGGGGGAAAGGGGAGGTTTCAAGGTCCACACATAGGCCCTTCTCTTTGGCAAATAACAGATTCTGTGCAGTTATTGTATGTGTTAGTTCGTATATTTCATTGAGCTGTATTTGGAGGAGGGGAGGATAAGAAAATATGTCTCGTTTCTCTCTGTATCTCAGCCCATAACAGTGAGCCCACCACAGTGTAGCACTCAACCAACAAAGGGTCACGCAAATCAGGCCTAGGACTCTAAAGGCTATATCCTCAGGCAACCAGTTTTGGGTGAAAGCTCCTTAGAGCCCTCTGACCTGAGGCCAGGAGTGACTGAGTTTGTGTTGTGTCTGAGATTTAAAAAAATAAAAATAAAAAAAGGCCAGGCGCGGTGGCTCAAGCCTGTAATCCCAGCACTTTGGGAGGCTGAGGCGGGTGGATCACGAGGTCAGGAGATCCAGACCATCCTGGCTAACAAGGTGAAAACCTGTCTATACTAAAAATACAAAAAAAATTAGCCAGGTGCAGTGGCGAGCGCCTGTAGTCCCAGCTACTCGGGAGGCTGAGGCAGGAGAATGGCGTGAACCTGGGAGGCGGAGCTTGCAGTGAGCTGAGGTCGCACCACTGTACTCCAGCCTGGGCGACAGAGCAAGACTCTGTCTCAAAAAAAAAAAGTGGGTCTTAAGTGGTCCCAGCTGTGGGGAGAGGAGGGCGTGAGAGACTGGGAGCCAGGTGGGGCTGGACAACTATTGTTCTACTTGAATTTTTTTTTAGAGATGGGGTCTCACTCTGTTGCTCAGAATGGAGTGCAGTGGCGCAATCATAGCTCACTTCAGGCTCTAACTTCTGGCCTCAAGCAATCCTCCTGCCTCAACTCTGAGTTGCATGGACTGCACATCCTGCTAATTTTTAAATTGCTTATAGAAATGGGGTCCTACTATGTTGCCCAAGCTGGTCTCGAATTCCCAGCCTCAAGCGATCCTCCTTCCTCTGCCTCCCAAAGAGCTGAGATTACAGGAATGAACCACCACCGTGCCTGACTTGTTTTACTTGATGAATGCTTGTTAAGAATAAAACCTGGCCATGCGCGGTGGCTCACACCTGTAATCCTAGCACTTTGGGAGGCCAAGGCGGGCGGATCACCTGAGGTCAGGAGTTCAAGACCAGCCTGGGCAACATAGTGAAACCCTGTCTCTACTAAAATACAAAAATTAGCTGGGCATGATGGCGGGTGCCTGTAATCCCAGCTACTTGGGAGGCTGAGACCAGAGAATCGCTTGAACCCAGGAGATAGTGGTTGCAGTGGGCTGAGATCGTGCCACTGGACTCCAGCCTGGATGGCTGAGCAAAACTCCGTCTCAAAAAAAAAAAACAATAAAATTTGCAAAAAGAAGCTCATAATTCTCATTCCAAGACTGTTTCAAATTCCAAATACATGGATCCGAAAATGTCAAGCTCTCTTAAATTTGGGTACTGTCTGTGAGACCAGTTAGTGAGGTTAGTCTTTCTGTTCCATCTGCCCCTCTCTCTGCCTCCCAGCTTAGCCTTGATTCCATCACATGGGCTGGAGTGGGAGCCTCAGAGGAGGCTGGACTTCCCTGGTGTGCTTGCAGCTAAAGTCATCACTTTGGTGAGCATGTTTCCTGAAGGAAGAATGACATACGAGTTCACCAATGACAATTTCTCTACATGGAGTCCTGTGGGCAGTCAAAAACACAGGCCCACCATGTAACTTCTAAAATAATGAATTGGTAATACTGGATGTCAGTGAAAGCAAACCACCCTGATGAGATGAATGCTGGCAGGCATGGAAAGGTCTAGCCATCCCTTCTCATCAGCGGACGGCTGGTCTCATCAGGACACAGCTCCCCCTCTTCTGGCCCTAAGGGAACCTGATCTCCCAGCAGATGAGGACTGTGAATCCGCTCCTGGATTTGGCAAAATTGAGGAGGTTTCTGTGGTGACCTGGGCAAAAGCCTGATTAGAGTAAGCTTAGGGAAGGATTGGAGGACAGAGAATTGGAGACAGTGAGAACTCACAGCTTTTTCAAGAATGATTAAAGAAATGAGACCAGACTGGGTGCGGTGGCTCACGCCTGTAATCCCAGCACTTTGGGAGGCCAAGGCCGGTGGATCACAAGGTCAGGAGTTCCAGACCAGCCTGGCCAACATGGTGAAACCCCGTCTCTACTAAAAATACAAAAATTAGCTGGGCATGGTGGCACACACCTGTAATCCCAGCTACTGGGAAGGCTGAGGCAGGAGAATCACTTGAACCCGGGAGGCAGAGGTTGCAGTGAGCTGAGATTACGCCACTGCACAACAGAGTGAGACTGTTTCAAAAAGAAAAGAAAAGAAAAGAAAAGAAAAGAAAAGAAATGAGACCATAATTGGCAGGCAGAGGGAGGTGGTGTGGGGGTGCTGGGACCAAATAAGATATAAGATGGAAGGAAAAATGGCACAACTGTATGCTTGGGAAGAGTAGAGAAGGAAGAACTGATGTCAGAAATGGATGGAAGGCCCCAGTGGAGTTGAAAGATGATTGAGCTGGGATACTAGAGAGAGAAAGCTGAAAAGAGACTGTGAGTGGCAAGTGGCAAGTGGGATGTTTGACATTGAGATCATAAAGAGCACAGAGGCCCAGCACGGTGGCTCACGCCTGTGCCATCCCAGCACTTTGGGAGGCCAAGGCAGGAGGATTACATGAGCCCAGGAATTCAAGACCAGCTTGGGCAACATTGTGAGACCCCCATCTCTACAAAATTAAAATTAAAATTAAAATTAAAAAAATAAAGAGCACAGACACTATCTTGAATCCACAGAAAAGTATCCTGCAGAGGGCT
The DNA here is from genome assembly GCF_000001405.40 of Homo sapiens. Classification (NCBI taxonomy): domain Eukaryota; kingdom Metazoa; phylum Chordata; class Mammalia; order Primates; family Hominidae; genus Homo; species Homo sapiens. Next base: position 62,404,707 of record NC_000001.11, read on the forward strand.
GACCTTACTGCCTGTGTGCAGGCTCCTTCTTGAATTATGCTGAGAAGGCTTCTAGTTCAGCGGAGGATCATGAGGATGAGGAGCATGCACTACGGATGACTGAGTAGTGAGGCTGAAATACCTAGGTCCCCAAGGGCTCTGAAACAGAGCCATTCTATTCACCCTGGGCTGCCTCTCACAGGACTTCCACCTGAGAGAAAAAGCTCCTCTCTCCCTTGGGTTCCTGTTATTCTGAGTCTCAGTTCTTTGCAGATGAACCCAATTCTAACTAATAGGAATAGTAATAGAAAAGAAGCCACTGTAACAAAATTGTACCAAATAAAATAGAATTTAGGGCTAAAAGTAATAAATAGAAAGTAGGACAGTATCTGATGATAAAAGGATTGATCAAAAAATCATAAATTTAAATGGACTTATTAATATAGCTTGTTATATGTTAGTAGACTATAAGAAATGATAGTTTAAGTGGACAAAAATAGTATTAAATAAGAAAGAGTGTACATATACAAAAATTACCATGTATTATGTCCTAAAGTTTATTCTTAGTTGCTGAAAAATGAATCTACTCAAGCTAATTTAAGCAGAGAAGAGCTAATAAGATATTAGGTAACTCCCCAGTTCTCCAGGTAGGGCTGACAGCCAGGTTTGTATATCAGGACCCACACATCTAGGAAAAATGCCTACTCACATCATGAGATTGTCCTAGCAGAAACATCACTGCCATCGCCTCCACCACTTGACACTCTGCACCTTTGACAGTAGGAACAAGATCCCAGTCAGTGCTCCCTGCAGGAGGCGGCAGCCTCATTCTGTCTAGTGCAGAATGGCTGCTTGATGGAAGCTAGTTAAGTAAAAGTCTTACCATGCTCAAAAAGCCACCAGCCCAGACAGTTTTTTTTTTGTTTTTTTTTTTGTTGTTGTTGTTTTTGAGATGGAGTCTTGCTCTGTCACCCAGGCTGGAGTGCATTGGTGTAGTCTCGGCTCACTGCAACCTCCGCTTCCTGGGTTCAAGCAATTTTCCTGCCTCAGCCTCCTGAGTAGCTGGGATTACAGGCACCCGCCACCACGCCCGGCTAATTTTTGTATTTTTAGTACTGACAGGGTTTCACCATGTTGGCCAGGCTGGTCTTGAACTCCTGACCTCATGATGCACAGGCCTCGGCCTCCCAAAGTGCTGGGATTACAGGCGTGAGCCACCACTCCCGGCTGCCCAGTTTTATATGCAAGCTCTGTTACACCTTCATAGAAGAAATAAGCCCTTATAGATGTTTTTCATAGAATAGAAAAAGAGGGAAAGCTGTCCAACTCACTTTATGAGACTAGTATAATGTTGATACTCCCCAAAATAAGAAGAGTACAAGAAAATACAATTGTAAGCCATGCTCTCTTATGAATGTAGATGCAAACCTTTTTTAAAAAAGTTAACAAATCAGAAAACCAAATGCCACATGTCCTCATAAGTGGGGGCTAAACATTGAGCACACATGGACATAAACATGGGAACAGACACTGCGGACTGCTCAAGTAGGGAAGGAGGGAGAGGGGCATGGGTTGAAAAACCACCTATTGGGTACTGTGCTGACTACCTGGGTGCAATATCCCCAAGTCACAAGCCTGCATCTGTACCTGCTATATCTAAAATAAAAGTCGAAATTTTTTTTAAGTCACAAATCAAATTTAGTACCATATTAGGAAAAAAACAAAAACAAAAAAACAACCTTCCTGGCCAAGTAGGGCCCTTGGGAACACCAGATAGAAAGAGGTAATGCAGCCTATGGTTAAGAGACAGGTCTGGAGCCAGTGTATTTGCCGCTGTCTAGCTGTATGGCCTGGGGCAATTTACCTAACCTCTCTGCACCTAGGTTTTCTCACCTGTAAAATGAATGTAACAATAGTTCTTACCTGATAGGATAGTTGTGTGAACTAAATGAGTAAATTAAGTCAAGAACATAGAAGAGAGACTTAATTAGTTGTCATTACCTCACCAAATGCAGTGGAGATAGAGGCCAATAAACAAGGATGCAACACAAGACTGACAGCAGCTGATGCTGGCCAAGGATGACAACAAACCAGAAACCTCCTCCTTCCCTTCATGCCACATGAGTCTATCAGAGCCCGGATGCTACCTTGGGGACCAACATGGAGCAGGATGGGTAGAAGCTGGAATTAACTGAGCATTGGCTGTGATTGAGATTTTCTGCTACGTTGTTCCTCTACTGAGAATCCCTACTGATTCTGAAATCTGATCTACGTCTGGAATCTCCTCCTGATCTGTGGGGTATTGCTATCAGATGCAAGAAGACTAGCTAAGGCCAGGCGCAGTGGCTCAAACCTGTAATCCCAGCACTTTGAGAGGCCGAGGCGGGTGGATCGCCTGAGGTCAGGAGTTCGAGATCAGCCTGGCCAACATGGTGAAACCCTGTCTCTACTAAAAATACAAAAATTAGCCAGGTGTGGTGGTGGGGAAACTGTTTTTAATAGAGTAATGGAGGTGAAAACCACGCTGAAGAGTAAATATTAACGAGGGGCTTGGTATCCCTTGTTTTATATAACTGTAGGTCTATCTAATTCCAAAGCCCATACTGCTCACTTTTCAACATCCTGCTAAATTGTCACTCTTCCCTCCTGCTTTTCTTTAACCAGTATATTGATTAAACCACACAAGCAAAGAAACGTGCCCAACTGCCTAGAGTACTAGCTAACAGAGTCTGGATAAATTACTAGCAATACTTATTGTTTAATACAATTCTGTTTTTTGTCCTTATAACAATTACACATTCTGACCTCCACATACATAATGAATGTGGAGAACCATCTTTTGGCCTCCCCAGGCCACTATCTTTTGGAAAACCAGCAAATTTAAAGACCAACCAACACTATGATGTGAGCGCCACCTACTGTTAAGAAACTTAAAAGCACATCTCAGATAGTCCTCATATCTTGAATTGGTTCAAAGTATTAAAGCACATGTTCCAGAGATACTTCAGTTGGATAAATCGTAGGTGATACTTACTTTCAGTTAACTAGTTAAAAGGTTAAAACTTTAAAGGTTCCCTTTAATTTTTTTTTTGAGACAGTCTCGCTCCATCCCCCAAGCTAGAGTGCAGTGGTGCGATCTCGGCTCACTGCAACCTCTGCCTCCCAGGTTCAAGCGATTCTCGTGCCTCAGCCTCCCCAGTAGCTGGGATTACAGGCGCCTGCCACCAGGCCTGAGTAATTTTTTGTATTTTTAATAGAAACAGGGTTTCGCCACGTTGGCCAGGATGATCTCGAACTCCTGACCTCAGGTGATCTGCCCGCCTTGGCCTCACAAAGTGCTGGAATTATAGGAGTGAGCCACCGTGCCGGCCAAGTTCCCTTTAATTTTTTTCTCTTTAACCTTTAGTTAATTAGTAAACTGGTCAATTATTTGTGCATGTTCTCTCTTTTAACTACAAAATTCTGTCTTTTAACTACTTAAGAAGTTTTAAGTTTTACAATTTAAGTTGTTTTATATGTAATGTTGAATGTTTTAAATAGTGGACATTTCTAAGACCTACTTGGTGGGCTTGCATTTGAAAACTTCAACCTGGCTGGGTACAGTGGCTTACACTTGTAATCCCAGCACTTTGGGAAGCCGAGGTGGGCAGATCACCTGAGGTCAGGAGTTCAAGACCAGCCTGGCCAACATGGCAAACCCCATCTCTACTAAAAATATAAAAATTAGCTGTGCATAGTTGCACATGCCTGTAATCCCAGCTGCTCCGGAGGCTGAGGCAGGAGAATCACTTGAACCCTGGAGGCAGAGGATGCAGTGAGCTAAGATCACGCCATTGCACTCCAGCCAGGCCCTAGATACTAGAAATCTAGGGTTTTAAAAAATTATCTCAATGTAGAGCAAACAATATAAAAATATAACAAAAGGCTAAGTGGTATAATGGAAGTCTCTGTGAAGAAAAATCAGAAAAGTTTGCTGTGGGCTTTTCTACAGAGGCAACTTTTGAACTACAGAATGTCAGAACAGGTAAGAATTTATTCATTTGTCCATTTATTTATTAAGTACCTACTATATTCACAAAGACAAATAATGCAGGATTCACTTTCTAAAAGAAGCCACAGCCTAACAGAGGAGGTAGATATATAAACAAATTATTTATTCCTCCCCATCCCTTTGTATAAAATCAGAATAAAATATGTTAATTAGGAATGGAAATATAAACATCAAGAGACTCAGATACGTACACAAAGGAGTCAACACTTGGTATAAAGTACTATAACAGGAGTAAGTCCTATGTGAAATGGTAACATAAAGATGACTTGATTAACCTCATTACTTGGTGAGTCCTACAGAAATATGAGTTCCTAAAGGGTGAAATTTGATCCTATTAATTTTGTAACTCCTGGACCAGCACTGGGGCTGGAACACAGTGGCCAGTCAAAGCTGGCTGAATTGTGCGCAGAGGAGGGAAAGGACGGACAAAGAAGGCTCATCAAGAAGATGATCAGCTAGGCGCAGTGTCTCACGCCTGTAATCCCAGCACTTTGGGAGGCCAAGGCAGGTGGATTGCATGAGCTTAGGAGTTCAAGACCAACCTGGCCATCATGGTGAAACCCTGTCTCTACTAAAAGTACAAAAAAATAGCCAGGTGTGGTAGTGCACGCCTGTGGTCTCAGTTACTCAGGAGGCGGAGGTGGGAGGATCCCTTGAGCCCCGGAAGTTGAGGCTTCTGTGAGCCGTGATTGCACCACTACACTCCAGCCTGGGCAACAAAGCCAAACCCTGTCTCAAATTCAACAACAACAACAACAACAACAAAACTAGGAATTTAAGTTAAGGAGTTTTCAAGGTTAACAAAAGGAGATGGGGGTGAGAAAAAAAGAGTACTCTGAGTAAAGGAATCAATATGGAAAAAAAAAACAGATTTGTTGAACAACATAGCTCACTGGGGAAAACGCAAATAACTCAGTATATTTGGAGTATAGGGTGGGAAGAGGGAAGTGACTAGATTGGAGAAATAGGGGCAAACTTACACCATGGAGGGGTTTGCATGCCGAACACGGGAGATAGGACATTAACTATACATAGATGGATGTCTTAGAAAGACAGCCCTCCTGGCAATGGAAAGGATGGATCAGAGTGAGAAAGAGACTAAATAGGAGGAACTTGACAGGAAGGTGTGAAAGTAGAGAGTGGAGACAAACTAAGGCCACAGAGAGAAAGGGACAGATTCAAAAGTTTTTTGTGATGTCCATTTTGTTGCTATGAAAGACTAGAGATCCTTAAATTCTTCTGCTGTATATCATCTAAAAATACTCAACAAAATACTAACACACACACACACACACACACACACACACACACACACACACACAGGCTCTGTCTGACTCTTAGATGATTAGAAGGAAAGGGAAACCTGAAGAAGTCCGGGATGAAATGGGAACATAAAAGCAGGGAGGGGAGTATGAATGAGGAAATTAACCCAAGAAGTTGATGGTGACACCATCAGATAACCTAGAAGCATACATGGACCAATGGCAGGTGCATCACTGCACAGAGGAACCTGGGAATAAAGCCTTGGGCCCACCCAGGGCAGAGAGCCAGCAGAGACCACCACAGGTAAAGCTAGGACTCAGGAACAGGAAAATACTGTTCCTGGGAACCTGGGGAAAATAATCTTCCCCACAAATGTAGAGAACAGGGAAAATGGTTTGTTTTGCCCTTGGCTTGAAGAGAAAGTTTTAAAAGTTCCCTGAGAATTTTAGTGATTGACCAACTCTCACACAGGTTTTGGGCCTGAATCTACATGAGTGTCTTAAAAACTGCAATATACCTCGCCGTGATACACACACATCATAAATCACTATTTAAAATGGACCAGGTCTGGAGTGCCTCAAGGCATAAGTGAGAAATTGAAGAAATCCTCCTTGGGAAAAATATGGGATTTTTTTTTCTATGGCTGCTATAAAAAAATGCCAAAAATATAGTGACTTAAAACAACACACATTTATTACCTTACAGTTCCACGGGTCAGAAGTCCAATGTGAACCTCAATAGGCTAAGATGAAAGTGTAAGCAAGGGGCACAGTGGTGCACACCTGTCATCCTAGCTACTCAGGAGGCTGAGGTGGGAGGATCACTGGAGCCAGGGAGTTTGAAACCAGGCCAGGCAACATAGCAACCAGCAGGGCTGCATTCCTCTATGGAGGGTCTAAGGGAGAACCCATCTTGTCGGTAGAGGCTGACCACATTTCCTGGCTCACAGCCCCCTTTCTCCATTTTCAAAGACAGCAACTTTACACCTGTCTGACTCTTATTCTCCAGTCACATCACCTTCTCTTGGTATAGCTAGAAAAAAATCCTCCGTTTTTGTAGGCTGATTTGATTATATTGGGTACACCAGAGAATTCAGAATAATCTTCCCATCTCAAGTTCCTTAACCATAATCATATCTGCAAAGTCCCTTTTGCCATGTAAGGCATTTTGTTCACAGGTTCCAGGCATTAGGACATCAGTGTCTTTGGAGGACCATCATTCTGCCTACCACAAGGACATCTCAACCCATGCCTCAAAATATTTTTGAGCTTCCAATTTTTAAAAAAGCAATAAAACTAGAGTAGATAAAGATTTTGGCTACTGGAGTTATGGGATAAAAAATTTTTAAATAAGAATATTTGGCCAGGTCTGGTGGCTCATGCATGTAATCCTAGCACTTTGGGAGGCCGAGGTGGGTGGGTTGGTTGAGCCCAGGAGTTTGAGACCAGCCTGGGCAACATGGTGACACCCCGTCCCTACTAAAAGTACAAAAAAATAGCCAGGCATGGTGGCACTTACCTGTAGTCCCAGCTATTTCCTTCTGCCAAAGTGCTGGGATTACAGGTGTGGGCCACCGCTTGCTCCTTCCCTCCCTCCCTCCCTCCCTTCCTTCCTCTTTTCTTTCTCTCTCCCTCTCCTTTTTTCTTTCTTCTTTCTTTTCTTTCTTTCTTTTGCATCTTGTTTAAGAAATATTTTCCTATCCTGAGGTTAAACATCTTTTTTTCAATATTATCTTCAAAAAGTTTAAAAGTATGGTGGCTCACACTCATAATCCCAGCACTTTGGGAGGCTGAGGCAGGAGGATCACTTGAAGCCAGGAGTTCAAGACCAGCCTGGGTAACATGGTGAGACCCCCTATCTCTACAAAGAAAATTTTTTTAATTAGCTAGGTGTGGTGGCATGCACCTGTACTTAGAGCCACTCAGGAGATGAAGCAGGAGGACTGCGTGAGCCCAGGAGTTCAAGGCAGCAGTGATCTATTGATACAGGAGTGCGACAGGGAAGTGCTGGGTAGAGAAGCCCTGGAGAGGGCTCCAACCTCAGGCCTGCGCCCACAGACCTAAGTGAGAACAGGCATTCCTGTTTTCATGCCAGAATGTTCGATTTTTTAAGACCACTCTGGCCCACCATGCCCCCATCCTGTGCCCATATAAACCTGAGACCTTAGTGAGCACACACACAAACGGGCCAAATGTTGAGAGGAGCAGAGGGACAGAGCGGCAGAGAGGGGAGGAGAGCAGCAGAGTGGCACGGCAGAGACGGAGGGAAGAGGTGTCTGAACATCGGCCAAGATCGGCCAAACTCTAGGGGAGGATTATCTTCCCCACCCCTCCACCTTCCAGCTCCCTATCCCTCTTGCTGAGAGCCACGTCCACCACTCAGTAAAACCTTACATTCATCCTTCAACCCTGTGTGTGATCTGATTCTTCCGGGACACTGGGCAAGAGCTTGGCATATAGAAAGCTGTTACACTGGCCTTCTGCCCTTGTGATAAGGCAGAGGGTCCACTGAGCTAATTAACACACAAGCTGACTGCAGATGGCAAAGCTGAAAGAGCTTTGTAACACTGGGGTTGCAGGCACCCACCCCTAGACGTTACCGCGGGCCCGAGGGCCCAAAGCACTTGCCCCAGCCTCTGCAACTACTTGTCTGCATGCTGTCTCTAGGGGTTTGAGCTTTGAATAAACCGAACAGGTGAGCCATATCCCTGTCACACAACCTGCAAGGAGAATCAGGGAACTCTCCCATTTTACTGTGATCACACCATTGCACTCCAGCCTGTGTGAGTGAGAGTGAGACCCTGTCTCTAAAAAGTTAAAATTAAAAAAAAGTTTAAAAGTTTTTACATTTGGCTTTTATAGATTTTTGCTTATAAACTGAGGTCTAAACAAAATTTTCTTTTTTTTTTTAGTCTCACTGTCTCCTGGGCTGGAGCACAGTGGCACTATATTGGCTCACTGCAACCTTCGCCTCGTGGGTTCCAGTGATTCTCCTGCCTCAGCCTTCCAAGTAGCTGGAACTACAGGTGCATGCCACCATGCCCAGCTAATTTTTGTATTTTTAGTAGAGACGGGTTTTCACCATATTGTTCAGGCTGGTCTCGAACTCCTAACCTCAGGTGATCCACCAGCCTGGGCCTCCCAAAGTGCTGGGATTACAGATGTGAGCCACTGTGCCTGGCCTCCCCTTTTTTAAAAAGGAAATTTGAAAAAAAATCTACTTATTTATTTTGAGACCAGGTTATAAAACTGGCTAATTTTTGTATTTTTGGTAGAGATGAGATTTCACCACGTTGCCAAGGCTGGTCTCGAACTCCTGGGCTCAAGGGATCCACCGCCCTTGGACTCTCAAAGTGCTGGGATTACAGGCGTAAGCCACTGCGGCTGGCCGAATTTAAATTTTGTAGAGACAGGGTCTCACTATGTTGCTCAGGCTGGTCTTGAACTCCTGGCTTCAAGCAATTCTCCCGCCTTGGCTTCCCAAAGTCTTAGGATTATAGGCATGGGCTATCATGCCTGACCTTATTTTTCTATATGGATAAAAAATTATCCCTGGCCATGTATTAAAAAGCTTATCCTTACCCCAGGGATCTGCAGTACCCCTCTGTCATATATCTACTTTGCAAATATGAGTCTGTTTCTGGATTTTCTGTTCTATTACTTGTATAATTACTATAGCTTTGTAATAAATCTTGTTATCTGGCAGGGAAAATAATTATACTCTGTTTTACTTCAATAATGTCTTACCTAATTTTAGCCTTTATACTTCCATGTAGATTTAAAAATCAGCAAAAAAAATAAATAAAATAAAAATCAGCTTGTAAAGTTCCATTAGAAACCCTGACTAGCTTATGTGGGTTCGATTTCTCCTTCTCTTGAATTTGGTCTGGCTTTGTGACCTATATTTCCTGATAGATTATGGTAGAAGTGATAGTTTACCATTTCCAACCTGGGCTTTAAGAGATCTGCCGTTTCTTCTTTTGCTGCTTGGGACACTCTCTCTTGGGATTGAGCCACTGTTAAAGGGAGCCCAAACAAGCTATGTGAAGAAAAACATTTGGAGAAAGACAATTCCAGGGGTGGCTAGAAGGTTCCAATCTTCTAGTCACCGCTGCCAAGGCATCAGACACATGTATGAAGTCATCTTGGGTGCTTCAGCCCTACCTGCTATCCGACTACAACTTCATGGGATATCCCAGTAAATGCCATGCAAAGCAAAAGAACCACCCAGCCGAGCTCTGTCCACATTTTTCACCTACAGAATTGTGAGCAAATAAAACGGTTAATTTTGGGCCAGGCACGGTGGCTCACAACTGTAATCCCAGCACTTTGGGAGGCTGAGGAGGGGGGATCACCTGAGGTTAGGAGTTCGAGACCAGCCTGGCCAACATAGTGAAACCCCATCTCTACAAAAAATACAAAAAAAAAAAAAAAAGCTGGGTGTGGTGGTGCAAGCCTATAATCCCAGCTACTCAGGAGGCTGAGGCAGGAGAATTGCTTGAACCCAGGAGGCAGAGGTTGCAGTGAGCCAAGATCGCACCACTGCACTCCAGCCTGGGCAACAGAGCGAGACTTTGTCTCAAAATAAAATAAAATGGTAAATTTTAAGCCATTATGTTTTGGTGCGGTTTTTATACAGCAGGTAAATGCCTGAAGAACAGTACAATGGCAAAATATTTGGCAATACGGTTACCTACAGCAACATAAAAGATAGAAATGTACCTAACAGGGGCCGGGTGCTGTGGCTCACGCCTGTAATCCCAGCATTTTGGGAGACCTAGGCAGGAGGATCACAAGGTCAGGAGATCGAGACCATCCTGGCTAACACGGTGAAACCCCATCTCTACCGAAAATACAAAAAACTTAGCCGGGTGTGGTGGCGGGTGCCTGTAGTCCCAGCTACTTGGGAGGCTGAGGCAGGAGAATGGTGTGAACCCGGGAGGTGGAGCTTGCAGTGAGCCGAGATCACGCCACTGCACCCCAGCCTGGGTGACAGAGCAAGACTCCGTCTCAAAAAAAAAAAAAAAAAAGAAATGTACCTAATGGGCCAAGCATGATGGCTGATGCCTGTAATCTCAGCACTTTGGGAAGCTGAGGTGGGTGGATCGCCTGAGGTCAGAAGTTCAAGACCAGCCTGAACAACATGGTGAAACCCCGTCTCTACCAAAAATACAAAAATTAGCAGGGCGTGGTAGCGGGCGCCTGTAATCCCAGCTACTCGGGAGGCTGAGGCAGGAGAATCACTTGAACCTGGGGGGCAGAGGTTGCAGTGAGTTGAGAATGCACCATTGCACTCCAGCCTGGGTAACAACAGTGAAACTCTGTCTCAAAAAAAAAAAGAAAAAAAAGAAAAGAAAGAAAGAAAGGAAAGAAAGAAAGAAACAAATCTAATAAACTTCTCTAACTCTACACTCCATGCCTCTTAATTTTTCTTTATATTTTTCATACATTTGATCTACATTCTGCATAACTTCTTAATCTACCTTCTATTTCACCAACTCTCTGTTTAGCTGCATTTAGTCTGCTGCTTACCCTGGCATTGAGTTTTTCATTTTCTTTGTAATTTTTTTCTTTTGTTTTTATTTTATTATTAATATTTTTTGAGACAGGGCCTCACTCTGTTGCCCATGCTGGAGTGCAGTGGTGCCATCACAGCTCACTGCAGCCTCAACTTCCTGGGCTCAAGCAATCTTCCCGCCTCAGACTCCCAAATAGCTGGGATCACAGGTGTGTGCCACCACGCCCAGCTAATTTTTGTATTTTTTGTAGAGACGGGGTTTTATCATGTTTGCCAGGCTGGTCTTGAACTCCTGACCTCAGGTGATCCACCTGCCTGAACCTTTCAATGTGCTGCGATTACAGGGGTGAACCGCCACGCCCGGCCCCACTTCAATCTTTTAAGTAAACGAGGTCATCTGATGCAAGCAGCACAAGCCCTCATGTTTCTTGTACAAACCTTTTAAACAGACCTAGCAAAAGTTTAAGTAACAAATTTAGCTAGAGTTGGCTTGAAAAATCAGGATTCCACAGCAGGGAAGAAAATACATGGCAGAGGGAAAGAAGTTTCAGAAATTAAAAAATATTTACCCATAATAGATTTATACCCACTATAGTAACTTCTAGAGTTCTTCCTCACCCATTTAGACAACTTTGCAAATATTTTCCATTTATTAGGAACTATTTGAGAGATAGGAAAGAATATACAAAACATAAATGTAAATTATGAAGAATAATAATAAATTAAGCACTCACGGGGCCATCAAACAACTTAAAAACTGCGCATCAGTCGCGCTGGAGCCCGGTATTGGGCCCCTTCCCTCTCCCAGCCTCCTGTTTTCCTCCTCTAGGAAAAGCCTCCTCCACTGTTTTCTATGGCTTTTTTTTTTCATTCTCCTCTTATCTTTATAAATCTATCAAATATGTATGTGCTTTGGGATAAGCTATCCCCATATGTTTGGTTCTCAAGTTATATAAGTGGTATCATTCTGTAACTTGCTTTACATTTGTGAAATTCAACTATGTTATTACATGTAGCTATAGCTGATTTAATTTTCACTGTTTTGTGGTATTTCTGTTGTGTGAATGTACCACAATTTATTCCCCCATCAAAGCATTTGAATTCCTTCCAGTGTTTGTTTGTTTGTTTGTTTGTTTGTTTTTTGAGACGGAGTCTCGCACTATCACCCAGGCTGGAGTGCAGGAGCGCTATCTCGGCTCACTGCAAGCTCCGCCTCCTGGGTTCACGTCATTCTCCTGCCTCAGCCTCCCGAGCAGCTGGGACTACAGGCGCCCGCCACCACGCCCGGCTCATTTTTTGTATTTTTAGTAGAGATGGGGTTTCACCGTGTTAGCCAGGATGGTCTGGATCTCCTGACCTCGTGATCCACCCACCTCAGCCTCCCAAAGTGCTGGGATTACAGGCGTGAGCCACTGTGCCCAGCCTCCAGTGTTTTTTGTTTTTTGTTTTTTTAACATTACAAAACCCCGTCCCTACTAAAAATACAAAAAGTTAGCTGGGCGTGGTGGCGGGCGCCTGTAGTCCCAGCTGCTCGGGAGGCTGAGGCAGGAGAATGGCGTGAACCCGGGAGGGGGAGCTTGCAGTGAGCCGAGATCGTGCCACTGCACTCAGCCTGGGCGACGGACTCAAAAAACAAACAAACAAAAAAACATCACAACAATGCTACCAAAAACATTCTAACATGTATATCTTCTGATATACGAGGGTATATATTACCTATCACCAATTTTAAAAAAATTTTAAGTTCCAGGATACATGTGCAGAACGTGCAGGTTTGTTGCATAGGTAAACATGTGCCATGGTGGTTTGCTGCACCTATCAACCCATCACCTAGGTATTAAGCCCCACATGCATTAGTTATTTGTCCTGATGCTCTCCCTCCCCTCGTACCCCCAACAGGCCCCAGTGTGTACTGTTCCCCTCCCTGTGTCCATCTATTCTTATTGTTCAGCTCCCACTTATAAGTGAGAACATGCAATGTTTGGTTTTCTGTTCCTGTGTTAGTTTGCTGAGGATGAGGCTTCCAGCTCCATCGATGTCCCTGCAAAGGACATGATCTCATTCCTTTTTATGGCTGCATGCCAAATGTTTTTCCAAAATGTTTGTACCAGTTTACACTCACACAATGTACAAGAATTCCTGGTTCTTTGCATCCTCACCAACACCTGATATTGTCTAATTTTTAAATTTTATTTTTTCTTAAACTAGAAGACACAGTAAACTAGAAGACACACTAGAAAACAGTAACTTACTGTGTCTTTAATTCATATTTCCTTAGTGACTCATGATGCTGAGCATCTTTTCATGTGCTAATGTTCCATTTGTATATTTCTTTAATGACATTTCTGCTCAAATCTGTATTAGCCAGTTGTTCTCCAGAGAAACAGAACCAATAAGCTATATCTATATGGATGTATATATGCAGATGTACATATACATGAAGGGATTTATTATAAGGAATCTGCTCACATGATTATGGAGGCCGAGCAGTCCCAAGATCTGCATTTGGCAAGCTGGAGAGCGGTGGTGTAGTTCCCGCCTGAGAGCAGGGAAGACCGATGTCTCAGCTCAAGCGTCAGGCAGGTGGAGTACCCTTTTAGCCTTTTTGTTCTATTCAGATCTTCAGCTGATGGAATGAGGCCTCCTACCCACGGTAGGGAAGGGAATCCACTTTATTCAGGTTACCCTTTCAAACATTCCTCTCACCCAGGAACATCCTCACAGAAACACCCAGGATAATATTTGACCAAATGTCCGGGCACCCTGTGACCCACTCAAGTTGACACATAATATCAACCATCAAAAAGTCTTTTGCCCATTTTTTTGAAAATCGGAGTTTTTTTTTTTCTTTCTTAAGTTCTAAGAGTTCTTTTTACATTCTGGATACAAGTCTTCATCAGATATATTTGCAAATATTTTCTCTCATTCTGTAGCTTTCCTTTTTTATTAATGTCTTGAAAAGTAAAAATTTTCAATGAATTCCAGTTTGTCTTTTTTTTCCTTCATGGTTCATGCTTTTGGTGTATCTAAGAAATGTTTGCCTAATGAGTTCACAAAGATTTTATCCTACGTTTTCTTCAAGAAGTTTTATAGTTTTAGCTCCTACATTTAGTTCTAGTTTATATTTTAATTTTTGCCTGTGATGTGAAATAGAAGTTGAGGTTACCCAAATTTGAATATGCAATATTCCAGCACCATTTGTTGAAAAGACTATTTTTTTCTCCTTTGAATTACCATGGTACACTTGTTAAAAATCAGTTAACCATAATAATGTAGGTCTGTTTCTGGACTCTATTTTGTTTTAGAAATCTATATGTCTATTCTTATACCAATACCACACAATCTTGATTGCTGTAGCTCTATAGTGAGTTTTGAAATCAAGTAGAGAAAGTCCTCTGATATTGTACTTCCTTTTCAGAATTAACTATTCTAGAGTTGCTTTGCATTTCCAAGTAAATTTAGAGTCAACTTGTCAATTTATTTTTTTTAAATTCATCTGTGAGACTTGCCTTTTCACTTTTTATGTTTCGCTTTGTTTTGAAGTTCCTACTTGCAATATGGTCAAATTTATTAGTCTTTTTATTTATGGGGTTTTTTGTTTGTTTTTTGTTTTGTTTTTTGAGACAAGGTCTCACTGTCACCCAGGCTGGAGTGCAGCTGTACAATGTTGGCTCACTGCAGCCTCAACCACCTGGGTTCAAATGACCCTTCTGCTTGAACTTAAAAAAAAAAAGACTGAAGTGGAACAAAGTCAAAACTGTATCTTTCATGTAACTTTTTTTGTTATAAAAATATGTCTGTCTCGCCTCTGGGAATGAGAAAATTTTGATTATGCAGATGATCTCTTTCTAATACTTTCTGGTCTTTCTCCAGCAATTGTTAAAATTTTAGCCAAATTAAAATACTATCCAGCAAATCTTCACAGACAGTTTGAAGTCTGGTTTCTTTCAACAACTGGTGGTCCCCTGACTCGGAGTTACTATGTTTAATAGATGAATAGTTGGATGGGATGTCCACCTCTGCAGAGAAAATCCATAAGCCCTTTGAAATCACTGTTGGAGTCCTTCCATGGAGAACAGCCTGAGAGCCTAGCTTTGGTCTAGGAGTATTCATTTTGTTGACAGACGTGCTAGACTTATTCTTAGGTAAGAAAAACATAAAAATGGTGTTTGTTTATTTATTTATTTTGTAGAGATGGGGTCTCGCTGTGTTGCCCAGGCTGCTCTTGAACTCTTGAACTCCTGAGCTCAGGTGATCTGCCTGCCTCGGCCTCCCAAAGTGCTGGGATTACAGGAGTGAGCCACCACGCTTGGTCAAACATGGTGTTTAGACTTAAAGAAAAATACAGCATCGATGAGTGGGTGTCCCTGTATGAATTGAGATACAGTATAGCCACTTCTGATTATGTGAATACTTGAGGCAATAGGTTCAAGACTGTGGACTCAACAAGGCAATGTCCTTGAATTCTCCCAGAGGTACACTTGCCAGGCAGCCCCAGCTACACTGCTTCAAGGCATCTTTAGGGAAGAGGATCTGGATGGTTTGGTCTTTACGCTTAAAGTGTCTTGAGCTAAGAATAGACTCAGTTTGAGTGTGCTGCTACCCTGTGTGAACTGAGAAAATACCCTGGGTAAACTAAGGCTGAGTAGTCTGAACATGTTTGTTTTTGTGAGAACTAAGACATAGAGGGTAGTTCAAGGATATGTCCATCAACATATTTAATGTTTATATAAATGTTGTTGATTTATAAATGTTGAAAAATGGTGTATCACAGGTAATTTGGGACAAGTTGTTGCTGTCTTAAGGATGCATTTACAACTCAGACCCAAGACAGCTGAGTGGATTAGACTGTTAATGGATGAGGAAACAAGCAGTGCTTATAGAAATCTCAGCTGAGGAGCTTTCAGGAATCTAAAAGGCCAGGTCAAAGTTCAGCAAAACAAGGTAGTCAGCCCAGCCTGCTTTTTATATCCCAACCGACAAAAAGACAAGAGAGTGATCAAGAGGTAGCAGAAATTGTTGTAGAATTTATAATTCCAGATGAAAGCAAAACATTTTAAAAATTATACATATGAGTAACTTTTTTTTTTTGAGACAGTCTTGCTCTGTGGCCCAGGCTAAAGTGCAGTGGCATGATCTTGGCTCACTGCAACCTCCAACTCCTGGGCTCAAGCCATCCTCCTACCTCAGCCTCTCGAATAGCTGGGACTACAGGCGTGTGCCACCATGCCCAGCTAATTTTAGTTTTTTGCAGAGACAGGGTCCCGCTATGTTGCCCAGGTTGGTCTCGAACTCCTGGGCTCAAGCAATCCACCCACCTGGGCCTCCCAAAATGCTGGGATTACAGGTGTGTGCCACTGCGCCCAGCCCATATGAGTAACTTTTAACATGAGTTAATATGTTTTTCGTTTTTAAAGACAAAGAATTGAAAGAGCATGACCTAAAAGCCATGTAATTTGTGCAAATGTTTCACAAACTAATTGAGTTTTTGAGAGGTATTTGGATGTCTCAAGATCTCAAAAAGTGATTGGTGAGAAGGTTCCTTCCAAGCAGCCAAATAAAATCCTTATGAAGACATAAATCTTCCATTGATAAAAGGTATGAAACCAAATTATTGTAAAACATCTGTTTGAAAGAATAAATACTGATAATCATGTTTTACATGCAGACCTAAATATATAACTTTTATTGGTATTGTGATAAATCAATAAAGCGAAGATATTATTATGAGTTAAATTGTTTTAACTAATTATTTATCCAGCATACTCAGCATACTCTTACAGAAGAAAAAAATTAACTTACCTGCTCCAAAAAAAAGTGAAAGCATACAGACAGAAAAATTATATTACAGTGTAATAATAAGATGCTTTTACATGGTCCTGTCCACACACATACCTACATATATGATAACACATACACAGTTTCTCCATGCCTAACTCTTCAGTGGGGAAAAAAAGGTGTGAATTTGAATCTTGATACCCAAAGACCAGTTTCTGAATTGAGCATAGGGAGCGATGCCACTCCTTTTCCTTTTATGATAGAAAGAGAAAAATCATATATAGGTTCTGTTTTTGTCTTTGATGCAAATTTTATAATTCCAAGTCTTAGAATTTGTATATTGTGTTTAAATTCAAAGGTAATAAAATATATGGCTGAGTGCAGGGGCTCACACCTGTAATCCCACTGCTTTGGGAGACGAAGGTGGAGGATCATTTGGGGCTGGGAGCTTGATATGAGCCTGGGCAACATAGCAAGACCCCATTTCTACAAAAAAATAAATAAATTAGCCTGGTGTTGTGGTGGACACTTGTAGTCCTAGCTACTTAGGGGGCTGAGGTGGAAGGAGTGCTTCAACTTAGGAGTTTGAAGTTAGTGAGCTATAATGGTACCACTGCACTCCAGCCTGGATGACAGAATGAGACCCTGTCTCTAAAAAAAATAATAATAATAAAGTAAAATAAAATAAAATATATGCTATAACAAATGTAGGAAAATTAACATTTCTTATTGTGGAGATTGTTAGCATTAATGCTAATAAGTTAAAAAGAAAATATATTGGTAAAATTAAGCTTTTCTTTCTTCTTCTTTTTTTGAGATGGAGCCTCTTTCTGTCGCCCAGGCTGGAGTGCAGTGGCATAATCTCGGCTCACTGCAACCTCTGCCTCCCAGGTTCAGGCGATCCTCCTGCCTCAGCCTCCAGAGTAGCTGGGACTACAGGCGCGCACCACCATGCCTGGCTAATTTTTGTATTTTTAGTAGAGATGGGGTTTCACCATATTGGCCAGGCCGGTCTCAAACTCCTGACCTTGTGATCCGCCCACCTCGGCCTCCCAAAGTGCTGGGATTACAGGTGTGAGCCTCCCTGCCCGGCTGGTAAAATTAAGTTTTAAAAATGAACTTTAGGCTGGGTGCAGTGGCTCATGCCTGTAATCCCAGCACTTTGGGAAGCCGAGGAGGGTGGATCACGAGGTCAGGAGTTCGAGACTGGTCTGGCCAATATGGAGAAACCCTGTCTCTAATAAAAATATAAAAATTAGCTGGGTGTGGTGGCACAAGCCTGTAGTCCCAGCTACTCGGGAGGCTGAGGCAGGAGAATTGCTTGAACCTGGGAGGCGGAGGTTGCAGTGAGCCAAGATCGTGTCACTGCACTCCAGCCTGGGCGACAGAGCGAGACTCTGTCTCAAAAAAATAAAAAAATAAAAGTGAACGTTAATATTTTAAATGTGATTTTATGGTTCACATCATCAGGGAAGATGTAGACCTACAAAACATAAAATTGGGAATACAAACATGGTTTATTGTATTCCTTGAAAAGATTCAGATATTTTTCCTAAAGTAGCTAAAATATTTAGTGGCTAATTGAATAATGTTTAAATGTAAGGAATTACATGTACACATGGGATTACATTTGAAATGCAATTCACATACCACTCTCTTATAAATTGGTTCTGAATCACAGATGAAATGTTAAAATATAAACATACAAGGCAGCTGGGTGCGGTGGCTCACGCCTGTAATCCCAGTATTTTGGGAGGCCGAGGCAGGCGGATCACCTGAGGTCAGGAGTTCGAGACCAGCCTGGCCAACACGGTGGAAGCCCGTCTCTACTAAAGACACAAAAATTAGCTGGGCATGGTGGTGGGCGCCTGTAGTCCCAGCTGCTCAGGAGGCTCAGGCAGGAGAATCGCTTGAAGCTGGGATGTGGAGGTTGCAGTGAGCCGAGATTGCACCATTGCACTCCAGCCTGGGGAACAAGAGCGAGACTCTGTCTCAAAAAAAATATATAGCATTTTGCTTAATTTTACTGGGTAGTTTTTAAACTGTGATTTTTTTTCTATGATAATTCTTAATTTTAATATAAATTTTATCATATTTTAATAGTAAATTGCTTTAAAAGTTTCTTAATTTGGCTTTGGGGCTGTAGGTGAAGTAAATACATAAATTTATTCAAAGACTTAAAGGAAATAAATTAGAGTGCAACACTGAATTGCTTTGGTAAAAGATAAAAACAACACTAGGAGGTACATATTTGTATGCAAAAACTATAGTTAAGAGAATATTTAGACCAAATTTCATAAAATTCTATATAAATAGTAGGTCACTGAGCTCAGGAGTTCAAGACCAGCTTAAGTAACATGGTGAAACCCCATTTCTGCAAAAAATAGAAAAATTAGTTGGGCGTGGTGGCATAGGCCGGTTGTCTCAGCTACACGGGAGGCTGAGGCAGAAGGATTGCTTGAGCCTGGGAGGTAGAGGTTGCAGTGAGCCGAAATTGCGCCACCGCACTCCAGGGTGGGCTACAGAGCAAAATCCTGTCTCACAAAAAAAATAAAAAAGACAATGTAGGAAGACTGGGGTGAACTATAACATTAAGGACACCATATATATGCCCTTGTGAAATCCCCTCCCACATGGACTTTAGGCCTGGCTATGAGATTTGCTTTGGACAATGACGCAATAATACTGAAATATAGGCAGAGGCTTCGCATGTGCTTGTACATGGACTTTCCCCCTTGGAATGCTGCTGCCATCACCACGTGGAAAAGCCAGATCCGGCCCTCCTGAGGCGGAGTAATCACAGGGAGAGAGAGGCCCAGCTGGCCCACTAGCTGAATGTAGCCAATGAGGGAGCCCAAGCAAGATCAGCAGAACTATGCGGCCAAAGCGGAGAAACGTGAGGAATAATTGTTACTTTAAGTCACCAAGTTTTGGGGTGATTCCATACCAAGACCTATACAAAACCTAATTCCAAGGTATTTAGGCTGAAAGAAGGAAAAATACATCATAACCATCACACAATCCACATATTAGAGCTTATATACTTCTGTATACTGTACACTGTATATTGTATATTTCTTTAATTGAAAAATACACGGGCTGTTTTCAAAGTCCAAAATGAGGGCCAGATGCTGTAATCGCCACACGTGTTCTTCCTGCCCACTGCACAGATAAAACCAATTCACTGAGACCACAGTATTACAGTACAGAGTTTAATGATTGCAAGGCAGCCAAGCAGGACTGGAGTTATCACTCAAAACAGTCCCCCTGAAGGCTCAGAGGTTAGGTTTTTCAAGGATAGTTTGGTGGGCAGGGAACAAGGGAATGGATGCTGTTGATTGGTTGGGGATGCAATCATAGGGGTGTGGAAAACAATCCTCGTGCACTGTGTACCCCTCTTGTGGGGGCGCAGGACTGGCTGAGTCATGAGTCACAGTATGGGTGGGGTCAATCATTTGCCAAAAGTCTGACAAACATCTAAGAAGAACAATCTTGGGTTCTATAATAGTGATGTTATCTATAGGAGCAACTGGGGAAGTAAAATCTTGTGACCTCTAGGCTTGACAGAAAGAGATTGGGGAAACTGATGCAAGGCAGGTGAGCCCCAAAGTGGAGTTTAGCCCACGAGAGTTCTTGGCTTTGTCCAGGAAAGAATTCAAGGGCAAGCCAGAGGTAGGAGAAAACAGCTTTTTTACATTTTTTAAAATTTTATTTTAAGGACTTTAGAAGAAAACAGCTTTACTGAAGAGGCGGTGTTACATGCAGAGCAGGGTTACCTCTAGGCAGAGAGTAACAGCTCAGGGCAGTTTTGCAGTCATATTTATACCCATTTTTAACTGCATGTAGATTAAGGGGCGATTTATGCAGAAATTTCTAGGGAAGGGGTAGTCACTTTTGGATCATTGGGTCATTGCCATGGAAAGGAGCAGTAACACCCGGGTGTTGCCATGGCAACGGTAAATTGACATGGCACACTGGTGGACATATCTGATTGAAAGCTGTTTTTGCCCTGGCCTTGTTTTAGCTAGACCTCAATCTGGTCCCATGTCTGAGTCCCGCCTCTGAGTCCTGCCTTCTACCTTAAAACTATGCCTACATTCTAGCAGAATTCAGGCCCCTCTCATAATCCTAATCTTTTGGCCTTTTATTAGTTTGACAAAGGCAGTTTCAGTTCCCAAACTCAGGTTTAGGGAAGGACTATTATCATTCTTGCTTTAAAAAATTCCCCCCATGGTTAGCTTGGCCTACCCTGAGGAGTGAGCAAAGACAGCTAGCCTAGAGCCCGTGAGGCTAGAAGCAAGATAGAGACCAGTCTGGGCAACACAGCAAGACTCTGTCCTTAAAAAAAAAAAATTTAGCTGGGTACGGTGGGGTGTGCCTGTAGTACCAGCTACTCAGGAGGCTGGGGCAGGGAGGATCACCTGAGCCCAGTAGTTCAAACCTGCAGCTATGATCATACCACTGCACTCCAGCATGGGTGACAGAGCAAGACTGTCTCAAAAAATAATAATAATAAAAGAAACAAAGTCCAACATAAAATGGCAAAGTAATATAAAATGAATAGTATATTATGACATGCTTAAATAAGATTTATTTTTTAAAACTAAGGTTTATAAACCTTTAATAATATTGTGATTTAAACATATAATATGGTAAAAAAAGTATGTTATATGACATACTCAAGTTAGTTAGAAAATATTTTTAAAGATGGACCTGGAATTTGCCAGAAGGTAAGGATGCTTTCAAAACGTAAGAGGACCCAGAAGCTAGTGAAAAGGAGTTCCCACATATTAAATTGTGACCATTTATTTTTTGCTTCAAAAAGGAAATAAAAATTATTCTTAAAGCAAGTTAAGATTGTAAAAAGCCATGGGTCTTTAAGCCATGATACTCAAAAGAAAATAATAATTTATTTTCTCTTCAAATACCTAGTATTTTATTATAGCAAATTTTATTCAGAGAAGGAAAAAATATTGTTGAAGTTTAAGTGTAGGTCTCTTTTCAGGATGGTTTAAACATATAAAGAATAAGAGAATGTTAATGGCATGAGAAAGACAGACTCTTCCTGTAAAATATAAATAGGCTCATGAGACTTCCTGCATCCCCCTCAGCACCCGCCCACTTACCGGACATTCATCCACTAAATTGTTACCAAACATTAAGGAAGGTGCGGCAAGGCATTCCTTTCATAGGCATGAGAGGTCCTCCCACCTGACCCTGGGGCTAGAAACTGAAAAAGAATTGAAAATTCTGAAGCCAAGTAGATTTTAGCTTTTTATTTTTATGTTCTCCTTTTTCCTCTAAAGCAGCCAGAAAAGCTGAATTTTTACCTTTTAAACAGATTTTAGTTTGTGGATTAATCTTTTGTTTAAATTTAATTACTGAATAGTGATTTCACCAGTTGTTTCGAGGTTGGTTACCTTTACTAAAAATGCTGGATGAAGGCCAATGGGTCACACACTGAGCCTTTCTTTAACTTACAACTACGATGTCAGAAGAATCGTCACTCTAATCCAAAATATTCTCCTCCTCCTATTGTGCCCATTTGCTCTGACCTTTCCCAAAGGATGAAATAAGAAAACAATTCATTTACAGTGCTTTTTTTAAAAAAAGGTTTTTGCCTTCTTCCAAGTTATATATAGGCCAAGTGTGGTGGCTCATGCCTATAATCCTAGCACTTTAGGAGGCTGAGGCAGGAGGATCCCTTGAGGCCAGGAGTTCAAGACCAAACTGGGCAGCATAGCAAGACCCTGTCTCTAAAAAAAAAGAAAATTCAAAGTTATACATGTACATGAGTTAAAGGTTTCAACATATCTTCCTATCCTCCAAGGCAACCATTTTCAACTTTTGACTGATTCTTTGGTATTTACCTTCACATGTCTAAATAACATGTTTAGGCCAGGCATGGTGGCTCACACCCATAATCCCAGCACTTTGGGTGGCTGGGGTGGGTGGATCACTTAAGCTCAGGAGTTCGAGAACAGCCTGGGCAACACAGTGAAACACTGTCTTTACAAAAACGACACCAAAAAATTAGCCGGGTATAGTGGAGTGGGCCTGTAGTTCCAGCTATGCAGAAGGCTGTGGTGGGAGGATCATTTGAGCATCGGAGGTTGAGGCTGCAGTAAGCCGTGATTGTACCACTGCACTCCAGGATGGGCGACAGAGACCCTGTCTTAAACAAAACAAAACAAAACAAAACAAAACAAAACAAAACAACTATGTTTATATTTCTTCTTCTTGATTTTTTAGTTACCATTTTGTCGATTTCCCAATACAGAAGATGAGGATTTAGCTTTCTTTTGTACACTCCTTTGCATCTCCACCAATCATGTACACTTTCAGTTCTTTAATTCTCCTGAAACTTATAATTTGCTCATCCTGCACAATCAAGAGGACGTAATTGATGTAGTAGATCAATGTGATGCAGGATGTCCAGAAGGTCCAGATCTTTTCAGGCTATTTTATGATAGAGGGCAGGAATACTGTTAATATAGCCCTGGAACCAAACCGTAAATGTGTACTTTTTTTTAATAAAAAAGAAATAGACTTTGGGCAGCCTAGACGGGCAGATCACAAGGTCAGGAGATCGAGACCATCCTGGCTAACATGGTGAAACCTCATCTCTACTAAAAATACAAAAAATTAGCCAGGTGTGGTGGCAGGCACCTGTAGTCCCAGCTACTTGGGAGGCTGAGGCAGAAGAATGGTGTGAACCCGGGAGGCGGAGCTTGCAGTGAGCCGAGATTGCGCCACTGCACTCCAGCCTGGGCGACAGAGTGAGACTCCGTCTCAAAAAAATAAATAAATAAAAAGAAATAGGGTCTAGCTTTGTCACCCAGGCTGGAGTGCAGTGGTACAATTGTAGCTGACTGTAGCCTCAAATTCCTGGACTCAAGCGATCCTACCACTTCAGCCTCCTGAGTAGCTGGGAGATGCTCACCACTACGTCCAGCTAATTAATTTTTTTTTTAACGTAAAGATAGGATCTCACTCTGTTGCCCACACTGGTCTTGAACTCCTGGCTTCAAGCAATTCTCCTGCCTTGGCCTCCCAAAATGCTGGGATTACAGGCATGAGCAACCACATCCAGCCAATGTGCACTTTTGTCTGTTTCATGGAATGCCACTGTTTCTGATCCTTTCTTACGATTGGAATAGAAAAGAATGCATTCACTAAAATCAGTGGTGCATACCAAATATCTGAGGATGTATTAATCAACTCTAGCAAATACACCACATCTGTCATGACAGCTGCGATCAGGCCTACTAATGGGTTGTACTTGCAGTAATCTACTGTCATCCTTCAGAGTCCATCTATTTTTGCCGGGCCATATGGTGAATTAAACAGAGATATGATGGGAATCAGCACCTCTGTTTCCTTTAAAATCTTAAGAGTGACACGAATTCCTGCCATCTTCTCTTGAGATATAATATTGTTTGATTTCCTGTATGTGTTTCCTATGTGTCCCCCCAAAATTCATATGTTGAAGCCCTAACCCGCAGTATGATAGTATTTGGAGGTAGGGTCTCTGGGAGATAACTAGGTTTAGATTATATCTTAGTCCATTTGGGCTGCTATAACAGAATACCATAGACTGTGTGGCTTATAAACAACAGAAATTTATTTCTAATAGTTCTAGAGGCTAGGAAGTCTAAGATTGAGGCACTGACAGATTCTGTATGTGGTGAAGTCTTCCTGGTTCAAAGATAGGTGTCTTCTTGTTGCATCTCAGCCTGGGGAAAGTGTGAGGGCACTCTCTGGGGTCTCTTTAACTGATATCATTCCTTAATCATCTCCCAAACACCTCACCTCCAAATACCATCATGCCGGGCATTAGGTTTCAACATGAATTTTAGGGAACACAGAAGGTCATGAGGGTAAAGCCCCCACCATGGGATTAGTATCCTTATAGTAAGAGGAAGAATTCAGAATTCAGAATTCCCTCTCTACACACTCACACTGAGAAAGGGCCATGTGAGGACACAGCAAAAAGGTGGTTGTCTGCAGGCTAGAAAGAGCTCTCACCAGAAACTGAATCTGCTGGGACTTTGATCTTGGACTCTCCAGCCTCCAATACTATGAGAAGTAAATGTCTGTTGTCTAAATTTCCCAGTATATAGTATTTTGTTATAGCAGACTGAGCTGACTAAGAGACTGTGCCATGTTTCTCTGGAGCTGGGAAGCAGTTTCAAAGGCTTTCACTTGGCCTTCCCCACCATTATAGCTTTTACCCCATAGGCAAAAGTCCTAATGCATTTGCATCAATTGCCAAAAATGACAACTCCATTATACATTTGAAGAGTGGGGAAATGATAATTAGTTGTGGTCACAGATCCAGTAGTAAACTCACTCTGAGCCGGACCTTGCCATGACTCCATTTATTAACTGGCTTCTTTATGCCCCCATTATAACAGAAGGCCACGATGATGCTTGTGGTCTGTGGATAACAAGTTAAATTCATACCCTCTGTCTCACAATCCTTGGCATGTTTGGGTATGTCCATTTCCCCAGGGTACAATTACCCAAGTAAATGACTAAAGATCCCTTTGGGGAAGGACTGAGGAAACCATTACCATTTATACTTGTTGAGGTATAGCAAAGTCCTTCCTCCTGGCCTCTTCAGTCAATGGGTTCCAGGTCTAAAAATGCTCTGGTCTGGAAACTAAGGAATTGACTATTGGGTGACTATCCTTAGCATCCTGGTCATCTATCCTTAACTTTTTTTTCCCCACTGGTACAAAATAATAGAGCTTAGTTGGTTGTCTATCTATTTTGCCCCTAAAGACGCCACCATCTAGTAACCATTTCTATAACTCTCTGAGGGTCAAGTCCCCTTGGTAGGTCATTATAATTGCGACCTCCTGGCTTCTAGTAATTAAGCACTGCCAGTTGGCCAGTATTGTTTTGGGGTCTATCATCTCCATTGCTATCAGTGAGTCAAAGTCTGGGAGGCCTCTGCTACCATCAGTCCTGGCTTGCAGAGAGCCACCACTGAGGTTTTTAGTGATGTTTATGTCCTTTGCACCAGTGCATTCCCTAATGGCCTTGGTAAATGGTGTGTCCTCTGGGCCTTCCCTCAGAACATAATGATCATAACCTTCCAGGCGTACGTAATATATCCACTCCAGCAGACCCATTTCTGTCAACCTTTTAATCCCTTTTTGAGCCACCTGCCTGCCCTAGCACTCCTAGCATTTCGTTTTCTTTTCCCATGCTTTTAGGAGCCATTGTAGTAGTTAGTGAATGTTCACGTCAATTCTTGGGGGTCCTTGGCAGAATATTAAATCCTGTATTTGGGAGAATACTCCAAATTCAATATAACTTTCCCATTCAATTTTATGTTCTAGCTCCCCTTGCTTAAGCATCATCTGAATCCAGCCCCATGTACTCTTCTGAAGCTCCTGTTGGTACGTGCTTGTCTAGGTCTTACATCTTCTTTGGGGAACAGTCATTTACCTCTACCCATCAGGTACAGCACCTTCCCAACTAGGTTATGCTATGATTTAACCCTAATTATAGATCTACTGGCTAGAAGGCTAGATGACAGGTGTGAGTGCTGGCGGAAGGGAGAACATGCCTTTCAAGTAGAAGCCTCTGCAATGTCTTCTAGTACAGGAAAGTGATAGCTCTGAGTAGGGAGGAGGGGCCACACTGCAGGCTTCAGAGGAGCCTGGGGAATCAAAATTTTCATGATCACTACCCAGATGGACCCTCCATGTGTCAGGGTGCTAGATTTTCTCAACCATGACCCTGACTTTGACACAACAGACCTATTTTAGGCATTTAACCATCTTTTAAGTTTGACCACTCTAAAGTAGTCTTGATGCTCAGCTTTCTCCACCCTTCCCCTGCAGATGAGAGCTGTTTTTTATGCAACGAACAGGTGCTCTGGCTTTCACACCAGACCTTCAATTGCTTATTACCTACCCTTAGCTGTTTTTTATTTTTCTGTAACCAATGGAGTTTAGCAATAGCCATCCAATTCTATTATTCTTATAGCTACAACTTCCACCATATATGTTAACTGCCAGATATATCACACCTGCAAGTGCATTCTCTTCCACCTGGTACATCATCCTGATTGGACCATTACCTTGTGCCAGGAGCTGACTATGCTTCACCTACCACCTGCTAGGTAGTCTATAATTCAGCTCCCAAACCTCATCTGGTTGTCTACTTTCTCCAACCAATCCTCGTACTAATTCTTGCAGGCAGCCTTCTTGAGGAGCAGGTGCAGAGAGAGACAAAGCTGGAGCATAAGATGTGAAAGGAAGGGAGAGGAAGTAGGACTGGTAAGAGAATGAAGTCAAATTCCAGTACAGGTCCAATAAAGCTTTGGCCAGCCTCGCTAAGAGCTCTGGAGTGAATACTGCCCATCAGAGGTGTCCAGTGGTGGCCATAATGGCTGAGCCTTTATAGTCCAGCCTTGCTTAATCACCCAGTTTAGGCTGCAGAGAGCATGACTGTGGGCAAGGCCATTGTCTGCGATTGAAGCAGAGTCTGATGGAACTGACAACTGGAGGTAGTCTTTGCAGCTTGGGAGCAAGTCCCTCCTTGAAGGGGGATCTGGGCAGCTCATCTCCATATCTACCACAAGGGCAAACAGATACCCAGCATATTCTCTTTTCAAGGAACCAAAAGCTGTACAGTACTTTTCCATTTTTCATCTTTTGGGGATATCTTCACCAGCTGGGGATTTTTTTTTAACCTGGTAAGGGAGGCATAGCAGAGAATGCTATTTGTCCTCTAATATCCATTCTATCCTTCTTCCTTAATATTATAACCCCTGATTTTTAGTTGGGTATATAGCCACCCAGAATAATGTTGTCAAATGACTAAGTTCTGGCCAATGGGCTATAAGTAGGAATGGTGTGTACAGCTTCCAGGAAGTATCCTTAAAGAGAGGGGACCATGGTCATCTCTGTCCTTTTTTCTTTCCTGCATAGGACTGTAGACATGATGGCTGGAATTTAAACAGCTATAAAGGACCGAAAGGTAGAAGCCACATGTTGAGAATGGAAGAAATTAATTAGGTCCCTGATGGTCACAGAACCACCATACTAATCTAGACTGCCTACTTCTGCATTATGTATACATGATAAAGACATGAATATTAATTTTAGCTAAGGACACTTAAAAATATTCTGTTACTTATAAACAAACCTATTCCTATCGGATGCAGAGTTTGGTTCCTATAAATTTGTGCTACACATAACCTTAAAAGAAATGTGGTTTTTAGTGGAAGCATTTGGGCAGTGGGTGGTAAAGACTCAGATACTGCAAGATGGAAAACTGGTGACCTTTGTTCTCCAGTTGCCAGACATTTGGTAAACCTGTTGCCAGCTTTAGAAGACAGATCACACGCCAATCAAAATTGTGGCACGAAGGGAAATGGCTGGAAATATCTATAAACTTGGTATTTGCTGGCTTTTTCTTGACACTTTAAACCAAGTTCTATGAGATATGAATTCAGGCCAGAAGTAACCAATTTGCATGTAGAAATGGAAAAGAATACAGTTTTGCTAAAGGAGAAATTCTGCTGTAATCCAAGTGGATTAAAAGTCTCATAATTTGGGCGGGACGTGGTGGTTCATGCCTGTAATCTCAGCACTTTGGGAGGCCGAGGCGGATCACGAGGTCAGGAGTTCGAGACTAGCCTGGCCAACACTGTGAAACCCCGTCTCTATTAAAAATACAAAAATTAGCTGGGCGTCGTGGCAGGCACCAGTAATCCCAGCTACTTGGGAGGCTGAGGCAGGAGAATTGCTTGAACCCAGGAGGTGGAGGTTGCAGTGAGCCAAGATCATGCCATTGCACTCCAGCCTGGGGGACAGAGCAAGACTCCATCTCAAAAAAATAAAAATAAAAGTTTCATAATTTGAAGATTTAAAGGGCGGAAAAAAACCACACTTCTTCTATACCTTTAGACTGAAGTACAGTTGGCCCTCCACATTCATGGGTTCCATATACATGGATTCAACCAACCACAGATCAAAAAATCTTATGAAAAAGGTACACAAAGTTCCAAAAAGCAAAACTTGAATTTGCCACGTGCCAAGTGTTAAATACTATGTTAAATCCATGTGAATGATGTGTAGGCATTGTATTAGGTAATTAAGTAATCTAGAGATGATTTAAAGTATAGGTGGGATGTGCATAAGTTGTATGCAAATACTATGCCATTTTATATATGGGACTTGAGCATCCTCGGATTTTGATATCCATAACGGTCCTGGAACCAATCCCCCATGGATACCAAGGGATGACTGTACACAGAAACAGTGCCTGTGAAACTTTGGAAGGAAATATGCCTGGCATTTACCCACACAAGACTGACAAATATAGGATTGAGAATGCTGTGAACCTATTAAATCCCATTGTTTCCAAAGGGATTAGCTGTCATTAAGAGTGGGGTAACTGGGGAGCACACAGAAACTGGGAAAAAAGTTTCGGGGCTTAAAAACTCATCTAGGCAAGAACTGTGGCTAGAATTTCTCCCACAAACAACTGACTGAAAGCAAAAGAATGAGAAGCATATTAAATTTTTACATTAATCATATTGCCAGAGACACACCAAACTTCTGCTATTGCTGTTGACAAGCACAGTTGTGGAGGTGTTTGATTTTTCTGAAGCAGCATTAGCAGAAACCTCAGTGTCTAGCCACTTGTCCTGTGGGCCTTGACAGACGGGACGTAGGATATGCATGGCACTGGTGCAGATCATAGTGGGTATAGTGTGGTTCTAGGGTCAGCGGTGCACGCAGCTTTCTGATGGTGGTTTCCTAGGCATGGCAGCAGCAGTGTGATTCAGAGACGTCATTTCCTGATCATAGAAGAGTCATTGCTTCCTTGGTGGCCTGGTTCTGGGAAGACTTTGGGACTCATTCCTGAAAAACTAATCTAGAGCCTATTTAATCAACCCTCCCAAGTATTCAATATCTTTGTGTTTATACTAGCTAAAATGGATTCTATTTTCCGCAAATGAATCTTAACTGATACCACACATTGTGTACAGGAAGAATAGTGGCTGCAGACAATAGGATCTCAGGAATATGGGAAAGTAGAATTGCTTATCTGTTCTCGTAGAGTTTGAAAGTAGCAATAATTATGCTAGTACTAGAAAATGAGACACTGCCACTCTGTGGTGCACAATGGCTAAGACTGACCTATATACATTTTCTAATCTTGTCCTTGTGTATTTCGTGATCTGCTGGTTCAACATCTGTTTGTACGTTAAACACCTCAATCTTAATATTCTAAGAACGATGATCCTTCCCATTGAGCCTACTAAGACCCCCATTTTAGCAAGGACCAACACTGAGTTGCTCAGGTTAAAAAAAAAATCGTTACTCTTTGTTTTTTTTTCTTTTTTCGGGTGGGAGGGTGGAGGGCAGGGCCTCACACTGTTGCCCAGGCTGGAGTGCAGTGGTGCATCTCGGCTCACTGCAGCCAGGGGATCCTCCTCCCTCATCCTCCCGAGTGGCTGGGACTACAGGCACGTGCCACCACGCACGGCCAATTTTTGGAGTTTTTTGTAGCGATGGGTCTTGCCATGTTGCCCAGGCTGATCTTGAACTCCTGGGTTCAAGCGGTCCACCGGCCCTGGCTACCCGACCTGTTTTTTCTTACATTATCATACAGCCAATCCATCAGTAGAGCTCGTTGGCTGTGCTCAAAATATATCTTGAACCCTACCAGTTTTCAACATCCCACCATCTTATTCCAGACTACCATAATTTATTCCTTGGCTTATTGAACCAGCATCTTGGCTGACCTTTCCGCTGGTACTTTTCTTTTTTTGAGACAGAGTTTTGCTCTGGTTGCCCAGGCTGGAGTGCAGTGAGGCGATCTCGGCTCACCGCAACCTCCGCCTCCTGGGTTCAAGCGATTCTCCTGCCTCAGCCTCCGGAGTAGCTGGGATTACAGGCCTGCGCCACCACGCCCGGCTAATTTTGTATTTTTAGTAGGGACGGGGTTTCTCCATGTTGGTCAGGCTGGTCTCGAATTCCCGACCTCAAGAGATCAGCCCGCCTTGGCCTCCCAACGTGCTGGGATTACAAGCGTGAGCCACCACGCCCGACCCTGCTTGTACTCTTGAAGGTCAACGTGTAATCCCGCCACTCCCCAGCTCAGAATCATCTAACGACTCCCATCTCCTTACTCGGCTTACCCAGGGTCCTGCCTTTCTCACTCATCTCATCTCCTCCCATCTTATTTCCCAAATTGACTGCGCTCTAAGCGCCCTGGCCTCCTTGCTTCTTTTCAAAACACCAACCACATTAAGCTTCAGGACGTTTGTAACTTGCTGTTCTCTCTGCCCGCACCATTCTTCCCTCAGATTCCTCCAAGCTTTTTCATTCAGCTCTGCTCAAATGTCAACTCAAAGAGGTCTTTCCAGGCTATCGTATCTATCACTTATCTTAGCGTCACTTGTATCTCCCTCTCCAGAATGTAATGCTCCTTTATGACAGGGAATGCCTTTACATCCCTCGCGCCTTGAAAAATGCCTGGCACATAGTAGGCACCTTAAAAATACTTGATTAAATGGATTTGGGCTGAACGTATCCTGCTTAACTGCAGCACTTGAGCTGAGGTCACCTCACCAAAGCAGGCACACAAACACAAAAGGAAGCACACAACCAGATGAGGCCTGCCTGCCGCTCCTGAACCCTTTGGGAGGGCTCGCGCGGGAACCCTGGGAAGCTCCCGCGGCCGGAGCTGGGCCTGAAACTGTTCTTTCGTTTCCTCCTGCGGCCGAGAAAGGGAAGAGGTAAACAGGCGAAAATGAGGCGAGCAGGGGCTGAGGACCGGGCCTCAGCTCTACAGCATTCGCCTGAGCATGTATTGTTATCCGTGGCAGCGCCTTGTCTCATTGGATGGCCCTAGGCCTAGTGTGGCCGCGACTCCGAACTGAAAGCCCAAGCGCGGCGGCGTCCAGCCGGGCAGCCATTTTCCGAAGCTGCTCTCTTGGTAACCCCGCCCGGGCGCGTACGCACGAACGGAGGCGGGGCTTACCGCGAGGGCCTCGCTCCGGAAGCCGCACCCTCCGCGGCGTCCCACCGTCGAGGATTAACAAAACGCCAAACAAGATTTTAACAGTCGGCAGCGAAAGCGCGCACTCGAGCGCCAATGAGAGCGGAAGGAGGGGCACCGCGCCTGAGGAACACTCCGTATGTCGAACAATGATTGGCTGGAGCCCACCTTTCTTCTTTTTTGCTATTAGATGGGCTTGCTGCTCCCGCCCATCTAATTGGCTTTGGTCTAGGTACTTCTGATTGGCTTCCCCCGGGCGGTGGGAGGCGCGGTTTTGGGGATTGTTCATCATGGATTGGTGAATTTGGGCTCCTTCTCGAGGTGGTGGCCCATCCCGTCTGCTCTCTGTCCCGTCTCCCGACCCGTACGCTTTTCCCTCAACTCGCGCGCACGAATGGTTAAAAAAAGGGTGTGAGGCTCGAGCCCGCCAGCCAGGCCGCTAGCACCTCGCGCGCGCCCTCAGCGAGGACCCGCACGAGCTGCCCGGCTCTGTGCCTGCGTTGTTTGAAACTGTGGAACCCGTTAGGCTTTTGGGGAACTACAGTCCCAGCTGGCTCCGGAGCCCGTGCGTGCCAGGGGCGAGTGGCCGTCGCGAGACGGCTCCTGCCTTTCGTGTCTCTGCAGCGTGGAGACTGGAACCGGCAATTTCAAAGGACGCCACGTTCAATCGCAGCGCTGGCGCGGGCGGAGGCTAAAACACGGGGGTCCTGAGACTGAGGAAAACGCGCCAAGTTCCCCTCGGTGGCGGAGTGCTAAAGACCCTAGCGGTTCAGGCGTTCGGCGAGCGGGGCCGCTGCTTGTTGCGCTCCTGGCTCTCCCGGGGCGGGCGCAGATGGGCGCCGCTCCCGGGATGTAGTTGGTGTTGGTGCAAGACGGGAGCGAGCGGCGGTCGGGGTTCCCGCTCTTGGGAGCGGATGGTCACTCCCCCGCGGGGAGGGCGAGCCGACCAGATTTTCCTGGGGCCGGGGACCCGGCGGGCTCGGGGCAGGGACTCACCTGTCGCACCCACACTCATTCGGGTTGGACTTGCCGGCGTCACCGCCGCGGACTTCGCTTTGGGCCATGACCAGGTAAGGAGGGCCTGGGAGGAGGGGCCGGCTCCCGGGCGCGGGGGCAAGTTCGGCCGGCGCGGGAGAGGAGCTGCCGGGGAGACCCCGGGACCGTGTTGGCCTCGCACCCTGGTCGACCTGCCAGGGGGAGCCGTGTGTGCCTCGGGCGTGGCGCCTGTCTTGCCGCCGCCGGGACGCGAGAAGGCAGGTGCGGGCTGGGCGTAAATAGGCCAACTCCGCGGCGAGGGCGCCCGGCGCGGGGGTGTGGGCCGAGGACGCCGCCGCCAGCCTCCCCCGACCGGGCAGCCTGGTCGCTGCTCGTCCTTCCAGCTTTCTTTCCGTTCCCGAGAGCGGTGAAGGATGGGGAGAAAGAAACGTTTCCACGCAGGTTGCCCTGTGTCGGTAATTGCGAAATTTTACCGCGCATTTTCTTTCACTTACACTTTTTCAAGAAGTGTTTAGAACGCCGCGTGTCTTAAACCTTGGCGAAGATGTCCTTGTAGATTTTTGTTGAAAAATCGGAATCGAGTCGTGTCATCTTATAAAGAATTTAAAACTATTGGGACTGAGTGTTCACGCTGTCAACAGATAATGGTCGATTCGTCGTGCTTTCTGCGAAAGTTGATTTAGTTACAGGAGAAATATTTTGGATGTAACAGCCCCCCAGTTACAAGGAAAGCCAGGAGCAAGAAATAGCAAGGAAGATACTGCACCTGGCAAAATGTTACATTCTCGGTGTGAGCTTTGCTTTGAGGGGCTAGGAGGTTTGGTTTTTTGATTAAGCTGACGATCCGCTATTTCACCTGCCTAATCATTCTTCCCTTCTGTGTAGTCTGGTTACTCTGTCGGTTTGAGATCCAGTTTCTGTCATCCATTAAATTGGCTCTCGAGAAAAACCTTTTATCAGAATCATTAATGCTTGGCGATCCCTGAGAACTTAGCGCAGGTTGGTTTATCATTCAGAAGACAGCGCTTCCTCAGAAGCATTAGGTAGACAGGAGAGTAAGTGAAGTTGGAGACAGAATGGAGAGATGGATCAGCTTTCCAGTGCTTCCTGATTTGGGTCTCAGAAATGGTTTCAGTGTGCTGAGTTCAGTATGAATTCCTAGATCAGTGTCAGCCATGTGAAATGCTTATTAAGGATGAAATTTGAGTGAGTCTTGTGTAGTTCATTTTATTACTCTGCATTTTAAATTTGAAACTCGTTGCTGAAGTTTTGGGCTTTAAGTAATTTTATGGTAATACTCTAGTCAGATAATTTTTCCTCCCATGTCCTGAAAAATAGGCCTGATGTAGAAAATATTAACTCCTACACTCCTACAAATGTTGCCATTTTTTTTCACGTGCAAGTTTTACTTTAAAACAGGGTGGGAAAGTTGCAAATGGCAAACCAAATCATCTTTTTTTCCTACTCAAAGCACTATTTTTAAAATCCAAAGTTTTTTAAAAAGTTTGGAAAACGAGTATTGTGGTTTCTAGTGCATTAAGAATTGGATTTACACAAAGTGCATCGAACAGTTTTTTTTATCACGGTCTCAACTTTGCTTGTGTTTTATCTTTCACTTACGGTTTTAGGTATAACTTAACACCATCTCTATGCCTTGAATGCAAATTATTCTTTAATAAGCTTTTTAGGTACTTTATTTTCATATATCCATGTTAATAACTAGAAAAGGCATTGGAAGAGAGGACTCATCGTCCAGCACTACTTTGATTTTCCATTCATCCTTTCCTACCTTGTACTTGAGAATTAGAGGTGGTAGTGCTCAGTCAATATTTTCTGAATGAATCATTATAATGAAATATTAAGTTGTTTTTTTTTTGAGACTAAGTCTTGCTCTATGGCCCAGGCTGGAGTGCAATGGCACGATCTCGGCTCACTGCAGCCTCCGCCTCCCGGATTCAAGGGATTCTCCTGTCTCAGCCTCCTGAGTAGCTGGGATTACAGGCGCCCGCCAGCACGCCCGGCTAATTTTTGTATTTTTAGTAGAGATGGGGTTTCACCATGTTGGTCAGGCTGGTCTCGAACTCCTGACCTCGTGATCCACTCGCTTCGGCCTCCCAAAGTGCTGGGATTACAGGCGTGAGCTATCGCTTCCGGCCCTTGAAATAATAAGTTTTTACTACTTATACTATTTTACTGTAGGTCTACTAAATAGGATATTTTGTAATGCGACCCTTAATCCATAGCAGGCTGATTTTAAAAATTCAGTAGCTTCTGTTTTTTGTTCTTTAAGAACAGTGTGGTATGCTTCTTCATTTAAGCAATAAATATTGAGTGCTTATTGGCAGGCATTAGGTTTTCAAATGTTAATTTCTAATTTGTACCATTCCCTTGGTAAATTTGTTTTCAAAATTGATGATTTTGTTGCCAAAACTGATAACCAAAAACTAATGAAACTTTCTCTGTGATTAACAGATATAATTGGTGATTACAACTTTCCTCTATAAATTAACTCTTGACACTCCTTGGGATTTGAAGAAAAAAATGCCTGGTGTCATACCTAGTGAAAGTAATGGACTTTCAAGAGGTAGCCCTTCAAAGAAAAACAGACTTTCCTTAAAGTTTTTTCAGAAAAAGGAAACTAAGAGAGCTTTGGATTTCACAGATTCTCAAGAAAATGAAGAAAAAGCTTCTGAATATAGAGCATCTGAAATGTATGTATCTTACATTTCTGTACTTTAAAAATTCTACAGTAAAGCAGCAGTGAACTTGGTTGACAACTCCAGTCTGACTTGATAGTCTGTAGCGGCACAAAAAAGTACGCTTCAGTGTACTTCTTAGTCAAATCTAGCAGTTTATAGTAGGAACAGCAAAACTGGTGGTTCCCCGTAGGAATCACATCGATAATGTTTAACTCATGTTAACACTGTGCTCAGCCATTTAGACTAACTTGGAGAAATATTTGTTGACTAAAATTGTCTTTCTGAGTTTAAATTTGATTATTTGTAGTGCAAAACATCTGTGTAGGGGTAAAAGGTTTTATATATATATATATATATATTTGTTTGGTTCAGAAGACTTGACAGTTATAAGACATTTTAAACTCTAGTCATGTAACTAGTCATACCTGTTGGAGGCATATGATTGCAAATTATAAAAATAAACTTTAAGTAATGCTTTTGATGCAAATAAATTATTTAGCTACAGAAAATAAATCAGAACAAAGTGGAATACTTTATTCCACCACCAGCAGCTCTAGCTGGAGTCTGTACTACTCCCTGTTTAACATATAGGCACTCTGCTGGGTGACTAAGGTGGATTTGGTCCCATGTGTTAATTTCCTAATAGCTATCAATAACCAGTTGAGGAGATTTGTGAGAGTGAAGCTTTTG
The DNA here is from genome assembly GCF_000001405.40 of Homo sapiens. Taxonomy (NCBI): domain Eukaryota; kingdom Metazoa; phylum Chordata; class Mammalia; order Primates; family Hominidae; genus Homo; species Homo sapiens. The sequence continues at coordinate 62,440,716 of NC_000001.11, forward strand.
TTTATCAGCATTCATACTTCTGAATACTTTGAGGTGCTAGAGTAATAATAGCTAGCAATCGTAAAATAAATGAAAATATTGGAAGGACCTAGTGGTTTTTTTGTTGTTGTTGTTAAAGAAGTAAAAGAATAGTAAACTTAAAGCATTTGTGTTTTGAGATGGGGTCTCCTTGTGTTGCCCAGGCTGGTCTTGAATTCCTGGGCTCGAGCAGTCCTCCCAAGTAGCTGGAATTACATGTCAATGCCCCCACACCCACATTCTGAACATTTTATTTTTAAGTGAGGGATAGCTACATATTTTTTTTTTTTTTACCAGCAGGAAGTCATATATAATTCTCTTCACAGACTTTCTTTCCTCTGAATTCTTATTAATAGAATCTTACTTAGTGCAGCCTCTCCCAAATATTGTCATGGTTAGTTTATTCCCAGGTTTCTGTTCAGTTAAACTATTTGATTAAAATGTCAAAGTAGATGAAACAAATCATAGTCTCTCAGTTCCTCAATTTTCTACTCTGTAAAATAGGATTAACATCCTTTTAAGGGAATTGTTCTGTGGCTTGTTATGTGTAATAATGTTTTTAAATGCTTTTAAAACTTTTATTCTGGGCATATAGCAATTTTTGAGCCTGTATTTCTTAAAATGTCATCTGAACAAGATTCACATACTTTTCAGATTATACAACTTTTGGGAAAAGACTAAATCTACAGAAGTAATATTTTCACCTTGTTTCTTTAAGATAACTACTTATCGTTCTCCCTTCTATATTTCATAGTGATCAAGTTGTTCCTGCAGCACAGTCTTCACCTATAAACTGTGAGAAGAGAGAAAACTTGTTACCATTTGTGGGACTGAATAATCTCGGCAATACTTGCTATCTTAATAGTATACTTCAGGTAAATTGACAATTTTGCTATATCATAAAGCTTTAGTAGGCAAAGATTGATGTAGCATTTAATGTTTTTGAGTTATTGGAGGACTTTAATGTCCATACTGTCTTTGCCTTTGATTGTTAATAAACCAGAATAGGCTAAAATAATAAGTTACATGTTATTAAACTTCCTTTGGGGTAAGAGAAAATGATAGACTAAATAAAGGTGGGATAGCAAAATTGAGTAGACCTTAAGTGGAAGGTCAAACCTTTAATTTCTTTCTCTGATTCCTGGTGCTACAGTGTGATATATGTCTTATCCCTTGGAAGTAACGTTGGCATTGTGTTGTGTGTCCGTTGGCGCTGTGTTGTGTGTCCTTGTAACCTTAAAGTCTTAGCAATATCTGCCCAGGTGCAGTGCTTTGTGCTAATGAGGGAAGACACTGGGCTACTACTGATGAAGTGGAGAACAAATTTTGACACAAAACTTAATCTCAGAATTTTAGGGTAATACATGTTAAAAGTGCTCTATAGAAAGCATGATGTTGTTTTAATGATTTTACGTGTATTGTTTGTTCAGTAAACACTTAAGACAATCTCACTTTTTATAGGTATTATATTTTTGTCCCGGTTTTAAATCTGGAGTAAAGCACTTATTTAATATTATTTCAAGGAAGAAAGAAGCTCTAAAGGATGAAGCCAATCAAAAAGACAAGGTAAGAAAAATAAAGAACAGAAAATAATGTAAAAAGCAAAAGTAAATTAATGGAAATTTACTTGCCTGGAAATGAAGAGGACTGGGGGGGTGGATGACAAAGATTATTTCTCTGTTAGCGAGCTATTGTCAGGCAATTATTTTTCATTCTTTCAAGGTGGCTAACTAGATAATTCCCTTTTACAATGTTTGCTCCTGTAATCTGTGTATCAAACTTTTGTTACTTGTATACTATATATTACTGTATACTATAATCACAATATGTTATACCCATGTACAACTTATTTACCCATTGTGTTTTCAAATTGAGTTAAAATTTAAATACAGTGTATTTAAAGAAATCTTTAACTTCCATAATTAAAAAACCATTGTAATTCACATAAATAGTAATTCATAATTCCTCTTAAAATTACAAAAAAGACCAGACGTGGTGGCTCATGCCTGTAATCCCAGCAGTTTGGGAGGTCAAGGTGGGTGGTGGATTGCTTGAGCGCAAGAGTTTGAGACCAGCCTGGGTAACATGGCAAGACCCTGTCTTTACTAAAAATACAAAAACTAGTAGGGCGTCATGGTGTGAGCCTGTAGTTCCAGCTAATTGGGAGGCTGAGGTGGAGGATTGCTTGAGCCCAGGAGGTTGAGGCTCCAGTGAGCCGCGATCAAGCCACTGCACTCCAGCCTGGGCGACAGAGACCCTGTCTCAAAATAAAAAAATAAAAAATAAGGCTTATTTGTACATCCCTTAAAATTAGTGCTATTATGCAACTTAGAAAATCTAGTATTCTTAAGTGAGACAAAGACAAAGGGGGAAGGTACTTAATTTGTTCATAAAATTATTGGTTTGTGTGTTTCTTTCTTGACAGGGAAATTGCAAAGAAGATTCTTTGGCAAGTTATGAATTGATATGCAGTTTACAGTCCTTAATCATTTCGGTTGAACAGCTCCAGGCTAGTTTTCTCTTAAATCCAGAGAAATATACTGATGAACTTGCCACTCAGCCAAGGCGACTGCTTAACACACTGAGGTATAGCCTATAATATAATTTTAGGGTTTCAATTTAGCTACTTGTTTATATCCTTGGAGGAGAATGACATGCGAAGAAACAGGAATAAAGGGCAAGGAAAGTAGAAACTCTAGGTCCACAGTCCTTTATATCCCAGAGACTCTGAATACTGGAAATTTTTTTCATAAATTTGGTGCTAAATTCGTTAGATCTGAACATATTATATGAGGCTTTTTATAGTCATTCATATTTATCTCTAACGTGAATATTCATACATGCTTCTATAGAAGTAGTAATGTGTTTAGTTATAGAGTACTCCCATATCAAGTCGGTGATAAATATTTTACTTATATGCCATATAATCATTGAATCTGAAAATGTCTGAATTTCTAAATGCGTGGTCCTAAGGATTTCACATTAAGAATTATAGGACTATATTCAAAATATGTGTAAGAACTGTAAATTCCAAATATTCTATTTTTATATGTGATTAGAGGAGAACTGTTGGCTAACTGGATTAGATTGCTTTTTGGTATTTTCTTAAAAATGAAACTTTACATATAAAATAGCCTTATTCAAATACAATTATAGGGCAAGTCTTTAAAACAATCACTTAAGCATTTAGTTTAAAAATAGAACTAGGTGCAATATATTGCTATACCTTAGTTAAGAGGTATTGTAGGCCGGTCACAGCTCACACTTGTAATCCCAGCACTTTGGGAGGTGAAGGTAGGTGGGTCATTTGAGGTCAGGAGTTCAAGACCAGTGTGGCCAACATGGTGAAACCCTGCCCCTACTAAAAATACAAAAATTAGCTGGGTGTGGTGGTTTGCACCTGTAGTCCCACCTACTCGGGAGACTGAGGCAGGAGAATCGCTTGAACCCGGGAGGCGGCGGTTGCAGTGAGCCAAGATTGCGCCATTGCAGTCCAGTCTGGGCAACAGATCAAGACCCTTGTCTCCAAAAAAAAAAAAAAAAAAAAGGCCATTGTAGCGTGGTGGCCAAGAGCGGGTTTGAATACTGGCTTTTCATCCTAAGTAGTTCTGTGACCTTGGGCAAGTTATTTAACCTGTCTGTGCCTTAGTGCTTGTATCTGTCAGTAATGGTGATAATAGTACCTCATAGGGTTATTGTGAAGATAATGTATACATAGGAGATAAAAAACATTTTGACTAAAACCTGGTGTATGGTAAGCATTATCTAAGTATTAGTTATTAATATATTTAGAAGAGGATCAAAGTATTATAATGAAAATAGGGTACAATTTACTCTTACTTTTAGTTACAGATAAGAAATTCCAAATTAGTGCTGAATAAATGTCTTGACATTTAAAAAATGAAATAATTTATGATTTTCCTTACATGAATTAATTTCTATATAGGCTTTATGTACTGTATCTTCAAAACTAGAATAGATGAAATGGAAATTTTTATTTATAGGGAACTCAACCCTATGTATGAAGGATATCTACAGCATGATGCACAGGAAGTATTACAATGTATTTTGGGAAACATTCAAGAAACATGCCAACTCCTAAAAAAAGAAGAAGTAAAAAATGTGGCAGAATTACCTACTAAGGTAGAAGAAATACCTCATCCGAAAGAGGAAATGAATGGTATTAACAGCATAGAGATGGACAGTATGAGGCATTCTGAAGACTTTAAAGAGAAACTCCCAAAAGGAAATGGGAAAAGAAAAAGTGACACTGAATTTGGTAACATGAAGAAAAAAGTTAAATTATCCAAGGAACACCAGTCATTGGAAGAGAACCAGAGACAAACTAGATCAAAAAGAAAAGCTACAAGTGATACATTAGAGAGTCCTCCTAAAATAATTCCCAAGTATATTTCTGAAAATGAGAGTCCAAGACCCTCACAAAAGAAATCAAGAGTTAAAATAAATTGGTTAAAGTCTGCAACTAAGCAACCCAGCATTCTTTCTAAATTTTGTAGTCTGGGAAAAATAACAACAAACCAAGGAGTCAAAGGACAATCTAAAGAAAATGAATGTGATCCTGAAGAGGACTTGGGGAAGTGTGAAAGTGATAACACAACTAATGGTTGTGGACTTGAATCTCCAGGAAATACTGTTACACCTGTAAATGTTAATGAAGTTAAACCCATAAACAAAGGTTAGTATAATTCTTAGACTTTGATAGGTAGAAGCATTAGCAGCTACAGAATTAGAATTTTCTCTTCCTAGATACATGTACAATATAATCTCTGGCTAAAATTGTTTCAAGAGAAGGAAATTTAACACTGAATGTGAACTATGGTGTTTTAAGTGCTATGCTTAGATTAGTGTGTGTGTATATATTGTATGCATATATATGTGTGTGTGTGTGTGTGTAATGTCATTAAAGTAATTTTAATTTATAGCTTATAAAGTAGGGAAGTTCGGCCAGGTATGTTAGCTCGCACCTGCAATCCCAGTACTTTGGGAGGCCTAGGCGGGCAGATCACCTGCGGTCAGGAGTTCAAGAGCAGCCTGGTCAACATGGTGAAACCCCGTCTCTACTAAAAATGCAAAAATTAGCCAGGCATGGTGGCGCACGCCTGTAGTCCCAGCTACTTGAGAGGCTGAGGCAGGAGAATCGCCTGAACCCGGGAGGTGGAGGTTGCAGTGAGCCAATATTATGCCACTGCACTCCAGCCTGGGGCGACAGAGCAAGACTCCGTCTCAAAAAAAAACAAATAATAATAAAGTAGGGAAGTTCAGTATATTTTAATGTACATTTAAGAGTACATTTCCCTTTATGCAGTGTTTGACATAAACTGATGAAGGACATTGCATTTAGTGAAATTTTAAAAGTAAAGACTAAGTACAGTCATGTGTTGCTTAACAACAGGGATATGTTCTGAGAAATGTGCTGTTTCATTGTGTGAATTTCACGGTGTACTTACACAACTAGATGCTAGAGCGTACTACACAACTAGCCTATATGGTATAGACCAGGGTATCTAATCTTTTGGCTTCCTTGGGCCACACTGGAAGAAGTGTCTTGGGCCACACCACACAGAATACACTAATGATAGCTGATGAGCCAAAAAAAAAAAAATCAAAAAAGTCTCATAATGTTTTAAGAAAGTTTATGAATTTGTTACGGGCTACAGGCAAGCTTTGCATGGCCTATTGCTCCTAGGCAACAAACCTGTATAGCATATAACTACTGAATACTGTAGGCAACTGTAGCACAATGGTATTTGTGTATCTAAGACGTATCTAAGCATAGATATGTAAACATAGGTACAGTAAAAATAATCATAGACTACTGTCATATGCGGTCCATTGTTAAATAATTGAAACGTTGGTAGGTGGTGCATAACTGTAAGTTACACGATACTTGAACTAGATTTTTACCTAGTTTTGTCCAGATCTACAGATATCAGGGAAAATGTGTAATATTGATATAGTGAATAGTTTTACCAAAAATGTCATCCTTATTCTGGGTTTATTCTATGGGGAGGTGTCTGTAGGAAGGGAGTTACAATACAACTGACTTTTTTTTATTTTTTATTTTTTTTATTTTTTTGGAGACAGAGTTTTGCTCTTGTTGCCCAGGCTAGAGTGCAATGGCATGATCTTGGCTCACTGCAACCTCCACCTCCCGGGTTCAAGCGATCCTCCTGCCTCAGCCTCCCGAGTAGCTGTGATTACAGGCATGCACCACCACACCCGGCTAATTTTGTATTTTTACTGGAGACAGGGTTTCTCCATGTTGGTCAGGCTGGTCTTGAACTCCGACCTCAGGTGATCTGCCCGCCTCAGCCTCCCAAAGTCTTGGGATTACAGGCTTAAGCCACTGTGCCCGGCCTACAACTGACTTCTTTTAAAGACAGTAATTTCATAGTCAGTTTTATCTTTACAGGGACCTTAAATTTCATTAATAGGGTACCTCTAATAAGCTAATAATGCTAATAAGCTGATCTATGAAAATGGAACTGTTATTCATGATATACTTTATTTAAATGGAAAATTGGTTATTTGGACTATAATGAGAAACTAATCTGTATAGACTTACATTTTCCTATTTTCATTTTAGGTGAAGAACAAATTGGTTTTGAGCTAGTGGAGAAATTATTTCAAGGTCAGCTGGTATTAAGGACGCGTTGCTTGGAATGTGAAAGTTTAACAGAAAGAAGAGAAGATTTTCAAGACATCAGTGTGCCAGTACAAGAAGATGAGCTTTCCAAAGTAGAGGAGAGTTCTGAAAGTAAGCAAAATTGGAGTCTTGTGTGGACCATGATGGAATATTTATAATTCTTTAACAACACAAAGTTTAATAGTAGCTGGTGTAATTAGGGAGGGGAAAAAAGCTAGCTTTTAGTGTCTAATGTAACCTTTCTGCTTATCTGGCTTCACTTATAAATGGTTAGCATTTGGGAAATTGTGACATCTTGATTTTGATGTAGAGTGTGTTAGAATGGAAAACTGAAATGCTTTAATAAGTGTACTTTTGGGAACCTGAGTCTTTCAGAGCTACTGAGGGTTTTTTTTAATTTTTTTGAGATGGAGTCTTGCTCGGTTGCCCAGGCTGGAGTGCAGTGGCGTGATCTCGGCTCACTGCAAGCTCCGCCTTCTGGGTTCATGCCATTCTCCTGCCTCAGCCTCCTGAGTAGCTGGGACTGCAGGTGCCCACCACCACGCCCGGCTAATTTTTTGTATTTTTAGTAGAGACGGGGTTTCACCATGTTAGCCAGGATGGTCTCAATCTCCTGACCTCGTGATCCGCCCGCCTTGGCCTCCCAAAGTGCTGGGATTACAGGCGTGAGCCACCGCGCCTGGCCTACTGAGGTTGTTTTTAACACAATAATTGAGCCACTGTTGTGTCTAGAGCATACCACAAAATATGGAAATACCATAGGAAATAATCATGAGACAGGTTTACCTATCACATATTGAAAGTTGGCAATTAAATGTAAACAGACTAGGCTTATTTTGTTTTTGCTGTCTATCATATTTTTTGGCCGATCAAATATATTTAAAAGGTATGTATACTGTTGAGGATGCACTTATGAAAGTAGTTTCTGAAAGTAAAAATCTCTTTAGTTATTTAGGAATGGGTCGGTCAATTGAAATTAAATGCTAATTTTGAACCTGAAACTTTGTGGTTTATTTTTTGAATGCCTGAGAGAAGTATTTGAGTGAAAGGATTCTCTTTTTTAGTTTCTCCAGAGCCAAAAACAGAAATGAAGACCCTGAGATGGGCAATTTCACAATTTGCTTCAGTAGAAAGGATTGTAGGAGAAGATAAATATTTCTGTGAAAACTGCCATCATTATACTGAAGCTGAACGAAGTCTTTTGTTTGACAAAATGCCTGAAGTTATAACTATTCATTTGAAGTGCTTTGCTGCTAGTGGTTTGGAGTAAGTATTGTAAATAAGAACTATATGAAGAAAATGAGCTGCTGTAGAAGATAAGTCTTGTTCAAAATGCTGTAATAGTAGGAATATAAAGTACTGAAATGAAGTAGATTGTAAAGATTGCTTCAGTAAAGTTTTGTTCTTATTAACAGTTTCCCTGTAAAAATGAAACAACTTAAATCCTTTTGATATGAATACATATTCTATTAAGTATGATTTCTTCTCCTTTTTTTTTTGAAACAGGGTCTCATTCCAGTTGTCCAGGCTGGAGTGTAGTGGCACAGCCTCAGCTCACTGCAGTCTTGACCTCCCAGGCTCAGGTGGTTCTCCCACCTCAGCCTTCTGAGTAGCTGGGACTACAGGTGCATGCCACCATGCCCAGCTAATTTTTTGTATTTTTAGTAGAGACAGGATTTCACCATGTTGCCCAGTCTGATCTTGAACTTCTGGACTCAAGCAATCCACCTGCCTTAGCCTCACAAAGTGCTGGGATTACAGGCGTGAGCCACCATGCCCGGCCAGTTTCTTTATTCATCTTTTCATATTCATTCCCTCTTAGATGTTAGTAGCAGAATTCAGTAGAACTGACTAAAGCAGGGAACAAATTTTGTATACATCAAGATTTTTTTGAAGGGGCGGGAAAGGCTAAATTCTTCCTAGTTTTAAGGTAAGCCAGGAAATCAAACTAGTCTTTCAACAGTTTGAAAAAAAATGCTGATTGTTTTGGATAGTCTGTTTTTTTCTGACATGTGTAATGTCATTGTATGTGTGACTCCTTTGTACATTAGTTGCTTGTTTGAAATTACCACGAGGGCTTCACAGTAGCTCTCTCACACTTGATTATGTCAAAAGATAACATATAGCCCCTTATTCAGTGGACCTTCCCTTTGCTAATAGTATAAAATACTATTTTATTTACTTTCCCAAATTTTGGTAGAGAAAAACTTCACACTAAAAATGACTAAAATGGGCTGGGCGTGGGTGGCTCACACCTGTAATCCTAGCACTTTGGGAGGCTGAGATGGATGGCTTGCACCCAGGAGTTCAAGACCAGCCTGGGCAACATGACAAAACCCTATCTCTACAAAAAATACACAAACTAGTTTGGCGTGGTGGCGGGCACTTGTGGTCCCAACTACTCAGGAGGCTGAGGAGGAGGAGCCTGAGGTGGGAGGATCACTTGAGTCCAGAAGGAGCCATGATTGCACCACTGCAGTCAGCCTGGGTGACAGACCCTGCCTTAAAAAAAAAAAAACCCAAAACGTAACATTTTTGGTTCCGGTTCAGTCTATTTAAAATACCATTTATTTTCTTAACTGCACAAAATTAGGAAAATAAAGGAAAAAATACAATTATTTCTTCCACAGAAATGCCTGAATATTAGCAGTTATTTATTTTTTTGTTTCTGCATATATTATAAATATTATTCAAAGTTGGGGTCTTGTTTTGATTCTGCTTTTCTGATATATGAACACTGGATATTAAGGGTTCATTCAGATTTTTACTTGGTTTCAGATTGGGGTATAACATTTTGAATTTAAAATAGAACTGCAGGAAACCTTTTCTTTTTTTCCTCCCAAAGGTTTGATTGTTATGGTGGTGGACTTTCCAAGATCAACACTCCTTTATTGACACCTCTTAAATTGTCACTAGAAGAATGGAGCACAAAGCCAACTAACGACAGCTATGGATTATTTGCGGTTGTGATGCATAGTGGCATTACAATTAGTAGTGGGCATTACACTGCTTCTGTTAAAGTCACTGACCTTAACAGTTTAGAACTAGATAAAGGAAATTTTGTGGTTGACCAAATGTGTGAAATAGGTAAGCCAGAACCATTGAATGAGGAGGAAGCAAGGGGTGTGGTTGAGAATTATAATGATGAAGAAGTGTCAATTAGAGTTGGTGGAAATACACAGCCAAGTAAAGTTTTGAACAAAAAAAATGTAGAAGCTATTGGACTTCTTGGAGGACAAAAGAGCAAAGCAGATTATGAGCTATACAACAAAGCCTCTAATCCTGATAAGGTTGCTAGTACAGCGTTTGCTGAAAATAGAAATTCTGAGACTAGTGATACTACTGGGACCCATGAATCTGATAGAAACAAGGAATCCAGTGACCAAACAGGCATTAATATTAGTGGATTTGAGAACAAAATTTCATACGTAGTGCAAAGCTTAAAGGAGTATGAGGGGAAGTGGTTGCTTTTTGATGATTCTGAAGTCAAAGTTACTGAAGAGAAGGACTTTCTGAATTCTCTTTCCCCTTCTACATCTCCTACTTCTACTCCTTACTTGCTATTTTATAAGAAATTATAGAGTGAGTGTATTTTCCTTGTGTATATATTAAACACACCCATACAAACATTGGTAAAGTTGATTACATCAAAGAATCTTTAGCTTATCTTTTGAAGCTACTGGATATTATTGGTCTCTCTAGGTTTTTATATAAATAGTGAAATTTGAATTACTGAAAACCATGTTAATTTTTAGAACTCATTTTCCTCAGTAGAGACTAGTGATGCATTAGCTTCTGGGAACAAACTTGTATCGGTTCTTAATTAAATTATCCAAAACGGAGGCATTTAAACACTTGGATTTACACCAGTCTTTTGTGTTTGCTTTTTAAAATAAAGTGCTCGTATTTGTATTCTCCATATTTTGGAGTAATTATCTACATGATGTTTATAGTTCCTGTGGTTTTTCACCCAAGAAGCAGAATCTCATTCAGTACATTTAGTTTTATAAGAGTCATGAAGCTAAATCCTTGGGCTATGTCAGAGGCACAAAGTCTAGAATGTGTGTATTCACAATGGTGTATGTACATTTTGTGCCTTGATTCACTTAGAAGTGTCTCAGAAAACCTGGACAGTTCGCTTCTACACAAGAATTTTATATGTATTTATGAAGATGATTCTGTACCCTAGTATATCTTTTTGGGCATGGACTAATTTGTATCTGTTTAACTCATATTCTGCACGATCTGTATATAGTACATCAAACTTAGAGGTGTGACCTTAAATTTAACTTTTTTTAAAAACTGGGAGGTCAATAAAATTTAAACTGCTTAACTATGTATATGAATATTTGAATTTTTTACTTGTATATTTTTATAAATACAGCTGAGTTTTCTTAAAGCGAATAAGTGTGTGTATATATATATGTATATATATGAGAGAATAAGCATGCATAATTACCTTTATTACTGAATACTTTCTGACAGTGCAGGAGTTTTTCAAAGAGGAGAAATTGTGCTTAGTCCAGCCAAGCTGTCATACTTAAAAGAGGTTTATAATGAAATCTGTTGCATCTAATTGTCCTTTAAAGTAGACATGATTTAATGGAATCCAAAACTGGAAAAGTTAAGATGATGCTTTGGGCACACATAAAAACTTGGTTAAAATTTCATTTTAAACTAGTATACTGAAGTGGTAAGTGATGAATGATTTCATGACTTGTTAATGGACATTCTTGGTACTAAGTTTTTCCTAGAAATGATTCTAAATATGTAAATGCTATTGGGGTAACACTTTAATACCCCATTTCAACAAGGAGTACCTTCTCAATTAAAAAAAAATCGCAGTAGGCTGGGCGCGGTGGCTCACGCCTGTAATCCCAGCACATTGGGAGGCTGAGGCTGGTGGATCACGAGGTCAGGAGATCGAGATCATCCTGGCTAACACATGAAATCCCGTCTCTACTAAAAATACAAAAAATTAGCCGGGCGTGGTGGCAGGCATCTGTAGTCCCAGCTACTCAGGAGGCGGAGGCAGGAGAATGGCATGAACCCAGGAGGCGGAGCTTGCAGTGAGCCGAGATTGCGCCACTGCACTCCAGCCTGGGCAACAGAGTGAGACTCCGTCTCAAAAAAAAAAAAACACAGTTACATAATGTCTTATATTCTTTCATAGGATGATGAGATGGTAATAAAGTCATGGTTCTCCCCACCTTTCAGAATCACTAATGGAAATCCTTAAACAGTCCTGAGCGCTACCTGTAAGTTTTGAATGGAATGGGTCTAAGATAGACACTGGGCCTCTTAATACTCGAGAGACAGCCAGTTCTAAGAACTAACACAAATTCCTGATGTGAGAAAGTTCCATTTTAAGAAAAATGAAGTTTGTAAGAGGTTTGTATCATACGAATGTTTAAGAGGAAGCCTCTGTTCTGAAGGATGTCAGAAAATAATTGGTTTTGCATAATTATATAAATCATAAAGTCCTTGATATTACTGAGATTTCTGAGATTTTTGTCCAAACTGTTATATAAATGTAACCTAATGAGAAGTGACCCTTCAGTGGTTCCTTATTCTCTCCCTTATGTTTATACCCACCACTGACCCCCAAAGAAGAAGGGAAAATGTCACTTTTTTTGGAGGGGAGGGATTTCCATTCTTGACTCCTTACCTTTCCTTATTGTTCATTTGGCTCCTCAAATAGAGTTTTGAGGTTATGCCCTTCTGACTCAGATTTGGTCTAACAATGTAGACTCATCTGAAAAATGTTTTTGTGATTCAGTCTTTGAATTGATATAGATAAGAGGAATTTGAGATGATACTGCCCATTAAAGTACATGGAGTGTGGGATATCAACCATCACTTAGGCTCTCAGAAGTAGATATTTTTTAGTATATTTTGAATATTTACTACATTGACTATAGAATGAAGGCAATACGTTAAATCTGACCAGTTTTTGTTTTTTTTTTTTGAAACGGAGTCTAGCTCTGTCACCCAGGCTGGAGTGCAGTGGCGTGATCTCAGCTCACTGCAAGCTCCGCCTCCCGGGTTCACGCCATTCTCCTGCCTCAGCCTCCCGAGTAGCTGGGACTACAGGCTCCTGCCCCCTCGCCTGGCTAATTTTTTGTATTTTTAGTAGAGACGGGGTTTGACTGTTAGCCAGGATGGTCTCAATCTCCTGACCTCGTGATCTGTCTGCCTCGGCCTCCCAAAGTGCTGGTTTTTGTTTTTGACTTAAGAGTCTTGCTCTGTCGCCCAGGCTGAAGTGCAGTGGCGCCATTTTGGCTCGCTGCAACCTCCACTTTCCAGGTTCCAGTGATTCTCATGCCTCAGCCACCCAAGTAGTTCGGATTACAGGCACGGGCTACTACACCTGGCTGATTTTTGTGTTTTTGGTAGAGATGGGGTTTCACCATATTGACCAGGCTGTTCTTGAACTCCTGGCCTCATGATCCGCCTGCCCCTGCCTCCCAGAGTGCTGGGATTATAGGCCTGAGCCACTGCACCCAGCCAATCTGATCAGTTCTTTTATATATATGTGTGTGTATGTATGTATGTGTGTGTGCGTGTGTGTACAGATGATAGTTTTTTTTTTTTTTTTTTTTTTGAGACGGAGTCTCTGTCGCCCAGGCTAGAGTTGCAGTGGCTCCATCTCTGCTCACTCCAACCTCTGCTGCCCGGGTTCAAGCGATTCTCCTGCTTCAGTCTCCCAAGTAGCTGGGATTACAGGCTCCTGCCACTGTGCCTGGCTAATTAATTTCTGTATTTTTAGTAGAGACGGGTTTTCACCATCTTGGCCAGGCTGGTCTTGAACTCCTGACTTCGTGATCCACCCGCCTCGGCCTCCCAAAGTGTTGGGATTACAGATGTGAGCCACCGCACCCAGATCTGGTTAGTTCTTAAGTGATTCATGTAACTGGTCAGTAGAAGAAAAGGATTATAAATGATGCCATTCTGTAAACTGCACTACTACCCAAAAACCATTGTTCTAAACTGTTCTGGAAATCATTACTATGCATCGTTTTGGAAAAACTTGCCAAGAATTAAAATGTTACTTCTCAAATTTTTTTTCTGTATGACTTGCATATAATTTTAGATGAATTAAAGCACCTAATTTTACTTTTTATATGCTTCTAAACTTTACAAGTGTCAGAAAATAGGTAATTTCTCAAACTCCAGCTGTGTTACCTTCATGGTGCTACAAGATAGCTTTAAGTAGATTCTAATTTACTGGTTTACATCGTCAAAAACTGATGGCTGGTTTTAATTTGAAACAGAGAAATCATTCATTTTAGTTGCTAAGAATCATGAAGTTCTTACTACTATCATTGGTGTAATAAGATTTAATCAAGTTAAGGTGTTGTCACTGGTATTAGTTATCCCCGTATTTAAATTATTTTACACAAAGGTTTTACTAAGTAAAGTTCTGCAATTCTAAATTCCTGTTTTGGGTATGTAAATGGAAAATAACTTTGAAACAGTTACCAAACTCATTAATTTGGGGCTATCTATGATTTTTATTCTGCTAGGTTTGGAACTAGTTCTTGAGTCAACCCTTTAATTGTTCTCTGCCATTGTCAATAATAAAAATTTTGAAGTCCCACTCGGTAAAATTAGTGTAAACATTCACATATTTAATAGTACCTTTAAAATAAGCATTACTACATTTAAAATGGTTCCAAAATGAATCTATAAATGGTAATATAAATTAAAAAATACGAACTTAAAGTGAATAAATTTTTAACCTTAGCTATGGTATAAATAATGGTAAATGTATAGTGTACCTTTGAGTCATTAAAATGTCTTAAAAGATAACAGCTTGTTACCAGAACATTAGAAACCATAGCCATGATTCTCAAGCGTTAACAATCTACATTTGATATTTTCTTGGCCACTGCATTCTTCAATGAATAATAATTTCCAGAATTCCATTCCATGTTGTTTTCCAATAGATCTTTTCACACTCGATGTTGAATACATGGCTCTTTGCAGATGAATAAAACAAGTGCATTCAGTTTAGAGATCCATTTTGCGAAGGCTCATTCGACTGAAGGAATCTCTGGGAAAAAAATGAGAGGACATAGTTAGTTAAAGAGAACAATTTTTGCATATACCTTTAAATGTCTTACATGGTTTTTTCTGCCAGTTACCTTAAAGTTTTGCCACCATTTCTTACTAACTTCCAAGTTGGATGCTCATCCTACCTACTCTGCCTTATATTTTGGCTTATAGATTTAGCTATAGAAGTGTATTACAGTCACCACTTACTGGTCTTTTGTATTCGTTTGTCTGACTGATGCTGCAGATATTGTAATAAACAAGACAAGGACTTAAGGGATAATGGGAGAGATTTTAGGAAAAGATTTGGGGTTTTTTACACGGCAAAAGGCAGGTGTTTATTAAATTTTAAGTCTTAAACCAGTTCTCAAACTTTGTCTCAGGTCCCTTTTACACTCTTAAAAATTATTGAGAACCCCAGGAATCTTTTATGTGGGCTATATATGGATGTTTATCATATCAGAAATTAAAACTAAGAACATCTTAAGTTACTATAAAATAACCCATTACATGTTACTATAAATAGCATTGCTTATTAAAAATGATCTGCAAGAAGCTTTAGGAGAGTGGTACTCATGTAGGAGTGTGGCTTAATGCCTATGTTCTCACATGTGCTTCTATAGTCAATCTTTTCCAATGTCACATCTCAACCTGTAGAAATCTCCACTGTACCCTCACAAGAAAATAAGTGAGAAAAGGCCAATATTTGGCATTAATATGAAATTAGTTTTGACTTAGGGAAATTCCTGAAAGGGTCTTAGGGACTCCCCTCTCATGGGTCCAGGATCCCTACTGCAAATATTCCTGATTTCATAAACCAGCAAAATTAAAAATTCAAATGCTAAAGAAGAATTTTAAACTTAAATTCTAAAAAAGAGTGAAGGGAACGATACTCCTGGAATACTCTTAACATATTTTCCATTATCAGTTGGTTTCTTTTACTTATCCTTCGTGCCATTAAGGTTAAGCCATGAGGCTTAATATCTCCAGGAAAGGAAAAGGCCAAGTACAAAGAGATCACATTGGCTTCAAATCTCAAAGCTTGCTTTGAAGGGAAACAGCAGTCTTGAAAACTAGATACTGTTCATCAAGAAAAAGTTTTTCAAAACTGCCTACATATGTTAAAAACTAAAGCTTGGAGGATTGGCCAAAAAGTAGATCATAGAGGACGGCAAAAACTCGGATGTTGTAAGGCAAAATTTTGGTCAGGAAGAATACAGCCTTTCCATGGAAAGGAGTTTCCATGGAGATCTGAAGGAACTGAGATGAGGATTAGGCCTATCTCAGGGACCCAGCACCCTGGCTCTCTGGGATCTCTGACCTGGTGGGTATAAGACTGGGAGAGGGGGAGTGGAAGCAGCAAGAAGGAAAAACTTTCAAAAAGATTGAAGGGGAAACCAAAAGTGGAGGGGACTAGTATGTTTCCCATTGGGAATTTTGAGAGGAAACCATCTTCAATACTTGTATGTAAATTCGATTTCAAAATGCAAGAAAGTTTACTTTCTGCAGTTATTGTGTCCTTTCCAGAATTCCGGTACTATAAAGTGAAATGTCAGGCACTGTCCTAAGAACTTCACATCTGTAATGTCATTTAATCTCCACAAAAACCTCTTTAAGTTCTATCTCATTATACAGAGGAGAAATCTAAAAAAATTATCTGCTTAAATAATAGAACTAGGATTTCGTTGTAGAAAATTCCAAGTTAATGACAAGACTTTGTGTGGTGTCCCGGTTAATGAGTACCAACTTTTTGATTCTCAAGTTATTTACCTTGTAGAATGATTATAGATGATACAGGTTGAACATCCCTAATCCAAAATTCTGAAATGTTCCAATATCAGAGACTTTTTAAGCGCTGACATGATGCTCAAAGGAAATGCTCACTGGACCATTTCAGATTTTTGGATTAGGGATACTCAACCAGTAAGTGTAACACGAATATTCCAAAATCTGAAACCCCAAACACTTCTGGTCCTAAGCTTTTCGGATGACAGATGCTCGAGCTGTAAAAAGACTTCTACTAGTTTAACATGTTAGGTTTCAGAGGAAAGAATATCTAAAACCACTTAAAAATAAGCATACCTGTGGCAGGTGACAGGCAATACTGCCTTGTATAACTGAGGGATCTTTCTGTTGATCAGTGGCTGTAGGGCCTCTTTAAGGCGATGATAGTTTCTCTCCAGTTCCCTTTGATACTCCTTTTGATCCGGCCCAATTAAGCTCTTATTTTTTCTTAAGGCATCTTCACACCTAGGAAAAACAGGATGTTATCAAGATATTACTTCTGGCATAGTTTGTGGGTTTAATGCCATACACACGCAAAATACATATACATATATATGTGGGCTTAATGACACACAACACAGACTATATATGTGGGCCTAATCACACACACATACACACAAAAATATAGGCCAGGCATGGTGGCTCATGGCTGTAATCCCAGCACTTTGGGAGGTCAAGGCAGGTGGACCACTTGAGCCCAGGAGTTCTGAGACCAGTCTGGACAACATGGCAAAACCTCGTCTCTACAAAAAAATGCAAAAATTAGCCAGGCATGGTGGTGCACTCCTGTAGCCCCAGCTATTCATGAGGCTGAAGTGGGAGGATGCTTCAGCCCAGGAAGTGGAGAATGCAGTGAGCTGAGATTGTACCACTGCAATCCAGCCAGGGCAACAGAGTGGGACTGTCTCAAACGTGGGTGTGTGTGTGTGTGTGTGTGTGTGTGTACGCGCGCGCTGAGATTGCATCACTGCACTCCAGCCTGGGCAACCGAGTGGGACTATCTGAAACAAATGTGTGTGTATTCACCATGATGAGGACATTTAGTTTTTCAGCTGAATGTTAAATAATCATCTTTTGTTTTAGGTTTAAGGCAGGGAACAGATAATCAACTGAGTTCCTGTAAAATCTACTATTTACTTCCAGTGTCATTAAATTGAAAATTATCTGAAGGCATTTTTTTCACATCACCACTTGACTAGAAGCTCTTTCAGGGATGTAATCATGCTCATTTATGTGGCACCAATGTCATCTGGCACAGTGTCTGCCTGTGTTCAAATATTTCTTAATAGGTTTTGTTTTTTTTTTTTTTTGAGATGGAGTCTCACTCTGTAGCGCAGGCTGGAGTGCAGTGGCGCGATCTCGGCTCACTGCAACCTCTGCCTCCCAGGTTCAAGCGATTCTCCTACCTCAACCTCCTGGGTAGCTGGGATTACAGGCGCCTGCCACCACGCCCAGCTAATTTTCCTTATTTTTAGTAGAGACGGGTTTCACCATCTTAGCCAGGCTGGTCTCGAACTCCTGACCTCGTGATCCACCCGCCTTGGCCTCCCTAAGTGCTGGGATTACAGGCGTGAGCCACCGTGCCCGGCTAAATGAATAGATTTTGATGACAGTCCTTTATCCAAGTTAATTCAAGTATTTGAGAAAAGTATCTGGACCCTGACAGACAATGAAGGAAAGGATATTTACAAATAATATATATATCTCTACATATTTGTGGAATGCCACTAAAGTGATGCTTAGTAGAAAACACATAGCATCAAATGCTTATATTAGAAGGCTAAAACTGAAGAGTTAAGCAACTTAAAGTATTAGAAAGGAAATAAGATTTTAAAATAGAGTATCAAAAATTGCAAAAGTTGGTTCTTTGAAAAAACTAAAAAAACAAACTAAGCTCTGGCAAGATTAAATGAAAGAGGTCAAATATCCCCTACCAGAAATTTAAAATGGAACATAAAGTTAAATACAGCAGAAGTTTTAAAAGGCAGAGAGGATATAATGTACTTTTTTTTTTTTTTTTTGAGACAGTGTTGCTCTGTCACCCATGCTGGAGTGCAGTGGCATGATCTCTGCTCACTCCAACCTCCGCCTCCTGGGTTCAAGTGATTCTCGTATTTAGCCACCTGAGTAGCTGGGACTACAGGCTCACATCGCCACACCTGGCTAGTTTTTGTATTTTTAGTAGACATGGAGTTTCTCCATGTTGGCCAGGCTGGTCTTGAACTTCTGGCCTCAAGTGATCTGCCTACCTCAGCCATCGAAAGTGTTGGGATTGTACAATTTACAAAACTGTACAATTTCATACAAAAAAACCCTCTGAATTTATATTCATTGATATTAATAGATTAATGTAGATTTTTTGCTAAATTATTAATAATCTGTTAATCTAGATTAATATAATTTAGCAAAACAGACTCAATGAAGAAAAAAATGGCAATAATCCTAAAATAATCCAATAGGTTGAAACAACTGTCACAAATCTATCTACAAAGAAAACACTAACTTCTACTAAACATCCTAGGGACCAATACCCGAATGTAATGCAATTATTCTAGAGTATATAAAAAAATGCTTCCAGGCCGGGTGCAGTGGCTCATGTCTGTAATCCCAGCACTTTGGGAGGCCAAGGCGGGCGGATCATGAGGTCAGGAGATCGAGGCCATTCTGGCTAACAGTGAAACCCCATCTCTACTAAGAAAAAATACAAAAAATTAGCCAGGTGTGGTGGTGGGTGCCTGTAGTCCCAGCTACTGGGAGGCTGAGGCAGGAGAATGGCATGAACCTGGGAGGCGGAGCTTGCAGTGAGCAGAGATTTCGCCACTACACTCCAGCCTGGGTGACAGAGCAAGACTCGTCTCAAAAAAAAAAAAAAAAAAAAAAAAAGATTCCAGAGTATAGGGGAAAAGAACTATTCTTGAGGGGAGTTCCCAACTCATATTTCAAGGCTGGGATACCAAAACCTAATGGAGACTATAAGAAAAAAATTATAATCCAAGCTCACCCATAAAAATAATTGTAAAACTTCCAAACAAAACACAGTTGGCCCTCCCTATCTGTGGGTTCTGCATGCATGAATTAGACCAACCATGGATTGAAATAATAATTAAAAAAACTGTGTTGAACATGTACAGACTTTTTTCTTGTCATTATTTCCTAAACAATACAATATTAACAACTATTTACATTATATATTAGGTATTTTAAGTAGTCTAAAATGATTTAAAGTATACAGGAGGATGTACATAGGTTATATACAAATACTACACCATTTTATATAACATATTAAACTTGTCTTCAGATTTTGGTATCCACAGAAGGCACACTGATGGACAATTTTAGCAGAAAACTTGTGCCAATGTATTGAACACACACACACACACACACACACACACACACACACCCTCCAAGTATTTTTCTTTTTTTCTTTTTTTTTTGAGACAGGGTCTTGCTCTTTTGCCCAGGCTGAAGTGCAGTGGCACGATCTCAGCTCACTGCAGCTTTGATCTCCTGGGCTCAAGGGATCCTTCCACCTTAGCCTCCCAATTAGCTGGGACTACAGGCGTGCACCATCATGCCCGGCTAATTTTTGTAGTTTTAGCAGAGATAATGTTTTGCCATGTTGCCCAGGCTGGTCTCAAACTTCTGAGCTCAAGCGGTCTGCCTGCCTCAGCCTCCCAAAGTGCTGGGATTTACAGGCATAAGGTACCACACTGGCCAAGTTTATTAATTCCTGGAATAAATGAAAAGTTGGGTTATAAAATCACTAAGTTTTTAGATTAAAAGATTAAAGGAGATGCAGAATAAAAGCACTTGATAACAAACTTTTAAAACCTGTCATATTAAAAACTCTTTGCATAACTACAAATAGGTGGGTAGTCCTTTAACCATAATTAAAAATCTACAAAAAACCTGTAGCAAACATACTTAGTGGTGAAAACCCTTTTAGAGAAGGAACAAGAAAATGATGTCCTCTCTATTCCTAGTCAACAGAGTACTGGACGTCCTAAATATCATTATAAGACAAGAAAAAGATTCTACAGATAAATTATTAGAATTAATAAGTCTATTAAGATAATAATTCTAATAAGATAAATTATTAGAATTAATAAGTAAGTCTGGTAAAATTCTCATGTAAAAGTAATATATAAAGTTAACTGCAGCTGGGCACAGAGGCTCACACCTGCAATCCCAGCACTTTGGCAGGCTGAGACCAGAGGACTGCTGGAGCCCAGGAGTGAGAGACCAGCCTGGGCAACATAGTGAGACTCTGTCACTATAAAATTAGGTATAGTGGTGAACACCTGTGGTCCCAGCTACTTGGGAGGCTGAGGCAGGAGGATCGCTTGAATCCAGCAGGTCAAGGCTGCAGTGAGCCATGATCACACCACTGCACTCACTCCAGCCTGGGTGACACAGTGAGACCCCATCTCAAAAAATAAATAAAATAAAATAAAATAAAATAAAATAAAATAAAATAAAATAAAATAAAAGTCAACTGATTTTTGGTAGAGCAGGAAACAGAAAACACAATTTTGAAAGATAACATTAAGGCCGAGCACAGTGGCTCATGCCTGTAATCCCAGCACCTTGGGAGGCAGAGGCGGGCGGATCACCTGAGGTCAGGAGTTCGAGACCAGCCTGACCAAGATGGAGAAACAGCATCTCTACTAAAAATACAAAATTTGCCAGGCGTGGTGGCACATGTCTGTAATCCCAGCTACTTGGGAGGCTGAGGTAGGAGAATCGCTTGAACCCAGGAGGCGGAGGTTGCAGTGAGCCGAGATCTTGCCATTATACTCCAGCCTGGGCAACAAGAACAAAACTCATCTCAAAAAAAAAAAAAATTAATAAAATCATAAAAGCATTATATACTAAAGAATAAATTTTAAAATGTACAAGACCTCTACACAAAAAATTTAAATAGTATTAAGAAAACATTTAAAAGACCTAAGTAAATGGAAAAATATACCATATTCATGGACTGATGTCAATTCTCTTCCAACTGATCTATAAATTCAGGTTATTTTTTGGGTGCATGGAGTGAAAAATTGATTCTAAAATTTAAAATTTATATAAAATTGAAAACAGCCAAAAACAGTCCTTCAACAAAACAAGGTGAGAGGAATTGCTCTGCCACACGGCAAAGCTTATTATAAAGCGGCAGTAGTTAAGAGAGCATGACATTAGCTGAAAGAGAGATAAATAGAGTACTGTAGGAGAATAAAGATCCCAAAAACATAGGCACATAAACACGGGTGCTTAATTTATAATAGTGATGACACTGCAAACCAGAAAGAAAGAAATTTATAATAGTGATGACACAGCAAACCAGACTTTCACCACAAACCTGTGAATGCTTTTTAAATAAGTGGTAATGAGTCAACTGGATATCTGTAAGGGGAAAAAAAACCTAAACCATATCTCATACCATATTCAATAAATGGCACTGAGATCATTATCAGTTATCAGTATGGACAAAAATCAAACTGATCCCTACCTTGAACCATACACAAAAATCAATTGCAAATGGATTTTTTTTTTTAAGAGATAGGGTCTCACTACGTAGACTTGAACTTCTGGCCTCAAGCCATCATTCTACTTTGGCCTCCTGTGTAGCTGGGATTACAGGCACTCACCGGCTCTTGCAGGCACATTTTTTTAAAGTAGAAAAAGCTTTTTTTTTTTTTTTTTTTTGCCTCCCCCACCCTTTGTTTAACCTATATTGATAAAGGAAAAGACTGAATCATTTAACTACATTAAATTTAAGAACTTCTGTTTGTAGGGGAAAAATGAGAAGTCTCAAATTCAGAGGAGATATTTGTGATATTAAGAAATGATAAAGCATTCAGAACACACAAATACCCTTAGAAATCAGTAAGGAAAAGAATCCAATAGGAAAATGATAAAAGACTTGAATATGTAACTTTACAGAGGAGGGAAGAGAAATGGCTAACAGACACATGAACCTCTTTGGTAAAGAGATATTCAACCTCTTTGGTAATCAGGGAAATGCAAATTTAATCCACGACTACCTATCATTTCACATCCACTAGTTGGTAAAAGTTACAATGTTAGATAATATCAAGTATTGGTTAGGATATATAGTAATAGGAACTCAAATGCTACTGATGGGAATGTAAATTTGGCTTACACACTTTTGAAAAAAATGTGGCATCGTCTGAGGATGAACCTATGAACCAGCAACACTATTCTTAATTTTAAGCCCTAGAAAATCTCTTGTACATGTATGTCCAGAAATAAGGTAGACGGATATTTGAGTAGCACTCTTTGTAACTAAAAACAAAACAAAACAGGAAACAACCAAAATATCCATCAACAGAAGAATGAATAAATCATGGCATATTCATAAAACGGATTATGTAAAAATAAAGCAACATTTACCATAGATATATCTCACAAACACTGAAAACAGCAACTCACAAAACATTGTATACACTGTTAAAGTTAAAAAAATGCAAAACAAAATATGTTATTTAGGGAACCATTTATGATAGAACTATAAAGACAAGAAAGGAAATGATAAATATGAAATTCAGGATACTGGTTACCCCTGAAGGAATGGAGGGAAATGGTATCAGATAAATAAACATAGGGAGGGGATCTCAAAGTCATGGTCATGCTTGGTTTCTTAGGCTGGGTGGTAGACACATGACTTTTTTCTTCCTATTCTTTAACAGCAAATGTTATAAATATTATTTTCAATCTATTCAAGATTTAATGAAAAACGTTTTAAAAAAACAAAACCCCAAAACAAAAAGTAAACACATGGAAAAGTGCTTACTGTTTTTAGTAATAAAAGCCATTTTCTTTTTTTTTGAGCCGGAGTCTCGCTCTGTCACCCAGTCTGGAGCACAGTGGTGCCATCTCGGCTTGCTGCAACGTTTGCCTCCTGGGTCCAAGGGAGTCTCCTGCCTCAGCCTCCCGAGTAGCTAGGATTACAGGCACATGCCACCATGCCCGGCTAATTTCTTGTATTTTTAGTAGAGATGGGGTTTTGCCATGTTGGCCAGGCTGGTCTCGAACTCCTGACCTCAGGTGATCCACCCACCTCGGCCTCCCAAAGTGCTGGGATTACAGGCCTGAGCCACCATGCCTAGCCATCAGTCTGTTTTAAATGGTGCCTCAATTTGCTTTTATTGGCTGGGCGCAGTGGCTCATGCCTGTAATCCCAGCGCTTTGGGAGGCTGAGGCAGGTGGATCACCTGAGGTCAGGAGTTCGAGACCAGCCAGGCCAACATGGCGAAACCCCGTCCCTACTAAAAATACAAAAATTAGCTGGGTGTGGTGGTGCGTGCCTGCAATCCCGGCTACTTGGGAGGCTGAGGAAGGAGAATCGCTTGAACCCGGGAGGTAGAGGTTGCAGTAAGCCGAGATCGCGCCACTGCACTCCAGCCTGGGTGACAGAGAGAGAATCCATCCCCCCTAAACAAAAACAAAAACAAACAGACTGACCAAAAAAAAAAATCCTATTTAAATGCAAGGTGTATTGAGACTAATAAATGTGCACTGTTGGCACTGTTAATACAGCTGACCATTTAACAACATAATTTGCAACTGTGAAAGTCTGCTTATATGTGGATTTTTTCCAATGAATGTAACTCTTTGGAGATTTGCGAAAAGACTTGAAAACAAATTGTGTAGTTGAGAAAAATTTTAAAAAGAAAAAGATGTCATGAATGCATAAAGTATATGAAGATACTAGCCTATTTTATTATTTACTATCATAAAATATATACAAAACTTACCCACATAAACACGGACCCTGCATGGCACCATTTGTAGTAGAGAAAAATGTAAACAGATGTAAAGATACATTAAGTCACAACTGAAAAAAACTGCAGTACATACTGTACTACTGCCATAATTTTGTAGCCACCTCTTGTTGCTACTGTGGTGAGCTCAAATGTATCTGCTTAAAATGCCATGTGATGCTACTTATCTCCAGGTGAGCAGTTGTTGCTGCAGTAAATTGCATATCACAGTAAAGAGTGATTTCTCATAGTTCTTGTGTATTTTTCATTGTATTTAGTGCAACCATAAACTTTGAATAATCCATGGGGCCTACATGAAGTGCCACTAGTGATGCTGGAAGTGCTCCCAAGCAGCAGAAAAAAGTTACATTACAGGAAACAGGTGAATTGCTTGGTATTATAGATTGAGATCTGTAGCTACAGTTGCCCACCATCTCAAGATATATGAATCCAGTGTAAAGAACACTGTAAAAAAAAAAAAAATTTGTAAGCCCGTAGGCATGAAAACCTTGCACTTTTTGTGAAATACTGTTTTTGTTGTTGTTGTTTGTTTTTTTGAGATGGAGTCTTGCTCTGTTACCCAGGCTGCAGTGCAGTGGCACAATCTCAGCTCACTGCAACCTCTGCCACCCAGGTTCAAGTGATTTTCCTGCCTCAGTCTCCGGAGTACCTGGGATTACATGTGTGTGCCACCATACCTGGCTAATTTTTGTATTTTTAGTAGAGATGGGGTTTCAGCATCTTGGCCAGGCTGGTCTTGAACTCCTGACCTCATGATCCACCTGTCTTGGCCTCCCAAAGTGCTGGGATTACAGGTGTGAGCCACTGCACCAGGCCTAGAAATACCATTTTATCTCATATCAAAAATGCAGCTTTTATGTGGGTATAGGATTGCTGTAAGAAAAGTGTATCTGTAGATTAATGATTTGAGAAAAAGTGAAGTCATTACACGACAAGGCAAAGGGAAGGTAAAGGATCTAAAGCTGGATGATTTAATGCCAGCAAAGGATGGTTTGATAATTTTAGAAAGAGGTTTGCCTTTTTAAAATGCCAGTAAACAGGAGAGGCAGTTTCTACTGACAAAGAAGCAGCTTCTGCCAACCAAGAGGCAGCAGACAAGCTCCCAGATGCCAATACAAAAATCACTGAAGAAGGGGAATATTTGCCTGAACAGGTTTTTTTTTGTTGTTGTTGTTGTTTTTTCTGAACAGATTTTTAATGCAGATAAAAGTGCCCTATTTAGAAAAAAAAATGCCACAATGGACATTTGTTACTAAAAAAGAGAAGTGAGCACCAGGATTTAAGGCAAAAAGGGATAGGCTAACTCTACTGTTTTGTACAAATGCAGTCAGGTTTATAATCAAGACTGCCCTTACTTACAAAGCTGCTAACGCCTGAACCTTGAAGGGAAAAGGTAAAAGCTTCTGGTTGAACAACAAAAAGGTCTGGATGAGAACCCAATTTATGGATTGGCTCCATGGGTGCTTTGTCCATGAAGTCAAGAAGTATTTTATTAGTTAAGGGAATGCCCTTTAAAGTTCTTTTGATATTGGACATTGCATCTGGCCACCCAGAACCCCAAGTTTAACACCGAAGGTCTTGAAGTGGTCTACTTGCCCCCGTAAAAACAACATCTCGGCCAGGTACTGTGGCTCACGCCTGTAATCCAAGTACTTTGGGAATCCGAGGCAGGTGGATCATCTGAGGTCAGGAGTTTGAGACAAGCCTGACCAACATGGCAAGACCCCATATACAAAAATTAGCCAGGTGTGGTGGTGGGCACCTATAATCCCAGCTACTCAGGAGGCTGAGGCACGAGAATCACTTGAACCCGGGAGGCGATTGCAGTGGGCCGAGATCGCGCCATTGCAATCAAGCCTGGGTGACAGCGAGATTCTGTCTCAAAAAAACAAAAACAAAAACAAAAAAAAACAAAAAACAAGAACAACACAAAAAACAAGAACAACAAAATACATTCCTAATTCAGCTTCTAGATCAAGGGTCGTAAGGACCTATAAGGCTCATTATACATGTACTTTATATTCATAGAAAGGAGTGTCAGCACTATGGAAGAGAACTCTGTTAAGGAGAACATCACAAGTCTGGAAGGATTATACCATTGAAAATGTCATCACTGTTTACAGAGAAAGCCATCAGGCCCAAGACAATCAATTCCTGCTGGAGAAAACTGTGTCCAGAGGTTATGCATGACTTCACAGGTTTTACAACAGGGCCAATCAAAGAAACCATGAAATAGTTGTAGATATGGCTTAAAAGGTGGAGAGTGAAGGGTTTCAAGATATGGATCTTGGAGAAATTCAAGAGCTAATAGAAACTATACCACAGGAATTAACAGAAGATGACTTGATGGAGATGAATGCTTCTGAACCACTGCCAGAAAATAAGGCAGAAAATGGAAGCAGCAGTGCCAGAAAACAAACTGACATGAGACCATCTGGCATAAGGGTTTCAATAACCTAAGACTGCTTCTGACTTCTTTTACAATATGGACTGTTTATGATAAGGGCACAGAAACTAAAGCAAGTGGTGGAAGAATGACTGTACCATATGGAAACATTTTTAGAAAAATGAAAAAGCAAAAATGTCAGACAGAAATTATGATATCCATACAGATGAATTCACAGCTGAATTCTACCAGACATTCAAAGAAGAACTGGTACCAATCCTATTGACATTATTCCACAAGACAGAGAAAGAGATAATCCTTCCTAAATCATTCTATGAAGCCAGTATCACCCTACTACCAAAACCAGGAAAGGACATAACAAAAAAAGAAAACCATAGAACAATATCCCTGATGAACATAGAAGCAAAAATCTTTAACAAAATTCTAACTAACCAAATCCAACAGCATAGCAAAAAGATAGTCCACCATGATCAAGTGAGTTTCATGTCAGGGATGCAGGGATGGTTTAACATACATGAGTCAATAAATGTGATACACCACAAAAACAGAATTAAAAACAAAAATCACATGATTATCTCCACAGATGCAGAAAAAGCAAATGACAAAATCCAGCACCCCTTGATGATTAAAAGCATCAAGGCCGGGCGCGGTGGCTCACGCCTGTAATTCCAGCACTTTGGGAGGCCGAGGTGGGCAGATCGCCTGAGGTCGGGAGTTCGAGACCAGCCTGGCCAGCATGGTGAAACCCTGTCTCTAATAAAAATACAAAAATTAGCCAGGCGTGGTGGCAGGCGCCTGTAATCCCAGCAACTCAGGAAACTGAGGCAGGAGAATCGCTTGAACCCGGGAGGCAGAGGTTGCAGTGAGCCAAGATCGCGCCATTGCACTCCGGCCTGGGCAACAGAGCGAGACTCTGTCTCAAAAAAAAAAAAAAAAAAAGCATCAGCAAAATTGGCATACAAGGGACATACCTCAATGTAATAAAAGCCATCTATGACAAATCCACAGCCAACATAATACTGAATGGGGAAAAGCTGAAAGTATTCCCTCTGAGAACTGAACAAAACAAGGATGTCCACTCTTACCACTTCTCTTCAACATAGTACTGGAAGTCCTAGCCAGAGCAATCAGACAAGAGAAAGAAATAAAGCAAATCCAAATCGGTAAAGATGAAGTCAAGCTGTCACTGTTTGCTGATGATATCACTGTATACCTAGAAAACCCTAAAGACTCCTCCAAAAAGCTTCTAGAACTGATAAATACATTCAGCAAAGTTTCAGGATACAAAATTAATGTACATTAATTAGTAGCTCTGCTATACACCAACAGCAACTAAGCTGAGAATCAAATCAAGAACTCAACCCCTTTTATAATAGTTGCAAAAAAAAAACAACCTCAAAAAACTTAGGAATATACCTATCCAAAGAGGTGAAAGACCTCTACAAGGAAAACTACAAAACATTGCTGAACTAAATCACAGACGACACTAACAAATGGAAACACATCCCATGTTCATGGATGGGTAGAATCAATATTGTCAAAATGACCATACTGCCAAAAGCAATCTACAAATTCAATGCAATTCCCATCAAAATACCACCATCATTCTTCACAGACCTAGAAAAAACAATCCTAAAATTCACATGGAACCAAAAAGAGCCCACATAGCCAAAGCGAGACTAAGCAAAAAGAACAAATCTGGAGGCATCACATTACCTGATTTTAAACTATACTGTAAGGCCATAGTCACCAAAACAGCATGATACTGGTATAAAAATAGGCACATAGACCAATGGAACAGAATAGAGAAGCCAGAAATAAACCCAAATACTTACAGCCAACTGATCTTCGACAAAGCAAACAAAAACATAAAGTGAGGAAAGGACACCCTATTCAACAAATGATACTGGGATAATTGGCAAGCCATATACAGGAGAATGAAACTGGATCCTCATCTCCCACCTTATACAAATCAACTCAAGATGGATCAAGGACTTACATCTAATACCTGAAACTATAACTAGAAGATAGCATTGGAAAAATCCTTCTAGACATTGGCTTGGGCAAATATTTCATGACCAAGAACTCAAAAGCAAATGCAATAAAAACAAAGATAAATAGGCAGGACTCAATTAAACTAAAGAGCTTTTGTATGGCAAAAGGAACAGTCAGCAGAGTAAACAGACAACCCACAGAGTGGGAGAAAATCTTCACAATCTATGCCTCTGACAAAGGACTAATATCCAGAATCTACAATGAACTCAAACAAATTAGCAAGAAAAAAACAAATAATTTCGTCAAAAAGTGGGCTAAGGACATGAACAGACAATTCCCAAAAGAAGACATACAAATGGCCAACATATGAAAAAATGCTCAACATCACTAATGATCAGGGAAATGCAAATCAAAACCACAATGCAATACCTGCCACCTTATTCCTGCAAGAATGGCCATAATCAAAAACTCAAAAAAAAAAAAAAAAATGGATACTGGTGTGGATGCGGTAAAAAGGGAATACTTCTGCACTGTTGGTGGGAATGTAAACTAGTACAACCACTATGGAAAACAGTGTGGAGATTCCTTAAAGAACTAATTCCTTAAAGAACTAAAAGTAGAACTACCATTTGACAGTAAAATGGAAGAAAAGAAGTCATTTCATGAAAAAGATACTTGCACACACATATTTATAGCAGCACAATTTGTAATAGCAAAAATGTGGAACTGGCCCAAATGCCCATTAATCAATGAATAAAGAAGCTGTGGTGTATACATACGATGGAATATTACTCAGCCATAAAAAGGAATGAGTAAATAGCATTCACAGCAACCTGTACGGGATTAGAGATTATTTATTCTAAGTGAAGTAACTCAGGAATGAAAAAACCAAACATCTTATGTTCTCACTCATTAAGTGGGAGCTAAGCTATGAGGATGCAAAGGTGTAACAATGATACAATGGACTTTGAGGACTCGGTGAGAAAGGGTGGGAAGGGATGAGGGATAAAAGACTGGGATGAGGGATAAAAGACTATCAACTGGGTTCAGTGTATACTGCTTGGGTGATGGGTGCACCAAAATCTCACAAATCACTTCTAAAGAACTTACTCCACTTTGGGAGGCCGACTCAGGCAGATCATGAGGTCAGGAGTTCGAGACCAGCCTGACCAACATGATGAAACCCCATCCCTACTAAAAATACAAAAATTAGCCAGGCATGGTGGTGGGCACCTGTAATCCCAGCTACTCAGGAGGCAGAGGCAGAAGAATCGCTTGAACCCAGGAGGCAGAGGGTGCAGTGAGCTGAGATTGTGTCACTTTCCAGCTTGGGCAACATAGCGAGACTCCGTCTCAAACAAAACAAAACAAAAAAACTTACTCATGTAACCAAATACCACCTGTTCCCCAAAAACCTATGGAAATCAAAAAAAAAATTATGATGTCTGTAAAGTTATACTGAGTGTGCTTGCCCCTTCTGCCTCCCCTGCTACCTCCCCCACCTCCTCTGCCTCTGCCACTCTTTAGACAGCAAGATCAACCCCACTTCTTTATCCTCCTCCGTAGACTCCTCAACATGAAGGCAAGGAGGATGAAGCCCTTTATGATGATCCACTTCCACTTAATGAAGAGTAAAATATATTTTCTCTTCCTTATGATTTTCTTAATAACATTTTCTTTTCTCTAGCTTACTTTATTGTAAGGAGACAGTATATAATACATATAACATAAAAACTATGTACCTAATGACTGTATTATCAGTAAGGCTTCCAGTCAATAGCAGGCTATTAGTTAAGTTTCTGGGGTGGGGAGGGTCAAAAGTTTTCATGGGTTTTCAGCTGTACAAGGGACAGCACCCCAACCTCTGTGTTGTTCAAGGTCAACTGTACTTAGAAACTTTTTAGAATGTACTACATACTGTGAGCCAATAAAAATGTTCATGTAGGCTGGGCATGGTGGTTCTTCCCTGTAATCCTAGTACTTTGGGAGGCTGAGGTGGGAGGATAGCTTGAGGCCAAGAGTTCGAGACCAGCCAGGGCAACATAGCGAGACTTCATCTCTACCAAAAACACCCAGCCAACCAAACATAACCAGGCATGGTGGTGCACACCATAAGGCTGAGACAGGAGGATCCCTTGAACCCAGGAGTTTGAGGCTGCAGTGAGTTGTGATTGTGTCACTGCACTACAGAGTCTGGGCGACAAAGTGAGACCTTGTCTCTAAAACAAAAAATGTTCATGTACTGTGCCTCAGTCATCTCATGCTGGAAATTTTAATTTAACAAAAGAAAAAGATCCATTGTAGTATAAACTATACCACATTCAAATTCAACTTAAATTCCAGTATATTAATTTTAGGAAATAATGTAACCATTAAAATTATAGTTTAAACTCTAATTGAAAAATAAGAATTTAAGATTATAAGTATATTATGACTACAGTATATTAATTTGAAGAATATAACCATTAGAATAGTTTAAACTTTAATTGAAAAATAATTTAAGATTATACGTATGACTATTGTAAAATACATATGCATAAAGGTATACTATTTAGTTACCATACTGAATGGTAACACACAAAAATAAAAAATGTAGTATTGGCTATAACTCCTTTGTAAGGTTTATATTATGTAGTTTTATTTTTGTTGCTGTTATTTCGTTTTTTTTGTTTTGTTTTGTTTTTTTAGATGGAGTACTCACTCTGTTGCCCAGGCTGGAGTGCAGTGGCATGATCTCGGCTCACTGTAACCTCCACCTCCTGGGTTCAAGCAATTCTCTCTGCCTCAGCCTCCCAAGTAGCTGGGATTACATGCGCCCACCACCATGCTCGGCTAATTTTTGTATTTTTCAGTAGAGAGGGCTTTCACCATGTTGGCCAGGCTGGTCTTGAACTCCTGAGCTCTGGTGATCCACCCGCCTCGGCCTCCCAAAGTGCTGGAATTACAGGCGTGAGCCACTCACGCCCCACCTGTTTGTTTTTTTGCAATATAAAAGGAGAAAACCTTCTCTACAGATAGTAACACTTAAGGAGACCTGTTGACTACAGGAATTCATTACCCTACAGTAAATGTATACAAAAAGAAGGACATTTAAGAATTGTAGTCATGGCAAAATATTCCAAAAACAAAAGCAAGAAACAAAGCACTTGATTGTTACTAAATGTCTATGACCTAAAGAAGTATGTACTGTTCCATAATCATCTGGTTTACAAAGATGGTAGGGTGTATTTTGTTGTTGTTTTCTTACACCTCCCAAATAATAAAATTAATGCCAGAAATCAGTCAATTCTAAAAGCAGGAAACAGGTTTCTTTCTATTACTACCACAGTTCACCTGCTAAATACTTGCTTTCCTTCTGAGAGTCTAGAATTTTGGTACATCTCAGAGAGAGAGTGCCTACATGACCAGCTCCTGATAAAAACTTTTGGCACTAAGTCTCCAATGAGGTTCCCTACAACATTTCACACCTGCTGTCACAACTCATTGCTGGAGGAATTAAGCAAGTCCTGTGTGACTTGACTGGCAGAGGACCCGTTGAAGCTTGCTCCTGGTTTCCTCCAGATTTCACTCCACGCACCTTTTTCCTTTGCTGACTTTACTTGGTATTCTTTCAGTGCAATAAATCACAGGCACCAGTATAACTATATGCTGAGTCCTGTGAGTCCTCCTAGCAAATCACTGAAATTGGGGATAGTCTTGGGGATGGACACACCCATAAATTATTTCACCTAATCTGCACAGCTTCCCTACGGGAGGTAGATATCATTATCTTTACTTTATAGATTAGAAAATGCAGGATCATAGAAATTAAGTGACCTGGAAAAGCACAATTAATGATAAGGTCAGGATCTGAACACAAGTTTTTTGCTTCCAAGTTTACTGCTTGTAAGTATTCTGGGGGGAGGGAAGCAGAAACTCAAATACTGAAGATTCACAACAAATAGTAGCTTTTAAATTAAATGATCTAATAGTAGTTTCAAGTTAATAAAATTTCCTGAGCCTTGGCTTTTCTAATTTTTAAAATTAAATACATGGCACTATAGAGTATGGTAGGGTTGTGGGAGAGGGGAATAAGTATATGCTATTAAAGAGTAGTAAATTCTACACAGATTACTTATTATTGTCAACCGCTTTTCTGTTTTTTTGTTTTCTCTCTCTCTCTCTTTCTGACACAGGCTCCTGCTCTGTCACCCAGGCTGGAGTGCAGTGTACAATCATAGTTTACTACAGCCTCCAACTCCTAGCTCAAGCAATTCTCCTGTCTCAGCCTCCCGAGTAGCTGGCACTACAGGCGCACAACCTACACTTGGCTAATTTTTAAATTTTTTTCGTAGAGATGGGGTCTTGCTTTGTTTTCCAGGCTGGTCTCAAACTCCTGGCCTCAAATGATTCTTCTGCCTCAGCCTCCCAAAGTGCTGAGATTGCAGGTGTAAGCCACTGTGCCTAGCCTATTTTCTCTTTTCAATGGTTCCTTAAGGCCCTTATGTCATACTGTGGTATTGGACAGTCTCAATTTGAAGATCTTTACGCAGAAAGCCTTGAATACCTTTTAGTAAAATCTTTAAAGCAGAGTCGCAGTTTATTATGATGTCTGAAGAGCTTTGGGTCACTAGGTATTTCAGACAGAAAAACCTGGGCAACTTCCAAAGGCCCCTGCAAAATAAGAAAATAAGAAGTGTGTTTTTTTGTTATCTCTAAAATCACAGAGACAGAATTTACTCAAATGATTTTTCTTAGCTCTGAGATGGCTGCATTTAAGCTTAATGCATATATGCCTATGCCTATATTAAAACTCCACAGACTATTTCAGTATTTTCTAATTTCATTCTACATTCTTATCTAGTGGAATTAACTTCTTATGAGTTTATTCTTCAAAGAAACAGAATAGGAACTCAAGGACTGACTACTATGTTCATTAATGTATTTTGCTTTGTATTTTTCACATTCTTTAATGTATCCTGGATGTAAAAGTTGTCAAGCTACTACATCTGCCAATCCGCTGATTATCAGAGTTGATTTTGCTAAAACAGGTTCCCTCAGTATTCCAAAGGTATTCCGGACATTGTGTTAAAGAAGATAATCTTTTGTAAGCTACATCATTTGGAGACAAAACCTTAAAATCGTGCATGTTTCTAAGAGCTTTTGTAAAGGTCTTAAGGTATTTATTTCAGTTTTGGTGGGGCACTTTTTGGCTTTGTTCTTTTAATCTGAAAAGTAGTTAAGACATGGTACAGGAAATCTTACTTGAAGCCTTTCTGTATTTTCCCTTATCATGGAATATTCCTAAGACTGGGGCCATGCCTAAAATCATAAACAAGATAATTTTAATGAACCAACCACAAGGACTAATGGGGATGGCTTCTAATCTGCATATGACAAAAGAACAATAATTTCTTGTGTCAATATATTTTTCAAATTAAAAAAATGATTCCATATCACTTATTTAATCCTCACAACTTATTGTAAAGGAGATCTGGGGAAGGTAACATCAGGGAGAATCTAACATAGTAGAGGTTCGCAAATATGTACATAGCTCTGAAAATGAGTCCTTGTTTTAAAGATCACATTCTTTTGTACAAGCTTTTTAAGGAAATATTATTTTAAGTGAATCAATTCCTTCTTAATAGAATTTATAAGATCGCATAGGTAGAAAAATACAGGCAGTAGAGAAGGCAGATCCTTTTCATCTGACTTAACAATTATTTCTGATCTGAAATTATCCCAAATCGTATTTACAGCTTAAATCACACAGTGCTAGCAAAAAGCACTAACCTGATTCACTGTGGTGCCTACAGATCCCTGGAGTACCATCTGAAGCATTTTGGGGTCTGCGGGATCCTGATGTGTTGCAAATGCCAACTCCTGTGTCTTTTTCTGCATGTCCTCAATAGCAACTTCAATTGGTGTTAAGATGATCTGAGTAAAAGAGCATCTGTTAAATCAGTGTACTGACTGAAAACTATTTAATGAACTTTATGTATAATCAACTGAAATTAGAAAAAAAAAAGATCAATTGTAAACTTTCATGTAACAATAAAATTCCAAACTTGGATTCCTAAATGAAAAAAAAAAAATCAACCTTTTAAAGAAAAAGCTGGGGGTGAATTAGGGTCTTAGAAAAGAAGTAAAAAATTGAGGACTCAAAAATGGGTAAAGTTCTAATATGTTATGGTATAAGGGATGGTACATATCTTCTGGTACATCTGAGTTGTTGTTACATGGCTTGAATGTATTTGCTTCACTAATGCTGTTTGCCCATTAATGGACTTACCTCTTCTTTATGAGTGACATTGACCCTTGTTTTAATATAAGGAAAGGCATGAGACGTAGTCAGAATGGTCTTCCTTTTGAATTGTTCATGAAGTTCCCCATGGGCACGGCCATCTAAAGTAAAGGGTGTACAGTACATGAATCGACGAAGATTGTAATTTTTGTCGAAATAGGTGATTCTGTCCTTCATCTCATATGTGTCAAAGTATGGCTCCACATAGGTAATCTGAATATATGCCTAGGAAAGAAAAAAGTCCTTCATTTCCTCACTGTTAAGTCATCATTTAGTCTTTCTCAAACAAAATTGCACAGAGGATTTCAAAGAGATGTCTATATGTCATTATAGTCGAATCAACTATACCTTGTTAGGATCTAATTTACACTTGTCTACAGGATTAGAGTCTTTGATTACTTCAACCACATCCTCTCCAAATCTTTCTCCGTAAAATCCCTACAATAAAGAAAAAGAAACATTTTATATGAAGTTAAAAAGACTGCGAAATAGAGAAGGCCTGAGGGTGACTCCTGAGCAAAATTAGGAGAATTAGTGAGTTCTGTACAATCATATCAATAATTAAAAGTAATGATTTAGGCTTACAAAAATTATACTAGCTTATAAATTAGCATGGTCTCGGTCCATATTTATTTGACATTATTCCCATCCACAAACTTTAAATAACACAAAATATCAGAAAACAACAATTTTCTCCAGTAAAAATACAGGATTCCACAAGAAGTCCTCAAGAGAAACAAAAGGGAACAGAAAGCAAAGACAAAAGAAACTCATTATTGTTGATGTATAAAAATCTTAGTTTTACTGAGTTTATTGTGGCTTGATTTCTTAGAGACCATGGGTTAATGAATAAACATTCATTTTTATGAACTATTTTTTTAATCCCAGAATTTTCAAATAAAAGCATTGACCTGTTGCAGTTCTCTATGGGTTTACATTTTGAAAAGGCAACCTTAGGTCAAGAATATAGTGACTACTCCATATGACACTGAGTAGCAGCAGCATGGGTAAAGGATGAAGCTATTCAAAAGGAAAAATCGAATTTGAATCTTCAAAGGAGAAACCCCCACTGCTATCCCAAAGGTAATTTTTATAATTGAGTAAGTCTCAATTAATATTTCCCAAGACTTACACCTAACCTCTTGAAAAATAAAAAGTCACAGTTTGAGCCAATTTATGTCAGTTTGGCCAGAGAAGTCACCAATAGGAATATAACATTCAAGAAATTAACATCAGTGAGAATAAAAACAAGCCCAGAGCACTACTTCTCTTTGTGAATACAAATCACCTGGGGATCTTGTTAAAATGCAGACTTTGATTCACAGGGGCTGGGGTGGGGTCTGAGGTTCTGCATTTCAAACAATCTCCCAGGTGAACCCAATGCTTCCGGTCCATCCACTACACTTTGAGTAACAAAAATAGAGAAAGGTTGGAAAGAATAACTATAACAGAAAATACTAGTTAGCCCAGTAAATATAAAACGCAATCATTTATGGTGAAAATTAAGAAATTATAAAGGTTAAAGGAAGTGTTTTTAAGGTGTGATTTCAGGCTTTTACGTTCTAAAGATACCTCACCTGGAACCAGTTAAGCCAAAGAGATAATATGCTTGGGTCAGAAATTTCTTAGGGTTCTGGTTCTAGTTCAATTATTAGCTACTACTTAATTCTTTGTCTTTTTCAACAAAATGTGGGATTATACTATATATTTCTCCGTTAAGTCGCAGTAATTCTGAAGGATACAGGGGTTTCTAAAATATGTGTGAAAATAGTCTCAAAAAATAGACAATATTACTATTTTATTGCTGCCATAAAAGATTTGAAAGAGTATTATTGTAACTATTAAAAGTCCTTATTCTCTAACGGAGTAGTTTACTTGGCAAGATCTGGCTTACTAAATGATTAGATCTGGATCTGAAAGTCTAATCATCAGAGAGAATACAAACTAAAGATGACATTTTATGAACCACCACAGCATTCACCTCCAATCTGTGAGATATCTCTGCAAGTTTGGTTATTGCAGGCTCCTTGTAAACAAATTCTTGTTCATCCAAATCCCCGAACTTGGTTCCATAAAAACCAACACGAAAATAGGTGCCAAACATCCGCTTACCATCCTAGGTTTAGGAAAATGGAGAAACTTTAATATGAAATCTTCCTGTTTTTCACATTATGTTTAGATTGTTACAGCATAAAATTTCCAAAACATTGCAAAAAGTTTTAATTCAAAATTATAATATTTTAAATGAAGGTTTAAACAAAGTAAACAGTCTTTCCTTTTTCATTATTTCTAACAAATAAGTATGCAAATAGGGCTACTAACAAGTGACTAAATCACATATAATATTTTTCGGAGTTTGTACGAAGTGCCTCTATCACATTGGTCTATGTTTTTTAAATCTATATAACTGAGATAAATTAACTCATTTTCCTTATTGCAAGAAAAGATGCTTGATATAAACTGTCTTAATTGTACTGATACTAGAGCATACTAGGTCAAGTTAAATTTTAAAACAACACTTACATATTTTTAAATTAGCATTAGCCTTTATATAACCTCTTCACGTATTAAATGAGATTGTAAAAGTTAGGAGTCAAAGATAGCACCTGGCATAGAGCAGGCAATGTAAATGTCAAGACCCTCCAGAAGCACTAATGCAAAAATTCTACAATTAGCAGCCCTGTGCCAATAAATTATTATTATTATTATTATTTAGATGGCGTCTCACTCTTTTGCCCAGGCTGGAGTGCAGTGGCACAATCTTGGCTCACTGCAACCTCTACCTCCCAAGTTCAAGTGATTCTCCTGCCTCAGCCTCCCGAGTAGCTGGGATTACAGGCATATGCCACCACACCTGGCTAATTTTTGTATTTTTAGTAGAGACGGGTTTCAGCATGTTGGCTAGGCTGTTCTCAAACTCCTGGCCTCAGGTGATCTACCCACCTCAGCCTCCCAAAGTGCTGAGATTATAGGCGTGAGCCACCGCACCCAGCCCAGTAAAAAATTTTTATGTAGAAGAGTTACTAAAAATGGAACAGAAAAGGAAAAAAAAATCTATGAGTGAAAGATAATAAGTAAAAAATTTTTGAGATGAGTTGGTTATTCTAAATCACCCAAACCACCCATTGGCATGCATTAACTACACATTCATGTCAGGTACAAAGTACATTAAGATCACCTTAACTCTCACACAGCATATCAGAAGACAAATTCTTTCAATAAAGATAAATATTTGGACACTTTCTATGCAATTTTTACAATTTTTTTTAAAAAAGTGTCACCTCAGCCTCCTGAGTAGCTGGGATTACAGGTGTGTGCCACCTTGCTCAGCTAATTTTTACAATTTAGATACAAAATTATTTTAGGATTCTCTGGTGGTGCCTATATGCGCATTACAAGTAAGTAAATACCTCTGAATTCTCTTTAAGCCTAATCTGCTTTATATTTATTTTTCCTATACTGAAAAAGCAAAAGGGCATATAAAATAAGCTAGAAATGCCACACATAATTAAGCAAAATGGGAAGCTCTAATCCTTAATTTACCAGTTTTATAATACCAAAAAAAAAGGTATAGTGATGAAAAATATCCCTACATTTTTGTCCAAAAACATGTAAAGTTTTAAAGAAAAATGTATTTGGAGCTAAAGAAAGTTGAGGCTTCTAATTTAAAAACATTTTTTCAGTTACTTTATTTCAAAATTTAACACACATAAAAATTAACTGATTTCTACAGCAAATTAATCCATCTATATAGATTGAATGATTCAACTAAAATTCTGATTAAAACCATAAGTAAGCCAAAAGAACAACATAATAATAGTAAATTCTGACTTAAGTAATAAAGGCACTGCATGAAAAATAAAAAAAAGAACCTAAGAAAATTACTTAAAAATTTGTCATTTTTTTCAAAACATGTCATACACATATATACATATACATTCCTACTTTTTGTTTTTTATTTATTTTTAGTTTTTAGTTTTTTTGAGACAGGGTCTCACTCCATTACCCAGACTGGAATACAGTGGTGCAACCACAGCTCACTACAGCTTCTGTCTCCTGGGCTCAAGCGATCCTTCCACCTCAGTCTCCTGAGTAGCTAGGACTACAGAAGCATGCCACCACACCCAGCTAATTTTTTGTACTTTTTGTAGAGATGGGGTTTTGCCACGCTGCCCAGGCTGGTCTTGAATTCCTGGGCTCAAGTGATCTAGCTGCCTCAGCCTCCCAAAGTGCTGAGATTACAGGTGTGACCTGTAATATTAATATGCTGCTACTCTGGCTGTCCTCCTCTCAGAGGTTTCCAGTTTAAAACAATATTCCAATTCTTCAATATTGTGGCCCTTTAAATATTTGAAGATAACAATTAGGACTTGTTCCCTTTAGTTAAACTTTCCAGTTTTCAATCTTCATATGACAGTAATTTCTACTCTGTTGACACTTTATTACAATGCCATCCTTTAAAGTGTGATATCCCAGATATAACCATAATACTGTTGATGTGATCTGACCAATGAAGGTGTGTTGCTGGGCTCAATGTCACCTTCAATCTGAACACTGAATTTTATTAAGGTAGCTTAAAACTAACCTACCTCTTTTTATTATATTTTCTCATGACATTCGGTTCAAGGAAAAATAATTAATGGGTGTTTATTATGTTAGCCACTGTTCATCTTCAGTAATAGGAAAGTAAAAATAAGTTAGACTTGCTTCCCAAGAGAGTAAAAAATGTATTCAAATAATTACAAAACAAAGGGATATATGCTATACTAAAAAGAGGTATAAGGGAAGATTAATCTTGTTGCAAGTAAGTCACAACAGAGGTAATGCATAGGGTTCTACTCAAAATAAACGGCCAAGTGGACAGGGAAGGGAAGGAAGGAACACTGATAGAGGGTCAGGGGAAGGCAGATACAAATATTAGGGAAAGCGTTCATCCATTCAAATACTTATTGAGCCCTTACTATGTGTTAGCAAACTGTTCTAGATATTTATGATAAATCTGTGAACAGGCCAGGCGCGGTGGCTCATGCCTGTAATCCCAGCACTTTGGGAGGCCAAGGCGGGGGGGATCACGAGGTCAGGAGATCGAGACCACCCTGGCTAACACGGTGAAACCCTGTCTCTACTAAAAATACAAAACATAAGCCTGGCGCCGTGGCGGGTGCCCGCAGTCCCAGCTGCTCGGGAGGCTGAGGCACGAGAATGGCGTGAACCCGGGAGGCGGAGCTTGCAGTGAGCCGAGATCGCGTCACTGCACTCCAGCCTGGGCGACAGAGCGAGACTCCGTCTCAAAAAAAAAAAAAAAAAAAAATCTGTGAACAAAAGGGACAAAGAAGATGGTCAGGGTAGGTTTCATCTGAGCAAAGACTGAAGGAGATGGAAGACTTATTCATGTGAATCCCTGAGCGACGTGCATCCCAGGCAGAGGAAAGAGCCAGTGCAAAGATCAGGAGGCTAAAGCCTACCGAGTGTGTTTGAGGAACAGGAAGGTAAGCAGTGTGGTTGGAGCAGAGTAAGCAAACAGGTAGAATCGGATGAGATAAGGTTAGAGAAGTAACTACAAGGAGTTACTGGATATTTAAAAATAAATGTTTGTGTGCAGAATGGAGTGGAGGAGAGAGCATCAGGGGATGAGGCTAGAGAGAAAGAAAGGCTGAGAATTTGACTATTTTCAACTTACACTCCCTCTAGTGTCAAACTACTACGGAAGTATGCTTCACGGAAGCACAGTCATATTGCTTCGCCTGCAGGAAAAACTCACTTCATCTTTATTTCTTCTTCAGAGCTTTGGACCACAGGATGATACCTGTTTTTCTTTTGAATTAAAAAAAAAACAAAAACAAAAAACTTTCCTATAAATTAGGCTGTTTTTCTAGCATTACCTTTCTTTACTGTTATGAATCCTTTCTGAACTTTCTATCACTCCTCACAATACAGCTTATTCTTCCTTAGCGATTCTACTTACTGCTTCCACAATCCTCTGGGTGATAAGACTATGTCCGGGACGAAGAAATCCATCTACCATGTTTCTAAATGGTTCAAACCTCTTATGACAAATATATCATAAATCTATTTTAGTTTTGTTGTCTTTATTTAGCAAGAAACATTCCGATGGACTAGTTGTATATTTCCACAGTGACATCATTTCTCTAACTTCTTTTATCCTCTCCCAGTTGTTTTCCACAATGCTTCCTTTAAGTTAACTGATTTCCATATAGGCATACCAGTATTTCACACAATGGTGATCTTTCTTTCCTTCTACTAGGTTTATTCCTCTTAAAGAGCATTTACCAGTTCACTTCTAGATGCAGATCTCAACTGGGAAATATAAAACCTCTTAGATTTTATTAACTAGTGTTAAGATTTCTAATAGTAATTATGATTAAATCATATTAACAACAAAAATAACAACTTTCAACATTTTTTGAGTACTTACTATGTGCTAGACACTGGTTAACCACTTTACATGTATTATATCAATCCTTATCACAACTTTATGTGATAGATTAAATTATTTTCACCCTCATTTTATAGAGGAGGAAAAGTATCTTGCCCAAGGTCACGCTGTTAGTAAGTGGTGGAGTGGGAAGTTAAACTCTAATATATTTGACACCCGACTCTAAGCATTTTTTTTTTTTTTTTTGAGACAAAGTCTCACTCTTGTTGCCCAGGCTAGAGTGCAACGGCGCAATCTTAGCTCACCACAACCTCCGCCTCCCGGGTTCAAGCGATTCTCCTGCCTCAGCCTCCCAAGTAGCTGGGATTACCACCATGTCCGGCTAATTTTGTATTTTTAGTACAGACAGGGTTTCTCCATGTTGGTCAGGCTTAGGTGATTCACCTGCCTCAGCCTCCCAAAGTGCTGGGATTACAGACATGAGCCACCACGCTCGGCCTCAAGCTCTTAATTAAGCTTTATGTTCCCCATATTCTATATATACTGGTATAAACACCAGGACATTAGCATAACCCCTGAACTATCATCCACTTCTCTGGTGTTTTCTTGAGAATTCTTACAAATTTCCTCAAGAAATTCTTTTGAGGATTACCTCCTTCCCTATGTTGTTTTCCTCTATATTTCATCCTCTACTGCAATTATTTTTGCATGCTTGCATATCCTTTATACTTCAGCATAAAAATCAGGTTGGTGGCTTACTGACAAAACACATTCTTCCAAGATATATTGTACTCCATTTCTTATCAGAAGGACATATCTGACCATTTTATGTCCCAGTCCGAAAAAAAGAAACCACATCTAATATCATCTACATAGTAAATATTTGCTGTCCATATTTTTCTTTCTTTTTAAAAGACAGGGTCTTACTATGTCACCCAGGCTAGAGTGCAGTGGTGATCATAGTTCACTGTAACCTCAAACTCTTGGGCCTAAGTGATCTTCCTGCTTCAGTCTCCCAAGTAGCTAGGACCACAGGTACACACCACCATGCCCAGCTAATTTTTTTTTTTTTTTTTTTTTTTTTTTTTTTTTTTTTGGGTAGAGATGAGATCTCAGTGTTGCCCAGACTGGTTTCAAACTTCAGGCCTCAAGCGAGGATCGCGCCTTGGCCTCCCATAATGTTGGGATTACAGGTGTCAGCCACCATGCTGGGCTTTCATATCTTTCTTTTTCTTCTCAAAAGTAGCATAAGGGGCAGAAAAAAAATCAGTGGTATGGGATATATTATCAGGTGCTCAGTTATGGGTCTATACCAGTCATCAGGGAGTCACTAACTACCAGAAAGTATCTCCTCTTAGAGATACTAAGATTCTTCCCATTTACTATGTTTTCCTTAACTTTCTTCATATCTAACTTTACCTTTCTGAGGTAAAGGCTCATGGATGTTTTATACCTACAATGTTCTGATTTCTTTTTTTTTTTTTTGAGACAGGGTCTCGTTTTGTTGCCCAGGCTGGAGCATAGTAGCATGGTCTCAGCGCACTGCAAACTCTACCTTCCCGGCTCAAGCAATCCTCCCACCTCAGCCTTCCAAGTAGCTGAGACCACAGGTACATGCCCCAGCAATTTTTTTTGTTTCTTTTTGGTAGAGACATGGGTTTTGCCATGTTGACCATGCTGGTCTTAAACTCCTGAACTAAAGCGATCCTCCCACCTTGGCCTCCCAAAGTGCTGGGATTACAGGTGTGGGCCACTGTGCCTGACCTGTTTTACTTTCTCCTTTAGAGTGTCACATTTACCCACTTGACTACCCAAAAGTACTTGTTTTCACTATGCTCTATTCTTGAATTTTTATTTCATTTCCCTCTTTCAGAGTTGATCGCCCTGCTCATTATAATTTGCTGTTTCTAATCCTGTTCTATCTTTTAACTGCTTGGATGTGTTACTTTATGTCACTCAGCTTTAGTGTGGATTGAAGAAAATAAAAATCCAACAGAAGCCACTGAGCCAGAACTATGGCCAGTATTTCTGAACATATAAAAACCAAAATACTGGCTCACATTCATGTCCATTCAGTCCAATAATGAGAGTTAAGATATAGTCAATTTGCATCTGTCAATCTCAAAAGTTAGGGTAATCTATATTTCCTTAGGGATCTAGTAGAGATCTTCTCTAGCCT
This sequence comes from Homo sapiens, assembly GCF_000001405.40. NCBI lineage: Eukaryota > Metazoa > Chordata > Mammalia > Primates > Hominidae > Homo > Homo sapiens. Next base: position 62,484,295 of record NC_000001.11, read on the forward strand.
TTCCAGAAAATGTAAGATATACTTTACTAGAGTAGTGGTGTTCTTTAAAGAAATATGTTGTGATCTTTGAATGGAAAAAAAAGTATCACATGACTATGTTATCACTGGGGATTGATTTTTCTGAAAAATTTAAACTTGTATTAGTGTACTTCTGAATACAAATTCGTCACTATTTGATAACTGAACAAACTTTTCTTTTTTAACCCTGACCCTAAGATAGGGTCTCACTCTGTCATCCAGGCTAGAGTGCAATGGCACCATCATAGCTCACTGCAGCCTTGATGCCTGGGGTGAAGCAATCCTCCTGCCTCTGCCTCCCGAGTAGCTGGGAGTACATATGCACAACACCATACCTGGCCAATTTTTCTAATTTTCTGTAGAGATGGTCTCACTATGTTGTCCAGGCTGGTACAAACATAATTACAAAAATATATATGTATATATACATACATAACATAGAAAGTGGTTATAAAAATTTTCATACAGAAATTTAACATTTCTCTTTCTGCTAAAAATAATTAAATATGAATCATAAAAAAAGAAGAGTTCAAAACATGCTTTTAGGCTGGGCATGGTGGCTTATTCCTATAATCCTAGCACTTTGGGAGGCTGAGGCAGGTGGATTGCTTGGGGCCAGGAGTTTGAGATCAACCTGAGCAACATGGCACAACCCTGTCTCTACAAAAATACAAAAAATTAGCTGGTGGCATGCGCCTACAGTCCTAGCTACTCGGGAGGCTGAGGTGGGAAGATCACCTGAACTCAGGAGGTGTCAAGGCTGCAGTGAGCTGTGATCGTGCCACTGCACTCCAGTCTGAATTACAGAGTGAGACCCCATCTCATAAACAAAAATTTTAAAAGACAACAAACATGCTTTTACTTCCTACTATTTCGAGGGAAAAGTAAAAATAAAAGTGAACACTAAACAGCCATTAAAGAACTGAAACTACCAGAGGAGATAACAGCCACATGACTCCCGAAAGGTTCATGATTTATTATTTTGCATGGTAAAGACTTTACTGAAATACTAAGTTTTAGAGTTATCTTTCACACACACACACACACACCCTTCTAAAAAGCTTTGCCAACTCAAATAATTTGCACTAAATCAAGGAGCACAATAAAAAAATGAAACATGTGACTAATATATAAGCCCAGATGGGGTTTTCCTGTAAGTTGGGGAGCAAGTTATCAATTCAAAGAGCCTTTCTACAATGCACAGATTATCCTTACTGGACTTCAATCCAGTGAAAGATCTACCAGAATACTAGAAAATTAGCTAGGAAACATTGCTTTTAGAAAAAACAAAATTACTGAAGTTTTCATCGAGTCAAAAAGAAAAATATACACAAGATAGAACTTACCACAATAGACAATAGTAAAAGTGGGGAGTAGGGTCAGCAACCAGGGACAAGAGAGAAGAGAAAACAGAAAGCATTTTAATTACAGAAATTTCAAAACAAATAAGCAGCAAATGGTAGAAAACACATTTTTTAAATGCAGGCATCCATTTAAGTTTTACAAAGGAAAAGCAAAAAACAAACGTGCAACAAATTTAGCAGCTACAAAGCTAAAGGTCCAGTAAAAGGTAGTGACAAGTATATAACAAGAAAATAAAGTCTGTGAGACTTTTACCATGCAATAAACATGATGACAGAATGATATTAATGTCATAACCAGTGAAAATTATACCTTTCAGGGGTCGATTTAGCATCACGGAAACTAGTAATAAACTGCTCAGAGGTTTCAATTTATTATTTTATGCCTAATTTTCAACTAATTCTATTTAATGTTAGGAAATTTATAAGGAGTTTTATCATTCATAGATAACCATGGCAAGTCTCTTTATGTATGTCTTAACTGAGCCATAGGAATGAGGATTATATTTTGAGTATTGATACAGTCATATACATTTAATCTAGAGAATTAAGGTAGATTTATAAAAGTACTGGCTTCATCTAAAGAAAAACAAGACTTGGGTACTATTTCAGAAATAGAGGAAAACTCAGTAGTAATATTTATTCCCAAGGTTTTCTATTTGGGTCTTAAAACAAGGATTGCAATGCAAACCCAAAAAGAGAAGCCTAAGTGTTCGATCAACATAAATCTGACAACAAGTGAGAGGCAAAGCACACAACTTTACAAATATACCTAGCTTTAAATAAACCTGACTTATTACTACCTTGCTTTACCTCATCAAAATAAATTAGGGCATATTTTATAGAATTATTTCCTTTGCAGAAACGTTTAAAATAATGGTAATCAATTCTTCCTGGCATTTTTTTCGGGTAAGATTGTATTTACATATAACTTTTTGTGAGTCTTAACTACTACATAAAAGGAAGCATGTGTAGTCTTATCAAACAATATATCAAATGCTGTCAGAATACGAGGTCAAATTAAATTATAAGTTCTCTTAATTTCTTTATCCCTTTCCCCAACAAAAATTAAATGACAAAAGTGAATTTCTTTCCTCAGTAGTGCTCATAGTCAAGGTGAAGTGACTCAAGATCAAATTAACACAGTATCTCATCAATTCTAAAATGTACTTTTTTTGCTCACATTTTAATGTTTTTGTAGTTGGTATTCATCTTTCAACTAATAGGATATCCTGGTTTAATACACAGGGATTTTTTTTTTCCTTTCTTAAAGGCATATAAAATACTAGTATGTTTTGTAATTGATGCCATCTGAGATCAGATGAAATAGAGTATTTTTTATTTACACCTCTGAGCAATAACACATAAATCGACCTCTGTAAAATGAGGTGAAACAATATGGTTAAAAAAAGAAATCTGTGTATAAATGTTGATGAGAGAAATGCTTCAAAGGGTAAAAACTAAAGTGATGACAAAGTGGCTCATTTACCAAAGAATCTCATTAGTGTAACATATGGATTTCCATGCACTGCCTACGACCTCATAATAAGATATTTCTTAAAATAACTTACAATATTTTAACAAAATTTCTTTGGTTAATGAATTCAGTTGATAGCAGATAGCAACAGAATGCCCACAGCTAGCACATGTGGGCAAAGCATTGGCATAAGAAATCTGATAAAATCAATCTATTAGTGTCTTTAACTAACTAAAACATTACCTACCTCCCAGCCAGTACTCTGTATAATAAAAAGTAAAAAAGGGCAAGTCATAAAAAAACTGTTTGAAAGAACAAAAAAGGCCAAAGGCACCATATACCATAAATTCTTCTCCACAAACAGAAGACAGCAGGATATTTTAAACAGCATATTCATTTACTTAAGACCTGCAATAATTTCATAAATTGCTTGGTCAAAACCCAGTGGCTAAAATTTTGCCTTTTAAAAACTTTAAGTGAAAGTACAAATTTTAGGGAAAGAGAGCCAGCAGCTTGTTCCATTTACATGTTTAAGTAAGATCTCTAACTAAGGTGAGCTGCACTTCACCAAGTATCCAGGATAAATTAAAATACAAACTGCAACTCTGCTCAAATGCCAACGACACAAATGGCTAAAAGTTTCTCAGAAACGACTAGCTCTAAATGTTCCAGACCTAACATTTATAATTTGCAATTTACAGCTCTAGAAACTGGCTTGAGGTTCCTGTGATAGTATATATACAACTGATTATTAAAAGACCTACCTGTCATGGTCATGAAACCTAATCAATATTTTTCAACTTTAACATTTTAATAGATGACAATAAAATCCTGACTTAACAGGATAGCAGCCCTATTTTTAGACTGTCAAAGGCTTTTCAGATTAATCAGTTCATTTAGAACAGCTTAATTCATTGCAAAAAAGAAGAGGTCAAGCTGATAGGTAACAAAGTAGGACTAATACTGAATACAAAAGTGGATAGTCATACTCCAACTCCTTTGACACTAGCAGCAGTAGGTAACAGTAGGGTAGCACGGGGAAGGGAACAGAAAAGTGGAGGAGGAGGAGACTCGATAGGATATTTTGCAGTATTTCAATGAAGCCAAGGATTTAGTTTCAAAGAAATCAACTGCTAGTAGTGTACTTCATTTTAAAATTAAGTTTAATTTGATGCTAATTTTAGTGATAATATGTAGATTCCATAATGAACTACAAAGATTAAGTAATGAAATACTATTAGAATTAAATATACATTAAGACAACCATTTTATTCATTATTTTCACAAAATAATATTTTTGTATTAGAAATATATCAAAGGATGATTGTAAACATCTAGGAAAAATAAAGTTCAGTTGCAGTCATTAAAAATATTAGTAGTTTAATTATTAAAGTTTCACATCATTTAATTTAAAAAACTGAAATATAAAAACTTCATTTTCACAGCAAAGGAATAGGTATCAATTTTAAAATGAGATTCACAACTATGATCTACCTTGTGAAACAGAAAATCACAATTTTTAAAAACTTGCTAATTAATAATTCAAAAATGAAAAAAAAAAGCTATGCAGAAAGTTTATGATGATCACCATTTACTTTAGGTGAATTCATTTTTATTGTTAATGAGCTTTGCTTTGGCCATGAACTATCATTTTGACCGCTCATTTGTAGTCTGATTAAAATGGTCATTTCACGGGATCTAGTTTGACATCAGTGCAAAACAACATTAATGCTTTCAGACAGTTTTTTCCCTTTATAGTGAAGCTAGAAATTGGAATCATTACCTGATGAACAATTTTGCTGAATGCTTCTTGAAGTTTACCATGAATTGTGGATAGTTTCTTTGCATCCCGATTAGCTTCATGAATAGGAATAAGTACTTTGTAAACTTCATTAACTGCTTCATACATGCCAGCCTATAAGAAAAAATTTTGTTAAGATGTTGCTTTCTTTTACATCAATAAGAAAGAAAAGTAATTATATGAATTCGCAATATTTCTATTAAGATAATACACTGAGGCCAGACGCAGTGGCTCACACCTGTAATCCCAGCACTTTGGGAGGCCGAGGCGGGTGGATCACAATGTCAGGAGATCGAGACCACCCTGGCTAGCACGGTGAAACCCCGTCTCTACTAAAAATACAAAACATTGGCCGGGCGTGGTGGCGGGTGCCTGTAGTCCCAGCTACTCAGGAGGCTGAGGCAGGAGAATGGCGTGAACATGGGAGGCGGAGTGTGCAGTGAGCTGAGACCGCGCCACTGCACTCCAGCCTGGGCGACAGAGCGAGACTCCATCTTGGGGAAAAATAATAATAGTAATAATACCACTGAAATTTTTCCAATAGAAAATAAAAACAAATACTACTAATTTTTAACTGTATTAAGGTTTAATAAAAGAATTTTCCAGTGTATCTTCTCCTCTGGATAAATGGGTATGTATGTAGATATGTGTATGTGTGTGTATATTAATATATATACATACACATATGTGCATATTTATATTTCTATAATTTGAATTGGGCATTTTCCTTTTATCTGCCCAATAATTACTTCACTAAGGTTAATGTGTGTATGTGTACTTATCTATGCTTATAATCTTTTGCAAAAACTAATTCTGAGCAGAAGAAAAATAAATTTAATATTACACTGGTCACAGATACCCAATTCTCCTATAATAGCATCCTGGGACATAAAAATCATTTACTTTTCCAAAATATTAAGCTGACGAAGGCAATCTCCTATTGTAAATCTCCTATGGAAAAATCACAAATCTTTAACAAAGCATAGAAAGTTTTGAGCCACCAGATTTCCTTCCACTGTGGGCTAGTTGGCCAGTGGTTGCTATGGTTATAATCACATAATCAGAGTGAGAGACAAGATGTCTTTGTATTGGTCTTCTATCCCTTATCCTTTTTTTTTTTTTTTTTTTAAATAATAAGAGACAGGGTCTTGTTCTATTGTTTAGGTTGGAGTGCAGTGGTGTGATCATAGCTCACTACAGCCTTGAACTCCTGGTCTCAAGCAATCCTCCCACCCCAGCCTCCTAAGTAGCTAGGACTACAGGTGCTCACCACCATGCCCAGCTAATTTTTTCATTTTTTGTAGAGATGACGCTCTTGTTACATTGAGCGGGCTGGTTTCAAACTCCTGGCCTCAAGCAATCCTCCCACCTTGCACAGTAATCCTAGGATTACTATGCAACCTCCCAAAGCACTGGAATGACAGGTGTGAGGCACTGGGCTTGACCCAGCCTTTATCTTTAATAATGGATTGGTGCTGTAGTAAGAGAAGAGAGAGATGTTTTCCAAAAGCCACCGAGTCCTCATCGGTTCACAGATCAGCAAACATATTTTCCCAAAGAAAAACATATGGTCCTTGAATTTCCCAGTAAGTTCGTAGGAGTATATTTAAACAATCATGTAGTTGTACTAGTGAAATATGTTTAGTGTAACTAAAATGCTCCAGTAATTATTTTAACTAAAATCAGATTAATTGAAAAAGAATAAAATTTACAATTATATACAACTGCAAAAGAATTTTAATAATATAGGTTACTGTCCCCCAATCTAAATGCACTATTGTGAATTATTAAAAATCACACATATACAAACACACAGAGTTATGTTAATTAAAATATTCCTCCAAAAACAAAAAAATTTTTCCCCCTGCTAGCTTAGACAAGTGTAGGGATGGAACTGGAATTGGAATGGTCAAGGTCCTTAGAGGCAAACATTTTAAAAGAGGATCGACACCTAATATTTTAACTCTGCAAAAACACTCTTAAGAGTCTCACAATTGCCAATAATGATGAAAATGATGGTAACAGTAAACACACTAGTACTTACTTGGAACGAGGCGCTGTGATAAGCACTTTAAATACATGAACTTACTTAATTCTAAAAACATTCCTATGAGGTAGGTACTATTACTAGATGTATTTAATAGATAAGAAAAGTGAGGCACCAACAGGTTAAATAATTTGTGCCTGAAGTAAGACAACTACTAAATGGCAGAGCCAGGATTTGAACTTTGGCAGTATGCCTTCTAAATCTACCCTTTATCAATATATTGCAGGATAGGGATAAGGCCTGGTGAAGAACGAATCAATTCCCAACAGCAGTAGAAATGGGGAAAGAGGGCAGCATTGCATATTACCTCAAGCTTCTCTCTTACCCTAACATGAACCTCAGCGTGTCCTAAACCTCGGTGCTGGTACACTAAACATTTAGCAGAAAAGTCAGAGGAAGTAACTGATCCTATCAACATGGTTTAAGAAGGTAAGCATGAATTCAGCTAACTATCTTTTCTTTCTCCAATAAACATCCCATCTGGGTTTCATCTGACTGCTTTAATTCTTCACATACGGATGGAAGGGAACAAGATTGGGGTTATAGCATGACAGCATAGTCAGGTAAAGGATTCAGGATGCAGTTCATAAAACTAAAGAGTAAGGCCCAGGCCTCCAATAACTACCTAATGAGGATTACTATGCAACCAATGGAATGAGTGGTCATAACTTTCTTGGACACCAGGGCAATGCCCATCATACTGGAAAAAAGATTCTCCATTTCATCCAATAGACAAGATCTATTTATAGAGCCCTGTCAGTCTACCAACTAGGAACTTATATCACTCAGAGACTTTCTGTTTTGTTTTGCTACGTTTTTTAACTTAAAGGTTTTAGAAAATGTTTGGCAGTAACAGTTTTATTAACCAAAAAAAATCTGCTACAAATCACATGCTGGTTAATAAACAAGCAAACGAAAAACACTGGTGGGTCTGGGCACAGTAGCTCATGCCTGTAATTCTAACACTTTGGGTGGCTGATGAGGGGAATATAACTTGAGGTCAGGAGTTTGAGACTATCTTGGGCAACAAAGTGAAACCCCATCCCTACAAAAAATACAACAATTAGCCAGGTGTGATGGTGTGCCCCTGTGCCCCTGTATTCCCAGCTACCCAGGAGGCTGAGGTGGGAAGATATCTTGAGCCCAGGAGTTTGAGGCCGCAGTGAGCCAAACCACTGGAACACTGGGGGAAGTGACAGATTATTAAGATGAAAAGGAGTAAGCCAATAATGAATCTAGAAAGAAAATCTTTTCCTAGATAGTTTTTAGGGGACTTGAAATAAAAAACAATTTTTTTTTCTTTTTTTGGAGACAGGGTTTTACTCTGTTGTCCAGGCTGGAGTGCAGCAGCATAATCATGGCTCACTGCAGCCTCAACCTCTTGGGCTCAAGCAATCCTCCCACCTCAGCCTCTCAAGTAGCTGGGACCACAGGCATGAGCCACCATGCCTGGTGAATTTTTAATTTTTTGTAGAGACGGTATCTCACTATGTTCCCCATGCTGGTCTTGAACTCCTGGATTCAAGCAATCCTCCCGTCTTAGCCTCTCAAAGTGCTGAGATTACAGGCATGAGCCACCATACTGGGTCCAGAATAAATTATCTTTAAAGAAAAGTAGGGTCATAAGCCAGAGAGAATAAATACACATGTCATTGATAATTAGAGGTATGAAACTGTGGGAAAAGAATTAACAAGAGTCATCTACCATAGAGAAGGAAGCAGCTGCTTGTTCCAGTAATCCCACAAGTCCTGACTCAGTAAAGTATTTTCCAGAGCAGATACCTTCTTCATCTGGAGATACCACATCATCTGAGACCGCAGATTCTTCTAAAACATTAGATGAAATATTCTAGGGAAAAAATATATTGAAAAGGTTTTTGAAACAGAATTTTCTAGCATAAAAATGTATAAGAAGAAATAACTGAAGATGAACTGTAACTATCAGGTTAGGTTAAAAAAAGGAGAGTGATATAAAGGTAAAAGATAAATCTCTAAAAACTTTCTGTATTTTGAAGATGATAATAAAATGAAAACACCATTGCTAGATAACTTTTCTCTTAATAAAAAGTTGTATGAAAGAAAATTAAGAAAAATCATGGGCTAAAGGAAATTGTAATATAACATAAGACATCTAAGGAGACATCAATAGTCTTTCTTATTTATTTAATTGATCTTTTCAAAACTCTCTGTAAAGGAAAAAGGGTACAAAAATGGTCTCTTGACTTATCTAATGTACACGGAGTTAATGAAAAAAGTCAGGTATAATAAAAGCCCTCTTATTCAATGAGATTGGAATCAGCCATTATTTCTAAAAAAGAAATGATACATACATACCCTATTTTATTTTAACCTAAACATTTACAGTAGATGTACACTCATTCATCAACTTTTGAAGTAGATCTAAGGCCTTTTCTTTGTGTGTATGGGTTTCCAGATCAGATTTCCACGGAATCTCTTTTGGGTAAATACCGATAAGGCAACACTCTTTTTAAAGATTTCAAGTTTTGGTTTCTTTTGAGTGAAAACTTAAAAGATTATCAAATTATTCTAGAATTTTAGGAGTTTCCCCTCCCCCAATCTATTTGTCTGGCCCACAGTTAATTCAACAGCAATTGTTTTGGAGATTCACCTTTCCTGAGTCTTTGTAAAACATTCAACTTTGTTTTCCGAGAAACGATAACTTTCTTTTTGCATTCTGATTTCATCAGAAGATATAACATTTAACTAAATTTTATAATATCTCAAACCTACTATTAACAGGTTTTGAAGAAAAGCAAAGCATAACTGACTCTTGGTAAGCAGAGAATTCAACTAGTGGGTCAGAATTATGTACCCTACTAGAGGGCAAACTCATCTGTGAGTCATGGTATTAGTCATAAAATAATCTAATATTTTATGTAGGGAATAGAGAATGTTGGTATATCTGCTATGTGAAGTAAAAGCCAATTAAGAATTTCTACTGAATTCTGATTATCAGTAATACATTTCCATAGATGTTAAAGTATGTAACGGATTACAAGGCAGTAAAGACAAAGAGAATAAATAAGCATAGTGCTGATAATTCAGAGGTAAGAAACTGTGGAAAGAGAATCAACAAGAAGTACTCCTTAAAAATGTATTAATGACAATCACTGTGAAATGTTAATTCACCTTGTGAAGCATTGGCTTAAGTCTTTAAGCTTTCCTTATAAACTAAAAAAATCTAAACACCAGTGAGAAAAGCTAAAACCAAAAAAAGATATACCTTGATTTAATGTACATCTGGAAGATTCCTACCTGAAATGTTACACATCCCACAGGAAGATATTTCCGGTCCTCCAGCATGCTCAAATATTCAGCAACAAGTGCTGCTGAGTGGACTAGACACTGTGCAGCTTCAGCATGATTGCTTCGTTCTGAGTGCTTGCCTGCCATGTTCTGCAACCAGGTCAATCGCAGATCTGGAGAGGTCTGGTAACCCTTGGCAATTCTAATTAGAACAGAAATTCTTCTCCATTAGTATGTGCTTCCCAAGCTGGGAGGGAGTTTAGATAGCTCGCTCAGAGTTTACCTAGAAAGGTTTTTGATACTGTGCACAACCTACTTAGTTTTAAAGTAGTATGAAAATGTCGCTATGCAGGCCTAGAGAAATAACTGTGGCCTATGGAATGGATAATATCAGTTGGTGGGGGGGGCAGGAGGGGCAAAAAAGAAATACGCCATATTAAATTCTGACTTTTAAGAAAATAACCAGTTAAGGGAAAAAGTATGGAAATTTATGTGTTCATTACAGAAACATAGAGAAGTTTTATACACAAGGGAAAAAGAAAACTTCTAAAAGGTACTTTTATTACTTTATTTCAAAGAGATTAAATTGTTTTATTTGTGCTTTTAATGAACCCCAAAACTGCAGGAACAGAGGGTCATATGACAGAGAAAAATTCTTAAGTTTTACTATTGTATCTATTAAGGTGTTAATACAATACGATTTATGGAGTTTTCAAAATGTGCCCTTAGAAATATCATTCTTCAGTCATAACTGTATTGAAAATCAGGTAATTAATGTTATCGTAAAACATTCATATACTGTATTTTCTTCTGAAAAGACTGAGTTTTACACTGAAAATATTGGTATGGGCCTTCAAAGGAACTCTGGGGCCCAGGACACCAAGGTGTTAAATGTGTGTTATGAATACTTAAAAAAATCCTCGTTTTTGATAATCAATAAGTACATTTGCATTGTTCTTAAAAGAAGAGACACAGAAGATCCAAAGATGCCACCTGGAAAAAGTGCATTTGGACTTTCAATCTACCATTAGAAAAATCACTCAAGGCCAGGTGCGGTGGCTCACGTCTGTAATCCCAGAACTTTGGGAGGCCAAGACAGGCAGATCTCTTGAGCCCAGGAGTTCAAGACCAGCCTGGGCAATATGGTAAAACCCCATCTCTACAAAAAAGTAAAAAATAAAAATAAAAACAATAAAGAATGTAAATAAAGAAAAATCACAAATCATTTTTGTGTGTTTATTTTTTTCATCTAATGCTTACTGTATGTCTTACTAAGTCCCTTATACAAAGCATAAATGAATCAAATAAATGCTACCTGTACATTAGATCAATCAACATTTCAGGATCCTCCTGGTGTTCCTTCATTTTCACAGTATCAGAAAGAATCATATGGAGATTGAAAACCAGATCCTGGACCTGCAGCAGAGAATTATATGAAAAACATTCTTGAATTGTCATTCATCCATAATCACCAAATTAGTTTCAGAGATATTTCAGATAAATATCTAAAGATTTCAAAACAAGTTGTAGGATACTGATATGATTCTGTACAGTATAGGTATGTGGGGATATGGTAAGTGAAGGGTAGTAAACTTTATATAAATTCCTCAGCAGACTATGTTTATTTTTGTTCTTTCACCTGGAAACAAGCAGAACTGTAAGTAGAAATAAAACAGAGGGATATGGGAAATACAAGAATACAAAAGGAAAATTCTCTCCTATATTTCTGATTTTACTAAAAGGTAGTTTGTAGAAACTTTAGTTTTTAAGGCATATTATTGTTTGATTAATAAGTAGGAACGTTTCATCATAAAGCTTTGTCTGCACTGTCCAAGTCTGCTGTTCTACTTATTATAAATGCACAGAATTAAACACCACAGAATTAATTATTTCCAAAAAGAAGGGTAGCTTAATAAAACAAAGAGATTCAGTCCTATCTATGGCACATGATGTGTGGATTGAAAATGAAATAAATGATCCTCCAGCAAAAATCAACTTTTGATTTAACAATTTGGAAAGTGCCTATTTAACAAGCCTATTTCAATTAATGATCTAGAAAGCAGCATTTCTGACCTGATCAGGAAATGTTGTTTCCCTCAATTCCAGATCTTCTTCAGCATATGTCAATATAGTCTTTAGAGAACGTCTTAAGAATTCTTCATTAAAATTCTGAGATGTGCCCACCAAGGAGGATAGTGACATTGTTACCTGCATTTTAACCCTGGCAAAGTTCTGTAACAGAGAAATTGTCCAGTCAATACTTAATATAGAAAAGCTTTAAAAAGTCTGCTATTTTTCCTTGCTAAAAGTATATTTAGTGAAAAAATACCATTCTAAGCAAAATATTTTTTAAAGTAATAAAATATGCATATCAAAATCTTATTTTAGAAAGGTTGTAAAACTTAGAATTTTGTTGTGAATAATGTGCTACAAAACAGGATTTTAAGAAGTCATGTGTTAAGGGTTGAATTAGAAATTCTGCTTATCTCTTTACATTTATTTATTATGGGCATATGTTATTAATATAACATTTTACAGATGAGGTTAAATAGCTTGACTGACATTATAAAATTCTTAAATGGTAGATGGAGTATTTAAATTCTAGTCCATTTCATGACATCCATACTATGATGAAAGTAATTTAACACACATCATGCATAAAGTAATGTAAGGTAGAATCTTTTGGAGTGATGCCTTTAACAGTTTATAACTTACATTCTTCCTTTTTTTAGTGTAAATTCATTTCTGCTCCACCATTTTCTACCATGAAATCACTCTGAAGAGATTATTGGTGATAATATATCAATTGTCAAATCCAATATTTTTTGGTCAATATTCTACTTTACATCTTTGTATATTTAAATTACTTTCACCTTGAAAATCTCCTACCTTATCTTCAGTGGCACCACTTTATCCTGGTTTTCCTATTCTTTTTCGACTCTTTTTCTATTTTATTCCTTGGTTATTCTTCCTAAATACCAGTATTCCCAAAGATTCTGTCAAAAACCTTTTCTCACTTAACATACTCTAAAGAGCCTCATCCATGTCTTTGCTTCAACCAGTATATACACATGTTTCTGTCTCCAGCTGATATTTGTCTGTAGAACTCCAGGCTACTATATTTTACTAGATAGCACCATCTGGATGTCTCATAGGTACCACAAAGTCAACATGTCTAAAATACCTTCTCTCCCTATTGATTATCTAAAAAAGTGATACTATTCTTGTAGTCATGCCAAAAATCTAGGGGTCACCCCTACTCATCCTCCCCTCTCATTTTTCATACCATAAATCCAAATCCACACCATCTCCTAATGTGTTCCAATATATCCTTTCTCCATTCCAAATGGCTTTGCTTTATTTTACACCCTCACCATTTCTTATTTGGATTACTGTAATAACTTCCTAATCAATCTCCATGCCTTTTTCTTTCATATCTCTCAGTCTAACCTCTACCTAGCACCACGGAACTTTTTGTAAAATGCAGATCTGAACATGTTCCTCCTCTCCTTAAAATGCTCCTAAGGCAGCTGTCCAAAGTTTTGAGGATAAAATTAAAGAATTCAACTCAGTAAATATGTCACACTACATAGTAGGCACTGAGAGTATAGTGATAAAATAATTCATAGTTGGCTAGGCCTTTTCAATTACACCTTTATCCCTTACTCTTTCTTCCAGCCATAACCATCAAAAAGTGCTTTTAAAAAAAAAAGGGGGCTGGGCATGGTGGCTCACATCTGTAATCCCAGCAGTTTGGGAGGCCAAGACAGGAGGTTCACTGAGGCCCAAAGTTTGAGACCGGCATGTCTACGAAATTTTTTTTTTTTAATTAGCTAGATGTAGTGGTACATGCGTGTAGTCCCAGCTACTTGGGAGGCTGAGTGGAAGGATCCCTTGAGCAAAGGAGTTCAAAGCTGTGCCACTGCTCTTTAGTCTGGGCAACAGAGTAAGACCTCATCTCCCAAAATTTAAAAAAAGTGCTAAAAAACTGTCTTTGTGTTTGCCCATTTCCTTCTTTCATCTCCATCCCTTTCTAATTATGTATGTGTCATTATCTTTACCTAAAAAGCTCTATCCATTTAGCCATCTGATTGGGTAATTCTTCATTCTTACTTCAAACATCTCTTCTTTCTGAAAACCCATCCCTGAATCATAAGCTATTTTTCTATGTGCTTATGAAGTACCCTGTGCTTATCTCGCATTATATTAACAACACCAAGTACTTATTTAGCACTTGCTTAGTGCCATCTACTGCTATGTTTTACTTAATATTAATTTATGTAACACTTACAAAACCATCTGAACTAGATTCATCTGTTATTAAATGAACATCACTTTCTAATCCTCTTCTCCCACTAGGTGCCAAGCTACTTGAAAAAAAAAAACAAAAAACTGTCCTTTTATCTATGTCTGCCCAATGCCTACCAAAGCAGCCAAGACACAGTTCCATATTTTACTATGTTGTACAATATACAGACATAATACTGCATCTGTTGAATAAACATATATATCACTGCCAGTTTTAAATTACCCATTTCTTTCTTTTTTTTTTTTGAGACAGAGTCTTACTCTGTCACCCAGGCTGGAGTGAAGTGGCGTGATCTTGGTTCACCACAATCTCTGCCTTCTGGGTTCAAGCAATTCTCCTGCCTCAGCCTCCCAAGTAGCTGGGATTACAGGCGCCCGCCACCATGCTTGGCTAATTTTTATATTTTTAGTAGAGACAAGGTTTCACCATGTTGGCCAGGCTGGTCTTGAACTCCTGACCTCAGGTGATCCACCTGCCTCGGCCTCCCAAAGTGCTGGGATTACAGGCGTGAGCCACTGCGTCCAGCCACCTATTCCTTTTTGGAAACACTGCCTGATACTAATACTATAAATTGTCCTTTCTTCTTTTATATAAAGCTTTTCCAAAATAACAGAAACATGTATCAAGAAAACTGAGTGTGGTCAAATTTTAGAGACTTTATTTCATAAACAAAGTAAGATCAATAAAGTAACCATATTCTTCTATTCTGGGTTAAGACAGAAGACTTCCCTTCCAGTAAAAAAAGGACAGTATGAGATAGCAATTTCCCACTTCTGGATTTCATGTAAAAATAAAAGATGGGGGAATAGAAAAAACCCCACAAACTCTATCTTTATCAAAATGAGGAGTCAGATATAATTCATTTATTAGAAAAATGGGAGGTTGCCAACACAAGCTAAGTTAGGAAGCAGTTCCAATATAAGGCAAGGAAAGGAAAGCAAAGAGTGAGGAATCCTAGGGCACAGATTTTAGAACTAATGAGGGAAACAAATATTTCCTCTAAGTAAGAAACTTAGCCCGGTGTGATAGTAGCTCACATCTGAAATCCCAGCACTTTGGGAGGCCAAGACAGGAGAGCTGCTTGAGGCAAGGATTTCAAGACCAGCCTAGGCAACAGAGACAGATCCTGTTTCTACAAGAAAAAAAAAAATTAGCCAGGCATGACATGGTGGTGTGTGCCTATAGCCCCAGCTACTTGGGAGGCTGAGGTGGGAGGATCCCTTTAGCCCAGGAGTTTTGAGGCTGCAATGAGCTATGACTGCACCACTGCACTCCAGCCTGGGTAACAGAGCAAGACCCTGTCTCTAAAAAATAAATAAATAAATACACAAGAAACCCATCTTGAAGTTGTAAAACTGTTCTGAAAAAAAAAAAATGAGCTAAAAATCTGGTAAAATTGGACAGAGATGGATCATCCAGAAAGTTTAGGCAGTTAGGCAAGATGTGCCTGCAATAGCAAAATCCCAGCCAAAACACATTTCTGAAGGAACTCCCTATAAATGCTTGGGCCAAGATAACCCAGCTTATCCTATGTTGAGTAGTAAAAAGGTAAGGAAGAGCAGCAAAACTCACCAGATAAAGAATACTTAATAGACAAATGATGTCATAAAACAGACGAAAATTCTAATGAAATATTTTGATTTAAATTATACAAAATTTATGAAGACATCTTTAGAATAAAAAAGGCAGAAATACAAGAAGTCAAGGAAAGATGGCAAAAATCAGAAAACAATAACATATAATCAATTACATGTGAGCTGGCAAAAGAAATTTTTTTACTTGGAAAAGTAAGAAAAAAACAGAAATGAAGATGAAATTTTAAAAGTGTTAAAAAGGAGAAGACAAAATGATAGGTAAAGTAAAAGTTCCAACATATGTATAATGAACCCAGCACAGAAACCCCAAACACAGGAACAAAACAAGTATTTTATATTCAAGAAAATTTTCTGAAATAAATGAACTAAAAGTACACATCATGTACCTGAGAAACTTAACACAAATCAGTCAATACTAAGACAAATATTCTAGAAAAGTCATTTAATTATAAATATAAAGAAAATCTCATGAGCAGCTGGGGGAAAAATGTTATTTAAAACGGAGAAAAATACCTTTCAATATATCTACAACAATATTTAATGTCAGAAGACAATGGTACTCAAGTACCCTTTTTTTCCTATGAGGTGTTCTTTATCTGATAAGTTTTGCTGATTTTTCTCGTGCTTATTATTATTCAAAGTATAAGGCAAAGATTTCATAACCACCCTTGCTGTCCTACAAGTACAGACAACTTTAAACAATCAAGAACTTGGAAAACTGGCTGGGTGCAATGGTTACTGCCTGTAATCCCAACACTCTGGGTGGACAAGGTGGGAGAACAGCTTGAGCCCAGGAGTTCTGGGCTACAGTGAAGTACCATCATGCCACTGCAGTCTAGCCTGGGTGACAGGAGGAAACGCTGTCTCTATTTTTAAAAGGGGGGGTGAGTGGGGTGGGCAGGGCGAGGTGGCTCATACCTGCAGTCCCAGCACTTTGGAAGGCCGTGCAGGGAGGACTGCCTGAGCCTACGAGTTCAAGACCAGACTGGGCAACAAAGTGAGTTCCTGTCTCGACTAAAACAAACAAAAAAACACTTGGAGAATATTACTCCTAAGAACCTTGATGAGGACAATATTTAGCTAAATAAAAGATAATTACAGCCCTAAAAAACTGGTGGTAAGCAATATTTCATTTTACAACTAAGACTACAAACTAAGACTGAAATGTTACAGCTAAGAAAAACACTAGGAGGGTGAGAAAGGAGATAGAAAGAAGTACTTAACTATCTACAGTAGACATAAAACAAATAATATTATTTGAAGGTGGCAATTAAATCAAGTGAAGTATATGCAGATTCAACAATACAGATGTAAACAGTAAGAAAGATAATTTTTTGAAATATTGAGGTACAAAGAATGACAGGGTGGAGGAGAGAAAAGAAAATCAGCAATTTTATCACTGTTCATTAAAGGGAGTTAATAGATACTTGTCTCAAGTAGAGTTTCTCAATATTTTTTTCATTATTGTCCCCCTAATAAATCTTTTTGAACATTTTTTCTAATTACATCCCTATGATATTTTAATATCAGAGATGTATACATCTGTTTATGCACTCTATGTATTTCTGGATTTATATACACGTAAGAAAGTAAATATAAAGCTTACTCTTTTTACTTGATGCAAGGTTATGAATGACTAGATAAAAATTTTAAGTTAAAAATCTGAAAATGATTTACATTTAGCTTATGTTTATAGGCTGGTTTTCTGAAAAACTTTTAATATAATCTTTTAGCTTAAATAAACTATAATGTATCAAATTACACAAATAAATTAGCAACTTATATAACTACAAAACAAAAGCAGCAATGTAATCAATTTTTTAAACCATTCAAAACTGCTATTTATTCAGCAAAAGAAAGGAATTAAAAATTAATTTCTTAAAAATTATTTCAGTGAACTTTCACTATTTGCTTGATAGAAGGAAATAAGTTCTGGCTACTAGATATTCATTCAGATATTGTTGACTTTTTTTATTTTCAGCAAATGACATGATTAAAAATGGGTTGAATAACTTTTGTAGAATGAACTAATAAATTGGAAAGTTTTTTTCTTGGGCTTAATTTTCAAAGCCCAAGTCACACACGAATGCACTGAGAACCAAACATAAACAATATCCACAAGGCAGCCAATGGAAGCAACCTCTTGCCATATGACTGAGATCAAGCAATTGATTAAAAGTCTCCCTATCACAGTCATCTATTCTCCAGTTTTATAAGCCCAATTTCGCATACATTTTGTTTTTTGTTTATCTTCCATGAACTTAATGTCAATGCTGCTCATGTGATATCCAATAAGACCAATGAGACAAATAAATACTAAGGAATGCCATGTTGTTGGGTAGTGTTGAGCTTTGGAGGACCATAAGCTAAGATTTTTCTCATCCTCCACAAAAACGAATTTTCACTCCCTTGGTGGTAATTACTGCCCTGGTTGAGAATGCATGATCTAAAGAAATAGAGTACTAGGGGTATTACATAACTATAAAGGCAACCATTAGAGCAAAACCAGAAATTTTGCTAAATATGATAAACACTACATCCCCAAAACAAGGTAAACAGACCATATAGTGTAAGATGAAAACAACCAACACAATTTTTTTTAAAGGGGAGGCAAGAGGGAAAGGCATAACAAAATAATAGAATTCCAGGACGTATGTAATATAATAACAAGTATGAAAGGTTTAATTCAATTAGAGGTTGGATCACAAAGCAAAACTCAACTCTTATGTTGTATATGAGAGGCACATCTAAAATAAAGTGAAAATTAAAGAACAGGCAAAGGCAATTAAATTAAGTTCAAATTAAAAAGAAAGCAGAGGTCAAAATCTTAATACCATAAGAGATGAAATTCAGGCCAAAAAATAAAATAGAATAAAGGTTTTAAGTAAAACCAAGACGAGTTCTTTTAAATTCCAAAGGAGAAAAACTCTTAAGAAGATACAGTAGTTATGAGTATTAGTACACCAAATAAAAGCTAAAGGAGAAACAGACAAACACAGTAATAGGCTTTAATTTACTTCTACCAAGTGAAACAAAAACAAGGATATAGAGAGACACAATAATGTAATTAATAAGGTGTATTTATCTAGTATATGTTTAACTCAATATTCTGAAAACAGAACTACTTCCTTTTTAAAGTTTTTTTGTAGAACACTCATAAAAATGGATTATATTTAGACACACAAATACACAGATCCACAGTAAAGAAAGGGAGAAACAGAATACACATTGTACAATCACAATGTAATAAAGCTGAAAATTAACATAAACAATTTTTTTTTTTTTTGAGACAGGATCTCACTCTGTCACTCAGGCTGGAGTACAGTGGTGTGTTCATAGCTCACTGCGACCTCACACTCCTGGGCTCAAAGGGATCCTCCCATCTCAGCCTCCCGAGTAGCTGCGACCACAGGCACAGGCCACCAAGCCCGGCTAGTATTATTTATTTTTTTGTAGAGATAGGGTTTTACTATGTCACTCAGGCTGGCCTCAAACTCCTGGCCTCAAGCAATCTTCCTTCCTCGGCCACCCAAAGTGTTGGGATTACACGTGTGAGCCACTGGAGCCAGCCAAAACTTTGAAACAAAAAGGCTAGCAGCCAGGCGCGGTGGCTCACTCCTGTAATCCCAGCACTTTGGGAGGCCGAGGCAGGCGGATCACGAGGTCAGGAGATCGAGACCATCCTGGCTAACATGGTGAAACCCCGTCTCTACTAAAAGTACAAAAAATTAGCTGGGCGTGGTGGCGGGCACCTGTAATCCCAGCTACTTGGGAGGCTGAGGCAGGAGAATGGCGTGAACCCAGGAGGCGGAGCTTGCAGTGAGCCAAGATCACGCCACTGCACTCCAGCCTGGGCGACTGAGTGAGACTCCGTCTCAAAAAAAAAAAAAAAATAAGGCTAGTCAACTCTTTGGGTTAAAAAGAAAACACAAACTGAAATGACAACATTACTAAATATCAGAACCAAGGAGACGCCAAAAATAGCACTTAAAGGAAAATTCAAGGCCTTAAATACTTACATAAGCAAAAATAAATGAACTAAATATTTGACTCAAAAAGGAAAAATATAACACATGAATATAACATATAATAAAAGACAAATGAAAAAATGGAATTCTTCAAAGGCTGTGACATGTAATTGTAAAATATCAAGCCAAGATACTTAAACTTGTATTTCTTTTTACTTAGGGACAATTAAAATTTAAAACTGCTCAATGTACATTTATATTCTAAGTCTGTATTAATATACATACATACATACATACGTACACATGATATGCACACAATTGGAGATTTGGATTTTTGTAAGATATACACAGAATGAGAAATATCAAGATAGCCTATGATTAGACTAAAAATATACAAAAAACTCCATGCTCTCCCAAAAACTGATTTAATAACTATCAGCAGAAGTTATATTTCATTATGAATACAGAGAATTTTCATGATAAAATACTTACATTCCCAATCTCAAAGTTTTGCCTCATTAGTAGGTAAAGGGAGGCACTGGCGTGTGACCGTATTGTACCGATGCTACTGCTACAGTGTCGGAGAAGCCTGAGGCATAAATCAGCACACTGCTCTGTCTCTTCTTCAAATAAGAGTTCAGGAAACTGTAAAACAACAAAACAAACCACCACTGAATTTTTACAGTAAAAGTTTCTGAGATATGTTAATATAACCTGAACTGGAGACTTGTTAGTATAGCCCAGAAATTAAAAGAATGGTTAGGACAATATTAGCTAATGGTTAATAGTGTGAGACACAGAGTCAAACTGGGTTCGAATGCTCATTATTCCACTTACTAACTAGTAGTGGGACCTTGGACAAGTTTTCTCATCCACAAAATAGGCCTAATAATATATCTACAAGGGATTGTTGTGAAGCTTCTATCAGAATGTGCATAAAACACTTAGTAATCAACATATATGAATTCTATATTTATTACAAAATAATACGTAAGTTATTTTCATCAACATCTCTGCATTCCATCCTCTAGGATGATTAAAATGAAATAGCTACCTTCAAAATTTAAGAATATACATATTTCTAAGGGAAAACAAATATAAGAAGTAAACATTTAAAGCAGTTGAACAAACACATACCTTCTTTTCCATTCATCATAAAATAATTTCAGTGGGTTGAATTGCTTATATATTGAATTCTTTATAAATTGAGTTTTTTATAAAAACAGAACCAAGTGAAGAGAAAACAAGAGAAGCCCCATATTTAAGATTGGCTATTAATTTCAGGCCCTTCTCCACATCCAAGTTACTGTTTTTCAAACCAGAACTGGTTAAAGGTGATTCGAATAAATGAAAAATTCTAAAAGGCAGGCAGCAGTAGAGAGGCAAAGAAGAATTAAGGGTCTTAGGTTATTATTTAAATTTTAACTACACATATTCATTAATATATTACTACATATATTAACCAATGAATGTGTCAAATGATCTTAGACAATGTTAATAAAAAAAACAAAGTCTGACAACACTGCAGGTACAAAATAACCTACCTTTGAAACCAAGGCTCTCTGTGTAGCAAAACAGTGTTGTAGATAAACTGCACTTTGGTTACAGGCCATGCTGTGTAGTAGCACTTTTAGCACTCCACCAAGAATGCTCTCTTTGGATTCCGTTACAGAAACGGTCTGCAATTTAAAAATAAACAAATAAAATAGAGATGTACTTGCAATTTAGTTATGGATGTTACAGGCCTCCCTATGTATAAATAAAGGCCTCCCTGTATGTATAAGTAAAGTTTTAAAAGATAAAAAAATGATAACATAAGATCTAGGATGGCTTCAAGAAGGAGCTAAGCAGGATTTGAATAAGAAAAGGGGGAAAAAGAATAAATATAATTTAAATGAGAAAAAACAGGAGTAAGATACAATGGCAAGAAATCATAAGGTGTGTTTTAGGAAAATTAGTAAGTAAATTTGAATTGACTTGAGGTTCATGTAGAAAATAACTAGAGATAAGGCTGAAAAATTGAGTGGTGCCTAGAGCAAAAAATGTTGGTGGTACACAAATAACCATTCTTTTCTTCTTTAATAATTGAAATCCTGAATTTTAGCTGAAGACTTTGAATCCGGCTACAGAGAGAGGTGAACAAAAGAGAAGTTACATCTTCTGAGTCATGCCCTTAAAAAAAGAAATGTACTCTGTCCCTGCTGTTTCTTTTCACTGAATGAAATACAGACATGATGGCCGCAGCTCAAGCAACCATCTTGGGATCAGTTATCTTGGACTTATTAAATTTTTTCTATTTTTAAAACTTTAGTCAGGATAATGACTGATAAAATCTTTTTTTTTTTGTTTTTGAGATGGAGTCTCACTCTGTCACCCAGGCTGAAGTGCAGTGGCTTGATCTTGGCTCACTGCAACCTCCGCCTCCTGGCTTCAAGCAATTCTTGTGCCTCAGCCTCCTGAGTAGCTAGGATTACAGGTGTGCGCCACCACACCCAGCTAATTTTTTTATTTTTAGTAGAGTCAGGGTTGGCTGGGTGCAGTGGCTCACGCCTGTAATCCCCACACTTTGGGAGGCTGAGGTGGGTGGATCACCTGAGGTCAGGAGTTCGAGACCAGCCTAACCAACGTGGAGAAACCCTGTCTCTACTAAAAATACACAATCAGCTGGGCGTGGTGGCGCATGCCTGTAATCCCAGCTACTTGGGAGGCTGAGGCAGGAGAATCACTTGAACCCGGGAGGCGGAGGTTGTGGTGAGCTGAGATTGCGCCACTGCACTCCAGCCTGGGCAACAAGAGCGAAACTCCACCTCAAAAATAAATAAATAAATAAATAAATAAATAAATAAAATAGAGTAGAGTCAGGGTTTTGCCATGTTGACTAGGCTGGTCTTGAACTCCTGACTTGAAGTGATCCACCCACCTCAGCTTCCCAAATTGCTGGGATTACAGGCATGAGCCACCGTGCCCAGCCATAAAATACTTTTAAAGGAAAATTCTCACAACAATGTACAGAATGGATGGTGGGAAGAATACAGAGTGAGTTATGAAGTAGGTGGCCATTGTAATAGCGTGGAAATATGAACCTGGCAGAGTAGTGGTAGTAGAAAAGGAATGGAAGGAATAGGTGAGAGATATATTTACTAAAACATCTGAAAGATCTTGCTAACTGATTTGAATCCTGGCTCTTCTACATACTAGCTGCGTCATTATGGGCAGTTATTTAACATCTTTGTGCCTAAGTGTTCTCATCTACAAGATGAGGATACTGACAGTTTCAATGTCATGAGTTTCTTAGAAGGATCAAATGAGTTAATATTTGTAAAGTGCTTAGGACAATGTTTAACACAGAAAAAACTAAATAAATGTCAGCTATCACATTGTTACTACAGAATACTGCCCAGAGGGCAACTGTTAGGACCCAACACAATGATTATAGATAAAAAGCCTGAAACATTGCTGTGGTATACAGAGGATACTGCATAAACCCAGTTTATCTATATGTAGCTATAGCTATACATGCATGTTGAATCTCACCTGATGGCAGAACTTCCACCTATAAATACTCAGAGGATATTTGGAAATGCAAGACTAGGCCATCAAGGGGAAAGACAAGGAGATAAAGATTTCATAATCATCCTCCATGAAGAAACAGTTGAAGCTATGGGAATTTATAATTACAGAGAATCTCAGAATGCTTGGAACGAAACTTTTAGGAACTACCAATATTTAATAAAATGTAATTTTATGGCTCACAGTAAACACTTTTCCCTCCAACCTCAATTTACCAAATCCGTATTTTAAATTTCTCTTCTTTGCATTCTTACCTGAACAACAATCTCTAATGTATCTAAAATGATTAGGTTTGCTTCTGTAGCCAGGTTTCCATCAATCAGTGCTTCGTGTTCAATCTCTGCTCTTGATCTAATACAAAATATTGTAAGAAATTATATTTATCTTTTTGAAAACTACAATTCTGAAAAGACTTAAGGATGCATAGAAATAAAAAATTTCAAACCATTTTCAATATTTGCCTGATAAAAAATTACAAGAGAATAAGAAAAAAGGCAGTAGTTTACACATTTATGCAGCTTTTTTGTTAACCACAACAATACACACTTTCTCACCCCATTACAGAAGTGTAATGCCACTAAAAGCATAAATGTTTATGTTTTAGCTTTCAAACATGCAGCAGACAGTTTTATTCTAAGTGACACTGACACTAGGTGGTGCTATGTGGGCTTGTATTTAGGACTGCTTCATGGAAAACAACATTCAAATATTTAGTATTCATCTTACTATTTCAAATATTTCCAATGTCTGTATTCAGGATAAATGTACTTAATTTGTCTAAGGTTTCATCTAATTTTCCCCCAATTTTTTTTATATAAATATGCTCAGATGATAATTTAACTCTTCAGTGAGACTAGATGGAATTACTCATTGGAAACACAACAAATTTGGGGAAAAAAGGATGTGAGGTGACGAATATGCTAGTTAGCTTGCCTGTGGTAATCATTTCACAATTGTACACATATATTAAAAGATCATGTTATATTCTGTAAATATATACAATTTTGTCAATTATAACTCAATAAAGCTAGAAAAATAATAAAGAAAAAAGAACAAAACAGTTTGATGCAATAAAGTGGTTTACTTAAATACTAATATTTGTAAA
The DNA here is from genome assembly GCF_000001405.40 of Homo sapiens. Lineage (NCBI taxonomy): Eukaryota > Metazoa > Chordata > Mammalia > Primates > Hominidae > Homo > Homo sapiens. The sequence goes on from NC_000001.11 coordinate 62,508,813, forward strand.
AGTATCATTTAATGCAAATAAAAATGTAAGAATAATTACACATGATTTATGAATATAGTTGAGATTTTTGTTTTAGCAATAATAGATATACAGATACTATATATTACACCAAAGTAGACAAAATAACACATAAAGTACAAGGCCATATTAAACACTAACTTTTCTAAGTTTTTAGATCTGTAAGTCTGTGAGTCTTTATTATTACCACTAAAGAGAATACTTCATTAATTTACAGTTTACAAATTCAATTTAAGAATAAAAGCACTTTGAAAGGCTGAGGTAGGGGATCCTTGAGACCAGGAGTTAAGAGACCAGCCTGCACAACATGGCAAAACCCTGTCTCTACAAAAATTATTTGGGCGTGGTGGTGCACAGCTATAATCCCAGCTACTTGGGAGGCTGAGGTGGGAGGCTCACCTAAGCCCAGGAGGTCAAGGCTGCAGTGAGTCATGATTGTGCCACTGCACTTTGGCCTGAGTGACAGAGTGAGATCTTGTCTCAAAAAAAAAAAAAAAAAAGAATACAATTATCAAAATTAAACTGGAAAATAAAATATTTAATGTTCAAACTTAAAATTTCCAGTGACATTTTATAAAGAAACATAAGATGGTTTAAACAAAAAGAATCAGGAGAACACCAAAAAAGTCTCCCTCAAAACACAGCAAGATAAGCCAAGAGAACACATTCTACAAATGCAGAAATAAAGCACTACTATACTGATAGTACAGTACCTGGCTACTCTGTGATTTCTAAAAAATAACACATGTAGAAAAACCATCAGAGAAATAGATTTGGACAGACGGAGAAAAAGAAAGGAAAGCACACATTCCAAGGTTAAGAATTTTAATATATTTATATTACATTCAATATCTGATTATTTCAAGCTCTCATACATATGGTACTGAAACTTGTTTCTCTGCTGGCTCTCACTTGTTTCCTCTGTTTTATGATTTTACTGTCTGTGAGAAAATATTGTGAAAGTTTATTTGTGAGAATCTTCTGAGGCTTGGGCTGATGATGGTTCTCAGATAGGGTAATCAATCATCTTGGTTTGCCTTAGGACAGGACTAAAGGGCTCCCTGGGATGTGGGACAATCAGTGCTATAACTGGGAGAGTGCTAGGCAAACCTGAAATGAGTTGGTCACTCCATTCTCAAAGTTTTATGGGCCAGTGAAGCTACTTGCGGGCTAACTTATAATTAGAAATTCTCAAGAAAAAAATTTTAGCCCCTTGACTCAGTGCCAAATCTCAAGCCAGAAAAGTTTACCTGCAGCCACTTGGGCAGTAAGAAGATTCATGTAAGTGTATTGTAGGTGTTTATGGCAGTAGGATCAGTCAATGTATCAAGTCTGCCTTTATGCTAGAAACAGAAGACCTGTATTGTTTTGTCTTTCTTGAATTATATTATAAGCTCCATAACGACAAATGTCAGGTTTCTGATTCTTTGTAATATTTGAAATATTAGTTCAATGTGACACCTAAAATATGTTCAAAAAATAGTTGCTGAATGCATTTTCCAAGAGGATGTTTTAAAGAAAATGGAGTTTAAAATATAATATTTTGCCTTACTATACCACGAGAAGTTCTTCCTCCAAATCTTTTTAAATCTAAAATTTTTAAATTAAATATTTTGTTCTCTAAGACTTAATATATTTATTAAGTGTAAATACTAAATGTAAATATAAAGTAAAAGTTATCATTTTCCTCTTACATTTTAAAATTCAACACACCCATCAGTAACATAAAATAGAAAGCTGTATTACTTGTCAAGCTTCTCTGTGTTTTGACGCCAGTGAGTCATATCTTTCCTCCACCTCAAATTTTCTTGACTTCCAAAGGCACTTCCAGATGGGCTTCTCTCTGTCAAATAAATTTCAAAACCAATTTTCAAATGTTATTTCAGTTGGACCACATATATGTATACTTGCAATCATGTAAGAAATATACAACAATAATTTGTACAAGCCATTTTATCCTCAGTACAAGTTGAAAAACCTGACAATGGTGCTTTTTATTAAAAATTTTCACAATAATTTCAGAAGAAATGTACTTGCTATATGCAGTATCTTTTCTTTAAAACAATACCCACTTAAATAAGCAAATGTTCTAACATTGGTTTGCTTAAAATCTTAACCATGGCTTATAAGGCCTTACATGATATGACTTTATTTCCTACCATTCTTCCTCTTGCTTACCGCTTTCTGTTATCCTTGCGAATCTATCAGTATATACTCTGACTACGCTTCTGACTTACAACCTGTGCAATGGTTGTTGTTCCTTTTTCCTAATTGTTCTTCTCACAAATTTTCCTTTATCGCCTCCTTAGAAAGGCCTCCCACTCTCCAATACCTCCTTTTCCTTTTCTTTTGCTTTGTTCCTTTCCATAACACTTAGGACCACAAGTATATAAGCTCCTTAAGAACAGAAATGATATGTACTTTGTCCAAGCATGTTATGTCTAGGCTGATAAAGTGGTTTCTAGGTTTGAAGGCAGACTGCATGTATGGGTTCCTTTAAGGGGTGGCAGCAATAGAAATGATTCATACAAATCCATTAGGAGTGGAGACAGCATTGAGAATGTGGAGAATACACAAATATACATTTAAACAATGGACTCAGTCATAATTTCAAACTTTCAACTATAAAACTGCTTGTTTTTGGAAAAGGTAAGACTTTAAATTGGTTAAGAGGATGAAGAATAATGAAAGTAAATGTTCAGAGTTCAAATATAAATTTTTAAAAATACTGAAAAACAAATACAAAAGAATACAACTATACATATGTCAATTAAAGAAATACAAAAAATACTGAGAAATAAGAATCATTTCCTGTACAATAAAGGACATGGCTCTATTTCTTCTAATTTCTTTCCCTTTTCTTTCCTTTCTTTCCTTATCTCTTTCTCTTTTTTAAATTCTGAAATCCATGTCTTTAGGAAATTTATGGAAAAAAACAAAAAGATATGCCTATATTAAGATAGTTAGCAAAATTAACTATAATATTCTATCATTTACATTTTTTCCCACGAAACTCTCAATAGTTAATAATGTCTTAGAACTGAAAGTTAAGAAAAAGAAAACAATGTCTATTAGTAGACCTAATAAGCCAATGTCTATTATTGACCTAGCTTAAATGTAGAAATGTAAATAAGAATTACAAGACAAGTAAGAATTACAAGAATTATAAGACAAGAAGACTTCAATTGTTATATTCAAACAAACCCAAAAGTACACTGTAAATTGTATATAACTAAAGTGAAAAAATGGTGCTCTATTAATTTTTTTAAAGGCAAAGACTGTGCCTTTTCATTATTACAAAACATAGTATATAAATGATACTTAGATTATTATTATGCTAATGAACTGTCAGAAAACAATTAAAAATCCATTCACACTTACATTCATATTTTAAGTCAACAAATAAATATTGTGCTGTTGGCATGTATCATCTACACAGATGACCAACCCATGGCCCTGGCCTTAAGAAACTCTTAGCAACAGTATTGTCTGTATGTCACTTTAGAATTTACAAAACGTTTCTGCATGCATGGTTACTATAAAGATGATAAGATCAGTTAGTTACACTATCTTCTAAATTCTGAAAACAATCACAAATTTATAAGGAAAAGGAAGATGGGGAGATTAAGTGACTTGGCCAAGGTTATTTGGCTAATGGGTAGCAGACCTGGGATTAGAAAACCAGTCTCAAATGCTACTAAACTGTTTTGTCTCACTGATATTTGAGTTTGATGGGCAATATTTTTGCCTTATATACAGGGCATATTAATTCATTTTGCAAATAAAGAGTAAAAACAGGCCAGACGTGGTGGCTCACAGAACTGTGAGAGGCCAAGGTGGGAGGATCACTTGAGCTCAGGAATTTCAAGACTAGCCTGGGCAATACAGTGAGACCATGTTTAAAAAAAAAAAAAAATTACTTGGGCATGGTGGCACACACCTGTAGTCCCAGCTACCAGGGTAGGTGTGTATTGGGGGATGAAGGTGTAAAAATTGCTTGGGCGAGGGAGGTCAATGCTGCAGTAAGCCACAATCACACGACTGCACTCCAGCTTGGGTGACAGAGCGAGAATCTGTCTCAACTAAAAAAAAAAAGTAAAAATAGATGTTATATGGAATGATCCCTAATGTAAACTGCGGACTCTGGGTGATGATGTGTTAATGTAGGTTCACCAGTTACAACAAATGCACTACTCTGATGGGGGATGTTAATAATGGGGGAGGCTACGCATACTAAGGGGTATATGGGAAATCTCTGTACCTTTGCTCACTTTTGCTGTGAACTTAAAACTGCTCTACAAAAATAAAGTCTATTTAAAAAGGGAGGATGGATGCTATTAATCACATAAGGACTTTCTAGAGAAAGTTTTCTAGAGAGGACTTTCTAGAGAACGTTTTCTAGAGAAGACTTTCTAGAGAAAACGGGGGGGGGGGGGCGGTATGCTGACTCACCTAAATCAGAATTCTAACTTTTATTACTGCAGAGAAATGATTATTCAAGTTAATTCACAGTTACACTTAAAACACTTTTTAAAAAGCATAGGATTGACATTGAAGACTAGCAACAATGATCATTACAATATACAACTCAAGGAAATTGAAGAAATTCTCACCAGGAGGAGAAGCTATTGTGTACGTACCGAGCTGTCCTCGGCTTCGCCGTACCATTTCTTGCCTGGCACCTATGCTCCCAAGAATAGCTTCTTCAAGCTTTGCTCTCATGTCTTTTGATTTCTTAAAGGTCAAGCTATTCATTCGTTCAAACACTTTTTTCCCCTAAAATGTAAACATTAGAAGAGAAGAGGTATTGAGGAAATTTTCTTCTATTTTTTCCACATTATGTTTCTCCTTTCTTGTTCTTTGCAATGGTACAATGACCACTTACTTTATACTCAAAGCAAGACACACAGAGATAAAGCAGATCTAATAGCCGGTTTAGCTGCAAGACTGAGAGATCTGTAAACCACTTCTGTAGAACTGTTTCATCTGCATTTTTGAGAACCCAAAGTAGACAGATCAAAAGGCTTCGACTTGATTCTGCTGAAAAGGTAGTGTGTTGCCTGCCACTCTGAAAATAAAGAGCAGTAGAATGAGACAGATTGATCAAAGACCATTTCTTGTTTTTTGGCTATCAACTGTTTTCTTCTAAAAACAATAAAACAAAAGTTGCTTAAAAATAATATAATTAAAAACCATTTGATTCAGACAACACTTGTACAAAAGGATCATATATAACCTTAAGGTTAAGAGCCTGAAGTTTAATGAACCTTTCCTGATAACAGAAGTTTGTTTTAATCTACTGCATGACTGCCAGCAGGGGATAAATAAATGTTAATAAAAAACATAAAGATAAAAACTAAAAGATTCTACCATTAAAAACTAAAAGATATATATCACAGAATATCAGATATAATGAAAATAAAGGAAAAAAGCAACTGACTCACAGTAAATAAGAGTGGGCTAAGAGTAGAAAGTAATGACAAAATCATGTATGTCAGACTTAGAAGACTATTGTTTTTAATCAAGCACCACTGATACAAAAAGGAAAAGTCTTAGGCTATATAGAAGTAAAAAGCTATTTCTACTTATAGCATATAAGGTTGAAATGCTATTTTCAATCATCAATCTATATTAGTATATAGTATGTAAAACAGAAATGAAAAAATAAAAACACATTTACAGTACCACTTATTGGACATACACTCTGTTTCAGTCATCATACTAAACATTTTACATACATTATTTGATTTAGTCCTCCAACAGTATTGCCAAGCAGGTCGTATCATCCCAATTTTACAGATAAAAATACAGATGATAATAATAATAATAATGATGATGGCAAAAAATAAAATTTGAAATGTGCAAGAAACTATGCTAATCATGTTTTATTTAGCTCTCACAACAACTGTAAACTATAACATTAACTATTATTATTATTAGTTTACAGGCAAGAAAACTGAAGGCTAGAGAGTAATTTGCCTTACTATACCAAGAAAGGGTAAAGCTAGGATTTTAGTCTAGGTTAACCAGACTCCAAAGCCCATACTCTTCACTATTATACAATGTTCTAATACTCGGCTGACAAATATACTAACTAAAAATGAGGAAGAAGTAGAGGGGATGTTGAGAGGAAAGACATAGGAAAGCTGAACATACACAACTGTTGAAGTCATGATCTCAACTACCTCACCAATCTTCCTTCTATAGTGGATGATAATTAATGACCAAATGCTTTATGTGTATTAAGTTATTTATCCTTCACAATCACTCAAAGAAATAAGTATTATTACTCACCTCATCTTACAGAAAAAAAAAAAAAAAAACCTGACCACCAGAAGTATTTTGTAATAAGAGGCGGGACAACAGTTTCAACACAGAAAGTGTGGCTCCCGAGACACAAGCTCCAAGCTCATATCCACTTTGTTTACTGCCTCTCATGGCTGCCCATGCATATAAGTGAATTCACCCACATAAGCTTGCTTAACTATTTTGCTATACTGCTTCTGAGCTGGGCACAAAAGAACTTTGACCCTGATCCCTAAATCCACAATTGTTCTCATAAGGAAAATGCTCCTTTATTTTAAAGACAGACACTTTTTATAGCCGAACTTTCAGATATGCATAAATACACAGCACTGACTGAATTTTCAAGTACCTATTTTTTAGAAATACAATAAAAAATTATTCTCATCTTGACAAACAGGCATATGCTGACATCTCTTATATTCCCACATAAATTGCCAGTAACACAGTGACATCTCTGGGAAGAATTAAGACAAACATGAAAAAGACTCAGTAATGTAAAGATGTCAGTTTTCCATCAAATTGTTCTATAGGATCAGTGCAATTCTAATCAAAATCCCAGTCAGGTTTTCCTGGAACTTTGACCAATGATTTTTAAATTTAATGGGGGAAAAGCAGAGAGCCAAGATACTCTTGAAGAAGAACAAGGTGGGATGTGGGGAGCAGGGAGATGAATGTGTTCTGCCAGATATCTGCAGTTACTAAAAAACTAAAATAATTAGGACAATTTGATTTTGGCATATTTTTGGCAGTCAAATGAAACAGAATAAAGAACACAAAAAGTGTCCTATGCATATCTGAAAATCTGATCTGTGACAGAGCTGGCACTGTGGATCACTACTGAAAGGATGAACTGTTTAATAAATGATGTTGAGACAACTGATCTTCCTTGAGGAAAAAAAAAGCAGATTCCTACCTTGTACCACCATACAGAAAATAAATCTAGACAAAGAAAGAACTTTAAATACAAAATGTTTAAAACTTTCAGGAGGAAATATAAGACAATATATTTATAATCTTGGGGAAAGGATAGTATATCTTAAATAAGACATAAAAAACATAAACCATAAAAAAGATGGTCACATTTGCCTACATTAAAAATGAGAATTTGTATTCATTCAAATAAATACATTAAAAAGGCACATCATAAATTAGTAGAAATGTGCACATATAAAACCAACCTGAGATTAGTATCCAGAACAGTCTCAACCAGGGTTCCGTGGCATAATTAAGCCCTACAAAAAAGGATTTGAGGGACTATTTTCCCCATTCTCCCAAAGACATTGATAGCAAGGACCACTCTAGGTGTATAGAAGTTAATCTATCACCTACAATAAATGCCCTAGCCCATTAGTTCTTAATTTTCTGGTTGAGAAGGGATGACCTCTAGAAAACAGAAAGAATTGTTTCATAACATTATTACCAGGAATGAGGAAGAGGTCCCAGAGTTCTACATTTTCTAGGCCAAGATTCATACCTCTCCTTCATATTATAACAACCAGAGCTTCACGATTACTCTCTGCCTTCAGACCATCAGGATTAACCTCATTAAATTATTTTCCCCAGTTTGTGTCTACCACCTCAACAGGCCCAGCCTTCAGAAGGCTTCATTCATGACTCGGACTCTGATCACCACACACATAGCTCTTTATATTGTCTCTTCTTACCTCACTTGCCATGTCTGCCCCTTCTCCTAAAATTCTTCCACTATGACCTCTGAAACACATGGTCAATCATTAACAAAACTGCTTTATATCTATAAGAATACATAGCTTATGTTCTCATAGATGTATAAGAACACATGTATCTTTGTCAGACTATACAACCTACTAACCTTCATCACTGCAGTCATATACTAATCTCCAGAAGACTGGCCCTTATATCTTGATGCTTTTAGCTCCTGACTCACTTTCACTATTTTAAACACTACTTTTTGTCACAGTTCTTAGTGATTTCAATGTCTATGTATTTGATTCTCTAAATATCCTGTGCTATTTTTTACTTCCTTAACCAACTTGTCTAATTCTCAAGAATACCACTTACTACACACACTCACCCTTGCAGTCAAACCTTATGCCTTTTATTACCATTATGGCATGTTCCCCTAAATTTCCATTTTAGGTATGTCCCACCATGCCAATTAAAAAACAAAAACAAAACAAACAAACAAAAAAACAAACAGGCCGGGCGCAGTGGCTCACGCCTGTATCCCAGCACTTCAGGAGGCTGAGGCGGGTGGATCACCTGAAGTCAGGAGTTCGAGATCAGCCGGACCAAAATGGAGAAACCCCGTCTCTATTAAAAATACAAAATTAGCTGGGCGTGGTGGTGCATGCCTGTATTCCCAGCTACTCAGGAGGTTGAGGCAGGAGAATTGCTTGAACCCGGGAGATGGAGGTTGCAGTGAGCCGAGATTGCGCCATTGCACTCCAGCCTGGGCAACAAGAGTGAAACTCTGTCTCAAAAAACAACAACAAAAAAACCACCTCCATTTTAATGATCTCTCTTCACAACCACCACTTCAACTTTCCATCTCATTACTTCTTATAAATCAACTCCAACAACACACACAATATCAAGTATTAGAAAGAACATGGAGCAACAAATATTTCTTCATTGCTAGAAGGAATATATATTGCTAGAACCACACTGGAAAACAATCTAACCAAGTAAAACTGAACATGTGCATAACCTCTAACCCAAAAATGCCACTCTTAGGTATATACCTTAGCGAAACTCTTCTACAGAGTGACGTAAAGGAACATTCATAATACCTTTATCTGTAACAGCCCGAAACTACAAACAACCCAAACTTCCTTTGAGAAGAGAATGAATACATAATTATATTTTCTAACGGACTGCTATGACATTACAGACTACAACTATACATATCAACATAAATGACTCTTACAAACATATACAAAAAAATCAAGTCATAGAAGTACACATAGTATATATTCATAAAAAGGTGAAAATATGTGAAGCTAAATAAAATATTGTTTAGAAATATAGACAAAACTGGCTGGATGTGGTGGCTCATGCCTGTAATCCCAGCACTTTGGGAGGCTGAGTCAGGTAAATCACTTGAGGCCAGGAGTTCAAGATCAGCCTGGCCAACATAGTGCAACTCATCTCTACTAAAAATACAAAAAAATTGGTCCGGCGTGGTGGCTCACGCCTGTAATCCCAGCACTTTGGGAGGTTGAGGTGGGTGGATCACGAGGTCAGGAGATTGAGACTATCCTGGCTAACATGGTGAAACCCTGTGTCTACTAAAAAAATACAAAAAAGTTAGCCAGGCGTGGTGGCGGGCGCCTGTAGTCCCAGCTACTCAGGAGGCAGAGGCAGGAGAATGGCGTGAACCCAGGAGGCAGAGCTTGCAGTGAGCCGAGATTGCGCCACTGCACTCCAGCCTGGGTGACAGAGTGAGACTCCATCTCAAAAAAAAAAAAAAAAATTAGCCAGGCGCAGTGGCAGTCACCTGTAATCCCAGCTACTCAGGAGGCTGAGGTGGGAGAATCACTTGAACCTGGGAGGCAGAGCCTGCAGTTAGCCAAGACTGCACCACTGCACTCCAGCCTGGGTGACAGAGCAAGACCCTTTCTCAACAACAGCAACAACAACAAGAAGTCAATAAAAGAGAGAAAAAAAAAACTATAATGGGGTAAGACAATATAAAGTAAAACATAAAATGTTAAATACATCCAATTTAATTAAACTAAATGTAAATGGATTAGAAACTCTAGTGAAAGAGAGAGATTAACAAACCAGATTTTTAAGATACAAGAAAAAAATCTAACTATATGCTGTTTTTAAAAGAAGTATCTAAAACATAATACAAAAATGTTGAAAGGGATGAAAAAGTCATGCTATACACACACACACACACACACACACACAGAGCAAAGAAAACCTAGTGTAATTATAACTACTTTAAAAAGCATCATAGTTCATGTAGATGAAAGTGCAATCCACCAAAAATTATATAAAAGTGTTAAATGTTTCATAATCAGGCCTCAAAAGAAACAAAAATCTGACAGAATGACAAGGAGAAATTACAAAACCACAATTGTAGTGGGATATTAGAATAAGCATGCAAAATTTAGTAAAGACCAAAAAGATTTAAACAACAAGAGTACAGGACATAGAATGCTGTAACTAACAATGAAAGAATATTCATTCTTTTAGAATACATGAGATATTTACAAAAACTGACCATATACTAGACCATAAAACTAGTTTCCACAAACATAACAAACTGATATCATACAGAGTTATGCTCTCTGATCATTTAATTTGGCCAAAATCAGAAACAAGGATATCTAGAAATTTTCATGACTGAAAATTTAAGACAAAAACAACTTCTTAAATAGCTCAAAGGCCTAAGAAGAAATCATAATGAACTTCAGAGTCATTCTGAGATGAATCTTGAAAATGCTACCTATTGATTATGATAAACTTGTTCCCCCAGCTCACAATTTAGAAGTCACAGATGACAGAAGGGAGAATGTAGTAGGCAATGTGATCCTAGAGGCGATGAGAAGGGATGACTAACTGGCTAAAAGAGAGAGAGAAGATGAAACCATTTGGGGAAGATGTAAGAGAATGCAACTAAGTTGAATAAATAAGATACACATTTTTTAAAAAAAATGCCTGTATAGCCAAGACAATGAGCAAAAAGAACAAAGCTGGAGGCATCACACTACCTGACTTCAAACTATACTACAAGGCTACAGTAACCAAAACAGCAGGTACTGGTACCAAAACAGATACATAGACCAAGGGAACAGAACAGAGGCCTCAGAAATAACACCACACATCTACAACCATCTGATCTTTGACAAACCTGACAAAAACAATCAATGGGGAAAGGATTCCCTATTTAATAAATGGTGTTCGGAACCGCCTAGCCATATGCAGAAAACTGAAACTGGATCCCTTCCTTATACCTTATACAAAAATTAACTCGAGATGGATTGAAGACTTAAACGTAAGACCTAAAACCATAAAAACCCTTGAAGAAAACCTAGGCAATACCATTCAGGACATAGGCATGGGCAAACACTTCATGACTAAAACACCAAAAGCAATGGCAACAAAAGCCAAAATTGACAAATGGGATCTAATCAAACTAAAGAGCTTCTGCACAACAAATGAAACTATCATCAGAGTGAACAGGCAACCTATAGAATGGGAGAAAAATTTTGCAATCTATCCAACTGACAAAGGGCTAATATCCAGAATCTACAAAGAACTCAAACAAATTTACAAGGAAAAAACAACCCCACCAAAAAGTGGGCAAAGGATATGAACAGACACTTCTCAAAAGAAGACATTTATGAGGCCAACAAACATATGAAAAAAAGCTCATCATCACTGGTCATTACAGAAATGCAAATCAAAACCACAATGAGATACCATACCATCTCACACCAGTTAGAGTGGCGATCATTAAAAAGTCAGGAAACAACAGATGCTGGAAAGGATGTGGAGAAATAGGAACGCTTTTACACTGTTGGTGGGAGTGTAAATTAGTTCAACCATTGTGGAAGACAGTGTGCTGATTCCTGAAGGATCTAGAACTAGAAATACCATTTGACCCAGCAATTCCATTACTGGGTATATACCCAAAGGATTATAAATCATTCTACTATAAAGACACATGCACCTGTATGTTTACTGTGGCACTATTCACAGTAGCAAAGACTTAGAAACAATCCCAATGCCCATCAATGATAGGCTGGATAAAGAAAATGTGGCACATACACACCATGGAATACTATGCAGCCATAAAAAGGATGAGTTCATGTCCTTTGCAGGGACATGGATGAAGCTGGAAACCATCATTCTCAGCAAACTAACACAGGAACAGAAAACCAAACACCACATGTTCTCACTCATAGGTGGGAGTCGAACAATGAGAACACATGAACACAGGAAGGGGAACATCACACACTGGGGCCTGTCAGGGGGTAGGGGGGTAGGGGAGGGACAGCATTAGGAGAAATACCTAATGTAATTGATGGGTTGAGGGGTGCAGCAAACCACCACGGCATGTGTATACCTATGTAACAAACCTGCACATTCTGCACATGTATCCCAGAACTTAAAGTATAATTTAAAAAAAGGGAAAAAAATGTTACATATAAACAGCATTTAACTAAACAATCAAAGAAAAATGCATAGGCTGAAAATACATATCAAAAAAGAAAGGATGAAAATTAGTGAGTTAAGCATCTATCTCAAGAAGTTAGAAAAAGAACATGAATGTAAACCCAAAGAAAGCAGAAGATAGTAAATAATAAACTTTAAAAAGTGAGGGTCAACAGTGCCACCATACTGGTTCTTTATAAAGACTAACAATACATTTCGACTGTCTGGTAAGACTGATAAAGACAAGAAAAGGTACAAAAATCTAGCCGTAGAAAAAAGTTTACATCTACTACAGATGATACAGACATTTAAAAAATTATACAAGGTATTTTTGAATAACTTTATAAGTCAAGAAATTTGAATACATTTCTACTAGAATAAAATTTACAAAAATCAGTTGTTAAGAAGACCAGGTGCAGTGGTTCACACCTGTAATCCCAGCACTTTGGGAGACTGAGGCGGGGGGATCACCTGAGGTCAGGAGTTCAAGACTAGTCTGGCCAACGTAGTGAAACCCTGTCTCTACTAAAAATACAAACATTAGTCAGGCACAGTGGCAGGCACCTGTAATTCCAGCTATTCAGGAGGCCAAGGCAGGAGAATGGCTTGAAGCCAGGAGGCGGAGGTTGCAGTGGGCCGAGATCATGCCACTGCACTCCAGCCTGTGTGATACAGCGAGATATCATCTCAAAAAATAAAATAAAATAAAATAAAAATAAATAAATACAATCAATGTAAGAAGAAACAAAAAACTTCAATAGTCTCACAGATAATAAATTATAACAGTAATTTTAAAACTTGAAAAAGAAAACACTTCAAGCACAGATGGTTTCATAAGTTCTCCAAATATTCCAGGAAGAGATAATTCTAATCTTAGGTACTTGCAGAGAAGAGGATAAAAGAGAAAACTCCCTACCTCATTTTAATTGGCTAGCCTAAACTTGATTCTAAAACCTGAAAAGAATATAAGAAAGAAAAATTATAGGCAATCTTAGGAACATACGTATACAAATCCTAACAAAATATTAGCAAACGAAATCCATTAGTACACAACTATGAAGAAGTTGAGTTTAATTCAGGATTTCAATGTTGGTTTAACACTAGAAAATCAATTTAAATAAACAACATTAAAAGACCAAAAAGCAAAACAATACAGCCATCTCAATGAATGTGGAAAAAGCATTCGATAACAATTCAACTATTCATAACTAAAAAACAAAATGCTTAGTAAACTAGTAACAGAAAGAGACTTCCACAATAAAGGAAGGTATCTTAAAAAAAACCCAAAACATACAGAACATATGTTTAAGAATGAAATGTTGAAAGTTTTACCTTTAAAGATACAAACATCACCACTTCTATTCAACACTGTACTGGAGGTACTAGCCAGTACAATAAATTACATATATAAAAAAACTGACAGGAAGAAACTACATTGTTATTATTCACAAATTATATGATTGTGTGTAGAAAAAAAGAATCTACAAATATGTTATTAGTTTATCACTTTATCATTTATTTTATATTGTGGAAATAAAAATCATTGTACAAAAATCAATTTTTTTGATAATGAGTATTTTGTTTCTGTACAAAAATTGATTCTATTTCCATATAAAGCAATCAACGTTAGAAAACAGAATTTTTGAAAAAGACACCATTTATAGGAACATTAAAAAATATCAAGCACGAATAATAAATCTACAAAAGATATGCTAGTCCTCCTTGGTAGAAACTAAAAAAGTTTATGTACTGAAAGACACTAAAGGCAGCCTAAACAATGGGGGGATTTGTGTTCAAAAATTACGAGATTCAATAGTATAATCATAATTCAATACAATCTTAACTAAAATTTTAACAGGTTTATTGGTTTTTGTTTATTTATTTTAGTGGAACTTTACAAGCTGATTTTCAAATTTATGTAGATATACAAAGGGCCAAAAAGTAGCCAAGAAAAATTTTAAAAATGTATGACTTTCTCTACATGGTAGACCATATACAGGCAGTATTTCAGAGATGTAGGGAAAATATTCTTTTAATAAACGGTGCTGAAATAATCTGGCATAATATGCAATATAAATAAATAAATAAATGAACCTGGACTCCCAACTTACACTGTATATAAAAAAATCTATTTCAGGTAGATTTTAATTTTAAAATTAAATGTAAAAGGAAGAACAAAAAATTTCGAATGTAACACAGAATACCTTCAAAATTCTGAAACAGAAAAAAATTCCTTAAATAAGATATAGAAAATATTAGCTGCAAGACTAAATTTAAGTATATTAAAATCAGGCATTCTAGGCTGGGCACAGTGGCTCACGCCTGTAATGCCAGCACTTTGAGAGGTCGAGATGGGCAGATCACGAGGTCAGGAGATCGAGACCATCCTGACTAACATGGTGAAACCCCATCTCTACTAAAATACAAAAAATTAGCCAGGCATGGTGGCGGGTGCCTATAGTCCCAGCTACTCAGGAGGCTGAGGCAGTAGAATGGTGTGAACCTGGGAGGCAGAGCTTGCAGTGAGCCGAGATTGTGCCATTGCACTCCAGCCTGGGTGACAGAGCAAGACTCTGTCTCCAAGATAAATAAATAAATAAATAAAAAGTAAAATAAAATTAGGCATTCTAACCACCAAATTCACCATTAAATGGGTAAAACAGCAAGCCACAGAGAAGAAATATTTGAACCACTTATAACTGACAATGGACTTGATCTAGAACATACAAAGTCCTAAAAATCATTAAACAAAAGCAAACAACCAAATGGAAAACAAGCAAAGAACTCTAGACACTTCAAAAGAGAGAATCCAAATGGTCAATCATACTTATGGAAAAGTGCACACCGCACAAGTCTTCGGGGAAATACAAGCTAAAATGAGATTCAACTATAAATGACCAGATTGGCAAAAATTTAAAAATCTGACAATTCTCTAAGTATTGATGAACATGTGAAGGAATGAGAACTCTCATATTGTATGTGTTAAGTATAAATTAAGGTACGCCCTCTGGAAAATAGTTGGCCATTACCTGGTATAGATTAAGATACCCACAGTCTATGACCCAACAAATTCCACTTCTAGAAAATACTCTAAATAAAAGTATATATATGCATGCAGGATATATATAAAAGAAAGTCTGCAAAATTGTTATTTGCAATAACCAAGGATCAGAAACCATTCATGCACCTATCAACAGAATGGGCAAATAAACTGATTTATAGTTAGACAATGGAATATCATACTGAAATGAAAATCAGTGAATTATAGCTACATTTCATAACATTAATGAATACTAAAAACATAATATAAAACTAAACTACAGTATTTTGGCAGGACGTGGTGGCTCATACCTATGATCCCAGCACTTTGGGAGGCCGAGGCAGGTGGATCAACTGAGGTCAGGAGTTTGAGACCAGCCTGGCCAACATAGTGAAACCCCATCTCTACTAAAAATACAAAAATTAGCCAGGCATGATGGCAGTCATCTGTAATCCCAGCTACTCGGGAGACTGAGACAAGAGAATCGCTTGAACCTAGGAGGCAGAGGTTGCAGTGAGCCAAGATCGTGCCACTGCACTCCAGCCTACCTGGGCTACAGTGCAGGGCTCCGTCTCAAAAAACAAAACAAAACCAACCAACCAAACTATATATATATATATATATATATATTACTATAAACTATATATTTTTAAAATGCAAACTTAGACGGTAAAACTCTCTATCTATACATTTTTTTGAGATAGAGTCTTGCTCTGTTGCCCAGGTTGGAGTGCAGTGGCGCGATCTAGGCTTACTGCAAACTCCACCTCCCAGGTTCAAGTGATTCTCCTGTCTTAGCCTCCTGAGTAGCTGGGATTACAGGCGCCCACCACCATGTCTGGCTAATTTTTTTGTATTTTTTAGTAGAGATCAGGTTTTACCATGTTGGCCAGGTTGGTCTCGAACTCCTGACTTCAAGTGATCTGCCCACCTTGGCCTCCCAAAGTGCTGGGATTACAGGCGTGAGCCACCATGCCTGGCCTAGATGGTAAAACTCTAAACAAAATTATGCAATTATATCATCAATCAGGACACTGAGAGTTTGGTGGGTTGCTGTGGTTGAGAAAGGGCATGCTAAGAACTTCTGGATGGCAGCCAACATCCTTGTTTTTGACCTGAGTGGTAATTACAAAGCTGTTTATTTTCTAATGTTTTAAAACCTCATTATGTTTTATGTACTTTGTCATATGTAGTATACTTCACAAAAGAAAAGTTAAAAAAAATAAAAAGGTTAATACAATTGAGAACAATGGTCATTCCCAGGGGAGGGAGAGATCAAATTGAGGAAGGCCACTGGTAGCTTCAAAGGTTACCAGGCTGTAATGTCTGATTTCTTAAACTGAGCAGTGGATATGCTGCTGTTTATTTTATTATTACATTTTGTACATGCACTTTATTGTATTATTTTATAGGTAGAATGTCACCAAAAGTGCAATTGATAAAAAAAATTTGCTACACTGGAATTCATTAAAAACTTTCACACTTCAAATGACACCATCAAGAAAGTAAAAAGATAATCCATAGGAAGGGAGAAAGTATTTGTAAATCAGATAGCTGATTATTTTACAAATCCAGAATACATAAAGAACTCTTAAGAAATCTTAAAATAGCAACCTTTTTTTTCTTTTGAGACAGGGTCTTGCTCTGTTGTGCAGGCTGGAGTGCAATGGCACAATCCTGGCTCACTGCAACCTCCACCTCCCAGGCTCAAACAATCCTCCCACCTTAGCTTCCCAGGTAGCTGGGACTACAGTAGGCACATGCCACCACGCCCGGCTATTTTTTGTGGTTTTGGATAGAAACAGAGTTTTGTCATGTCCCCCAGGCTGGTCTCAAACTCCTGAGCTCAAGCAATCCTCCCACCTCAGTCTCCTAAATTTCTGGAATTACAGGTGTGTGCCACTGTGTCTGACCAATGACAAAAGATTTGAATAGACTTTTCTCCAAAGGAGATATACAAAACAATGTGCCAATAAGCACACAAAAAGATGTTCAACATCTGTAGGTTGTTAGGGAAATGCAAATCAAAACTACAGTGAAGTTCCAATTTACAATCACTAAAGGTGTCCTAATCAAAAAGACAGATAATAACAAGTGTTGATGAGGATTTGGAGAACAGAAATTCTTATTCATTGCTGATGAGAATGAAAAACAGTACAGCCACATTAGAAAAAAAAAAAGAGTTTAGAAGTCTCTAAAAATGTTAAACATAGAAGTACCATATGATCCAGCAAATCCACTCTTAGGTATCTACCTAAGAGAGATGAAAACATATGTGGACACAGACTTGTACATAAATGTTCGTGGCAGCATTATTCTTAACAGCCCCAAAGTGGAAATGATACAGCTGTTCATCAACTGACAAATGGATAAACAAACTTTGGTGTATCAATACAATGGAATACTATTTGGCAATAAAAAAGGAAAGAAGTATTGATACATACACGACATGGATGAACCTCAAAAACTTATGCTTAGTGAAAGAATACAAACACAAAAGATCATATAGTAAATAATTTCATTTATATAAAATGTCCAGAATAGGCAATTCTATAGATAGAAGTAGGTTAGTCACTCTCTAGTGCTGGGGTAGGAACGACTGCTAATAGGTATAAGGAATCTTTTCAGCGTATTGGAAATGTTCTAAAATTAGCTTGTGGTGATACCTGCGCAACTCCGTAAATATACTAAAAACCATTAAGGTATATATACTCACAATAGGTGAATTTTTTGATATGTAAATAATCTTAATAAAGCTATAAAATTGTCAAGTTTCCTTAAATATTACTGCATTTTTCTGGAAAAAAATGTCATTTAAAACTTTTAGAACTTGATCTTGCTCTATTGGCAATTTGGTTCCTTCCTGCCCTGATCCTTCTGCCTTTAAGAGGGGAAAAGTTCAGGGGCATAGTAAATATCAAGTGTTTTCAAAACATAAAAAAGTATAAATATTCACAGATTAAAAAAACCCTCAAATGACTGAGAATCTTTCTTAGGGCTGACAAAGAATAAAACAGGTTTAAAAAAATAAAGAAATGAACTATTCCAAAGGATTATAAATCATGCTGCTGTAAAGACACATGCACACGTATGTTTATTGTGGCACTATTCACAATAGCAAAGACTTGGAACCAACCCAAATGTCCAACAATGATAGACTGGATTAAGAAAACGTGGCACATATACACCATGGAATACTATGCAGCCATAAAAAATGATGAGTTCATGTCCTTTGTAGGGACATGGACGTAGGGACATGGACGAAGCTGGAAACCATCATTCTCAGCAAACTATTGCAAGGACAAAAAACCAAACACCGCATGTTCTCACTCATAGGTGGGAATTGAACAATGAGAACACATGGACACAGGAAGGGGAACATCACATACCGGGGCCTGTTGTGGGGTGGGGGGAGGGGGAGGGATAGCATTTGGAGATATACCTAATGTTAAATGACGAGTTACTGGGTGCAGCACACCAACATGGCACATGTATACATATGTAACTAACCTGCATGTTGTGCACATGTACCCTAAAACTTAAAGTATAAAAAAAAAAAAAAAAGAAATGAACTATCTATAATGAGGCAATTTTCCAAATTCTGAATGACAGAATACGGGGCTTTTTCCCATAAACCTTGAGGTAATCATTTTTTAAAACTGTTTGGGAGAAGACAGTTAATATTCTGGGAACTTTAATATTTTCATAAATAAAACTGAGCACTTTTGCATCAGCTGATACAATCATCTCATATATTTAAGGGCATATCCTAGTAAATATTTGTCTTTCTAGAAAAAAAAATTCTGTAGGAGGATTGTTTTTACCGTTGACGTGAGGAGGAAACTGCCAGGCCTTGTTAGTTGAGGGACCGATGTCCCTGCGATTGCCATGGCAACGGTCTGGCTTATCATACTTCCGCTCTCACTTTCATAATCATCAGTGGCTATACAAATTGGTCTTCCTCGTTGATTGTGAGTTTCTAAAGAAAAATAATCCAAAAAAATAAATAAAACTGTTTAGCTGAACTAATTCCCTTTCCTATTCTCCACTATTCTTTAAAAGAATAACTTGTTGACATGTTATAGTTATTAGATTTACTTCTTTTGGATAATATTTTAAATATCTTTAACAGTAACTCATTGCTATGGTAATAATTTATAGTTTACAGAGAACATTAACTTGCTAGTCAGAAGATGTAAGAATATAAACATTTCTGCCTTCAGGTAAGGAAATTCATTTTAGTGATCAAAATACTTGAAAGACTGCTCAACAATCAGTCTCTTAAGGCAAATAGCTGGTTATCTTTGCAACACCAGCACCTGTCAAAGTTCTTAATACACATTAGATACTCAGGAAATGTTTCTGTTTTACTGAACTGGAAGCTATCGGGCTAATTGCTGGTTTAAATTCCCTCATTTGCCCTAAAGAAAATATTGTTGCAAACTAAATTCTGTATTTAAGTAAATTCTAAATATGGAAAGCAAGAGCAATAAAACTCTGTAGGTTCTAGTTTTGAAGAAGTAATACCACTTCAACTTATTAACCTGGTGTTAGCAATAAACACAATTCCTGATATTCAAGTGAATATTCATTTCAATTTTATATATATGAATCAAGTCAAAACTGAGGTGGTAAACATCTGTCAAGTTTTCTTGTATTTTTTCAGATGTATACTGCATGTTCACACAAACATTTCCTAAAATGTAGGTACAGAATTGCTATAAAATCATTATTTTTAAATTCATCATAAGAACTACTTAAAGCAATCTTATACGGAATTCTCTCACACGGTCAAAGGTTTTCTGGCAATATAGTTTAATATTTATAGTTTACTTTGATCAGCACACAATTCTTATTTTCCTAAAATAAGATCTTCATCCTTGAGATATTTTCTAACACTTTTAAACATTGAGCTTTGCCTTTAATATTTGCCTTAATTATACTAGGTACCTGTAAAATCATACAGCTGAGGTACAGTTTCCATGATAATACCAATCAGAGGTAGATACAACATGGCCACTCGAGCCTTTATCTGAGGGTCAGAGTACCGCGGGTCTGAGTCGTGACTGGAGAGTAAATTGTGTACCATATTGATGACTTTCTTATGCAATCCAAACAGTCTATTTAAAAAGAAGAAGACAAAGAAGAAAAAGCAGTAAGGCCACAGAGATTAGCTAACATCTTTAAAACAAACAGTAAGTCATGGTATTGAATAAATTTTGTTCAATTTCTTACCTTTGTCATATATTTGCATGCATTCCATTCCTATAAAACATTTCTCATTTTAAAATAAATGTATAAAAATGTAAAAAATGTGTAAAATAAGAATTGAAGAAAAGGAAATGCTATACAAATTCACTTAGAAGTAAATCTGAATATTTTTACATTAACTCCTTATTAGTGTATTTGAATATAAAGAAACTAAGACTACTTATAGTTACATTTTGAAGCTAAACAAGGTAAATTTTAAAATGCTGTAATTGTTATTTCATCAAATCAGATCTTTTCACATTTACCAAAAATAAATTATTCCCTTTTTCGGAAAGAAAAATCCCCTACCTAATGGATTATGTAGCCCACAGGCTG
Organism: Homo sapiens; assembly: GCF_000001405.40. Lineage (NCBI taxonomy): Eukaryota > Metazoa > Chordata > Mammalia > Primates > Hominidae > Homo > Homo sapiens. Next base: position 62,529,913 of record NC_000001.11, read on the forward strand.
GGGTTGCCTTTGACATCTCTATTTAAACTGCACTTCTTTACTAATATACCTCATTTGGGTCCTTACAACTTTTTTAGACTCTCAATCCCCCTCAGTTTCAAATGGGCTAATACACTAACAAGGGTCACTTTCACTTAAACATTTTTGTCTCTTCTTAAGCTGACAGCACTTTAACTATGCAAACCATTCTAATTTAAAATTCATCTACTCCAACTTTAACTGGCCCTTAATGCTGCATCCACTAAGCAGTTTCAGATCTCACTCTCTCTCCTTAAGCCTTTTACTGTCAATCACAACAGAAGACCTTACTTCCAACTTAGGAAAGAAGAGCCATTCTGAATTTGCTCTGGCCAGGTCTTTTAACACAATTCCATCTTTATAGCTCACAAAGAGTCTTTCCTTTTTGTCTCAGAAAAAGTGTACCTTCTCACAGAAAATAATTTCTTCATATGTTCAATGAACCCTGTCTTTTTTCAACAGCTTCAATGTCTCCCCTCATTAGGTTCTTCCCTTCTTTCTTCAAATATGCCTTTCCTATCTTGAAAATACATCATCACTTTAAAAAGTTGAGATTAGAAAACAGGTAGTCTTCTCCCAGAGCCCTTGATTGTATCTGCCATTTTACAAAGCTGTATGTGAAATCTAGATGGAGATTCTTTCTTCTTTCTTCCAGCTCTTTAATCATAAAGTATACTTTTATAGAGGCTTAAAACACATGAAAGCAAACAGCTGAGAGATGGCCACACACTCAGACTACAACATCCAGAAAGAGTCTGCCTGCACTTGGTGCTTTGCCCGTGAGGTGGCACCAATGGGCCTTGCCTGCACCAGCTCGCTCAGAAACACAACTGCGACAAGATGATCTGCCTCAAGGGTTATGCTCACCTGCATCCCTGTGCCGTAACTGCCGCAAGAAGTACAGCCACAAAACATGCTGTGCCCCCAAAAGAAGGTCAAATAAGACACCTCCCCTGGCTCCTCCTTCTCCCACTGGGTGGCCTCCTGCCCAAGCCCCATGGCCCTGGGGCCTCAATAATGTTTCCCTTTTACTGACTAGTGGGTATAGGGAGGGTCGGTGGGTGGAAAGTATACATTTAAACATTGTCAAGAACCACATCTAGTGAACCTATCTCAGATCTCATTCTCCAGCTCCACTTGACACTTTGTCACCTTATATATTCTCTTCTCAGGATTTTCTCCAGTAGTTCCCACCTTCCCCAGATTCCTCATCATTATTCTCAAGGCTTAGATTCTCGCCAATTGCTTTTCACGTTCTCCTCTTTGACTTTCTGTATCAGCACTAATGTTTGCCAAAGGTATGCCTTATCTCTCAGCAGCTACCATACTCATACTCCAATCTATATAAACTCTATCCACTTGTCTTCATAAAGCCTTTTCATATGCTTACATTGCTCAATCCCATTGTTATTAAATATATATTAATACAAGATCTGTAATATCCTATTCTAGATGTTGAAGATAAAGACATTCCCCATTTTTAAGTGGCTCACTTTAGCAAGAGAGAAACACGGACACAAACATAATAATTCTTCAATACTTCAAATAATTCTTCAATTCTTTATAAATGCTACAATTAAGGAACATAAATCCTCTCATCTTCTAAAGAACCATGTACTACAAAACTAACATTTAATCATAGTGTACTGTTTTGCAGTCTTAACTTTCTAATTACAATGAAAGTTTCTAAAGAGCAAATCTTTCATTAATTATAGAACATATTATTGCCACTTAAGGAATTATTCTTGATTACGTAGCAAGCATGTGGATTAAAAGACAAACATTCCTCTCAAGGATCTCTCCAAGACAATGCTGCATATAATCTATATACCTCCCAAGACAGTAAAATTTAAAGATGAGATATGAGTTTCTTACAGTTAATCCTTCATTCATCAAATTAACATACATTAGCAAGTGTCCACTTTGTGCCAGACATAATACTAAGGCACTGGGAATACAGCACTGAACAAGAAAGACAAGGTGCCTGTTCTCATGCTCTCACATGCTCACATTCTACTGGGAGAGGACAGATCATAAACAAGCAAATTTCAGATAAGTGCCTTGTAGAAACTAAAACAGGGTTACATGGCTGAGAATGATTGTGACAAGGACAACATGGCTGTTATTTATGAGACAGAGTCTTGCTCTGTTGTCTAGGCTGTGGCGTGATGTTGGCTCACTGTAACCTCCGCCTCCCAGCTTCAAGTGATTCTCATGCCTCAGCCTCCCGAGTAGCTGGGATTAGAGGCAAGCACCACCATGCCCAAGTAATTTTTGTATTTTTAGTAGAGATGGGGTTTTACTATGTTGGCCAGGCTGGTCTCAAACTCCTGACCTCAAGTGATCCACCCATCTCAGCCTCCCAAAGTGCTGAGATTGTAGGTGTGAGCCACCATGCCAGGCCTATTTATTTATTTAATTTTCTTGAGACAGGGTCTCACTCTGTCACCCAGGCTGGAATACAGTGGTGTGATCATTGCAGCCTTGACCTCTTGGACTTAAGTGATCCTCCCTCCTCAGCCTCCTGAGTAGCTGGGACTATAGGTATGCACCACCATGTACGGCTAATTAAAAAAATTTTTTTGGTACAGACAGGGTCTCACTATGTTGCCTAGGCTGGTGTTGAACTCCTGGACTCAAGCAGTCCTCCTGCCTCAGCCTCGCAAAGTGTTGGGATTACAGGCATGAGCCTCTGTGCCTGGCCAATATGGCTGTAATTTAGGTTAGGTGGTCAATGAAAATCTCACTGAGAAGATGCTGTTTGAACAGATACCTGAAGAACCACAAGCAAGAAATGACTATGTGAACATCTGAGGGCTGTTCAACATTGCTTCAAGAGGAGAAAAATCCAAGTGCAAAGGCCTGAAGGTGGGAATGAGCTTGGTGCATTAGAGAAACAGAAAGTAGGCCAGCATGGCTAGATCTTAGTATATGAGGAGGAAGAGAGTGGCAGGAGTAGACAAGAGCCAGATACACAGGGCCTTAAGAACCTATATATGGCAACTATATGCAAGACTATCTTGCAGTCATGAGAGGCTCCAGCCTTAGGATAAAGCTGACACTTCTAGCAGAGGTAAGAAATGTAAAGAACTGGAATCATGATGGTATCACTGAGCTGATGATATTACTGTGCTAAAAACCTATCTTTCTGGGGGTTTATCCGTTCGGAGCCCCCCCTCCCTCTATATCAGGCAGCCGTTTTCTTATTTCTTTCCTCTTTCTTGCCTATTAAACTTTCTGCTCCTTAAAACCAAAAATAATAAATAATAAATAATAAAAATCCTATCTTTCTTCCAATTTTGAAATAGTAAATTTCCTTCCTTTAATAAAGCCAGCTGGAGGAAGAATTTTCTATTTATTGTAACCAAAAACAGGTTCACATACCAAGTAAAAATATTGAAAATACAGATTCAAATGAGTGAGCTATACCAGTTATTTTAAAAAGCTAGTATGTTTAGGTAAGTTGTTTTTAGAGTGTTTTTTCCCCAAATAACAGATTCCTTTATTTATTTTTTTTAATGACATCACAGTCATTTGTCAAATGGCAAAATACAAAAGTGGCGCCAAGCAGGGGTGGAAGGCCCAGAGTTTCACCCATTTAGTTTGCCCTCTCTATACTCCAAAGTCTGCACACACACTGCCCACCCCAATCTACACAGAAACCCATTAAGCACCTCTTCAGGACCCTACAGTTCTGTTTAGAACACAGGGTGAAAAACTACTTCTTTAAAATAGATTCCAAACTTAGGAAGTTGCCATTATAAAAAACACATGTCTTTCACTTGCAGATCTGGCCTTTCACAATTTATTCGGTATTGACTATGCCCCTGACATACTGCTAAGAACTTGACATACCTCCTCTTTTATTCATTCAATAAATATATCAGCAGAACCTTGTAAAAACCTATTTAAAGTATCTCTTTTCGTTCTTGCATGAGGCTAAACTGCATTATAAACTTGGATTATTCCTACTACAAAAAAAAAATTTTAAGCCATTATCACCCAAATGAGTTATGGTCATACTATTAAGATGGACATACCTCATATGGGATGCTGGACCACAACACATCAAGCTTTTTTTTTTTTGAGATGAAGTCTTGCTCTATCACCCAGGATGGAGTGCAGTGGTGTGATCTTGGCTTACTGCAACCTCTGCCTCCCGGATTCAAGCAGTTCTCATGCTCCAGCCTCCCGAGCAGCTGGGATTACAGACATGAGCCACCATGTGTGGCTAATGTTTGATATTTTTAGTAGAGATGGAGTTTCACCATGTCAGCCAGGCTGGTCTCGAACTCCTGACCTCAAGTGATCTGACTGTCTCAGCATCCCAAAGTGCTGGGATTACAGGTGTGAGCCACTGCACCTGGCTACATTAAGCTACTTCTATAAATTCAAATCATTAGGTCGGTGCAGTGGCTCACGCCTGTAATCCTAGCATGCTGGGAGGCCGAGGCGGGCTGATCACTCGAGGCCAGGAGTTGGGAGACCAGCCTGGCCAACATGGCAAAACCCCATTTCTACTAAAATTACAAAAATTAGCCGGGAGTGGTGGCACGCGCCTGTAGTCCCAACTACTCAGAAGGCTGAGGCAGAAGAATTGCTTGAGCCTGGGAGGCAGAGGTTACAGCAGGCTGAAATCATGCCACTGTTGTCCACCCTGGGTGAGGGTGACAGAGTGAGACCTATTCTCAAAAAAACAAAACAAACAAACAAACAAAAATCACATCATCAGACAATATACTTTTCTAACTACATCAATTTCCAAACATCCTTTAATAATGTACACAACTTTGGAAGTTTTTAAAACCTAAAGATATTTGTTTATAGGGCAATTTTTGAAATAAAATGCTACATAGTATGATGGCAAATTATAAATTTTTGGCCAGGTGCAGTGGCTCACACCTGTAATCCCAGCACTTTGGGAGGCTGAGGTGGTGATCACTTGAGGTCAGGAGTTTGAGACCAGCCTGGACAACATGGTGAAACCCCATCTCTACTACAAAAAGAAAAATTAGCTGGGTGTGGTGACGTGTGCCTGTAGTCCCAGCTTTGGGAGGCTGAGGCAGGAGAATTGCTTGAACCCAGAAGGCAGAGGTTGCAGTGAGCTGAGATCCTGCCACTGCACTCCAGCCCGGGTGACAGAGCAAGACTCTGCCTCAAACAAACACACAAAAAAAGATAAATTTTCCTGACAAGGAATCAAATAAAAGACCATTTTCCTCAAATGACAAGCATTTACTTTACATCAAAAAATCTATCTACTAATATGCATAATTTATTTTATATATTATTAAGAAGAAAAAGAACACTACTAAATGAATTATGATACGCCACCAATTTTAAGACAAATCCCAAATTCAGAGGTGACAAAATATGAGAAAAAGTCTTTCATAAAACTGATTAAACAGATAAATAATATAAGTGAGAAACTTAGTGAAGAGGGAAGTAGAAAAAGAGTGTGAAAGATTATTCTCCTAATCCTCAGGAAATGTGAGTGGAATACTTCTGTCCACTGTTCAAAATCAAACTCATATTCTACAAGGTAAAAACTAGTGTACTCACCCTTCAGCATCAGGGTCTAAAATGACAGCCAGCTCTGTTAACACAAGTCCTGCCAAATAATGCTGTTGGCGGAAAGGCACGGATAATTCAAACATATTTGCAATCTTTTGGTCTTGTACATTCGTAGAAAATCCAGAACTCTGTTGGAAAGTGAGGCAGAACAAGACTATAACAGCAGTGCAACAAAGCATCCTACAGACAGAGCAATATAAGAAATGAAATACTTTTTCCCAGGGTAGTTTATTTTATATTACTAACACTGAAGACAAAGCAACTTTTCAGACTTTTGGGACAGGAAACTATGATGAGATTGCTTTATTAAGTTAATTACTTTATTATAGAAATTAATCATTGAAAATTTAATTATTTTACATTTCTTTTTTCACATATACTTTCCTACATATTTTCCCCTTTATTCTCTTAGCCACTTTTCAATACCACACTCTGATGGAAAAAAGAAGCAACTAAATCCAAATGACATAGTATGCACTTACCCCAAAGTACAAGAGAAATATTCATAGTCAAGGCTATTGGTTTCCAGAGAAATTCGAAACACCAGTACAATTGTTTTTCACAGAATATACTATCTCTGGAAAATTACCATCATTTTGTTGTCTGAGTTTTTTTTTTAACATCTTAATACTTCAAAATATTATAGCATTCTCCAAGATACAGTCCATATTCAGGACTCATGTGGGGTTTCTTAGTGCAACAATAGATTTCACATTTCTCTATGGCGAAATCTTCTCCTAATAAGAATATAAAACTCTTCTTAGCCTTTCAAAAAAGAGTGATGTCTCTGTTATCTGAAAGAATCTGAAAATTACATAGCTAGCTGAGAAAGTGGGCAACAAGATAACAGAAGAAATTCTATGAGCATTTCCTGGCTGAAAGAGATGTTCAGTAAGGAATTAGATATAAACAAATATGTTTCCTTAAGGGTGTTAGCAACCATATTTATGATTAATCTGTCTTTGTGTAGCTACATCTTTGGCAGAGGACAGGGAAAGAAAGAAAAAGGCCAGCCTCATCCATTAGATTAAGGGCATGCTAGCCAGACTGAAGAGTTTGTGGAAAAATAGGCTGATCCAGAAGATTTTTTTACAGAGATAAAATGAAAAGTTGTGGGTACTCTTTGATGTTTTCTAGTCTTTCTAGCTGAAGTTTAAATTTTGTTTTTTAAATCACGCATATGAGATATCACCTACAGAATCCTATTCAGGAATTAAATATATTGAAAACAAAATTAAGAAGTATTAAGATTAACTAACTTTCACTTTAGAAATTAAGAGCTTAAAAAAAGTAGCCTCCTTGCCTCAGGAATAATACAGTAGAACGAGTATTTCACTGGACAAAGGAAAATATAGGCTTCTCTGATACTAAAACCACAAAATCTCTTCATCTCAATTTATAAAAGAGGACATACATATTAACTGCTACAATAACACTTTTTCATCTACAGAGAACCTACTAGCTGTTGAAGTCAAGTGCCACCCACTGAAAAACCCATCAATTTTCATCTGGTTTCCTTTGGGGTTTCTGGATACAAGAGAGTTAAGCAGGGCTTTGTCATGCCTCCACTGCAGTTTGACTTCTTTCTCTGTTCAATTATGCTTCATCCCCCACTTCCTTTCACAGGTATTGATCTCTAAAACACATCTTGCATTTGAAACTCATTCTTGGTGTCTGCTTCAAGAGAACTCAATTTGTGAAAACATCTTAATTAGTAAGTTTATTTAGGTGAATTCATTCACATGTGCATTAAGTCTATGAAAGGAATATAAAACAGTGGTTAAGAACTTGGGCTCGGCCGGGAGCGGTGGTTCATGCCTGTAATCCCAGCACTTTTGAGAGGCCGAGGCCGGCAGATCAAGAGGTCAAGAGATTGAGACCATCCTGGACAACCAACATGGTGAAACCCCGTCTCTACTAAAAATACAAAAATTAGCTGGGCATAGTGGCGCACGTCTGTAGTCCCAGCTACTCAGGAGGCTGAAGCAGGAGAATCGCTTGAACCCCAGAGGCGGAAGTTGCAGTGAGCCGAGATCGCACCACTGCACTCCAGCCTGGGAGAAACAGCAAGACTCTGTCTCAAAAAAAAAAAAAAAAAAAGAACTTGGGCTCTAAAATAAAGCCTTGGTTCAAAACCTGGCTCTGCCACTTTTTACTCAGTGACCTTTCTGTGTTTCTGTTTTTCTAACCTGCAAAATGGGTATAATAACAGAACTTGCCTTTTTAGAGTTATTCTGAGGATTAAATGACTTTTAATACTTACAAAGCACTAAGAACTGAGCCTATCATACAGCTGTTATTCAATAAGTGTTATTTTTTCCATTGTTTAAAACTATTCTTCACAAAAGTGACTTTAAATATATGTATATTCACACAATTTGCATACCTGAGATGTTGCAGAAGAAACAGAAGGTGATGGAGATGCAGGTGGAGTAAGTAAGCTGCAGGGTAAGTTTAATGTAACATAGTGCTCATGACTGCAGATGATTCGTAGAAAATCCAGCCTCAAGGACACCAGAACACTGGGATTCGGTAATGAGTAAAGCTTTGAAGACACCTTGTAAGCAATGCATAAGTAAGAGAACACCAATTGAATCTATTATTTCTTTAATACTAATACCAGAATGGCAAATTAGAATTAAAGAGATAGTACTTGGTATCCAGTTTGGGTTTTGTGGCTTAAGTAGCAGTATCACCTTTTTCCAGAGTTACTGCTAAAATTAAAAATTTTAAACTATCAGGTTTACTGTATAAACATATTTGACTAACCTAAAAGCCACATTCTTGTATTTCCAATATAGCATCAATATTTCTACTTCTCATAAAACAGGGAAAACGTATATCACCAAAAATAACTTCTTATTACTTCCTTCTTAAAAGAAATTATCAATTCTTTTTATAGCACTTTGTGCTTACCTGTATTTATAATTTGTCTGTTTTCTCAGCAACATCATAAGCTACTTGAGGAGACATACTATAAACTGATTTAACAGCTTTAGTGTCCCTACAGCTTAGCTCAATGTTTGACAAATATAGGAGATCAATGCTTAAAGAATAAAGACAGGACAAGTTCTGGTAGCAATAGTACATAAAGTTTTGGGGGAAAGGTAAAAATGATACATATCGTGTTGCAAGTATTTCCATGTGGGTGAGTGCCCATGCATAGTTTTAACTTTTCTATTAGAAGAAATAAACAATAAAGGCATCCAATAGAATATTCAAAATTCTAAATATTAGACTGCCAAATAGAATTCTGGACTATTAGTTCCCTAAAACTAATCTGTAGACCAGTTGTGAGGTGCTTCACAAGCACTGTGTGCTCCTCATCCCCACCACCATAAGTTTGAACTTCTCAATAATTCTGGGATGGGACTCAGAAATATGTATATTTTTAAAGCTCCTTTAAAAGGTAATTCTGAAAGGCTTATACAGTTTACTACCAAAGTGGCCCAGCAGAACCAATAACTAATGTTTTCTAGAAGGCAGACTTCACTAATCAGTTGATAAAAATTTTAAAACAAAATCAGCTATGTTTGGAAAAGTTCCAGGATGCTTTTAATTTCGTAAAGTCAAGATAATGAACATATGGCAAATGGGTAAACATCCATAATTCCAAACTCTACAATGTCCAGGGCTGGATTAGGAGGAATACCCAGCAAAATGCAGTTGCTTTAAAAATCACTCAAGATACAGAAGTCCACTCGGTATAAATGCTCCACTTGCATGACATCTTGAGACTGCTTTACATTACTACTGACTTGATAGTATGATCCAGAATGAGGATTAAAGAGTCATGAGTAGGCCAGTATAACTCAAGGAAATACTGGCTGTACTGATAACAGCTTGCCACAGTCCTTGTGTCCTGATAAAACATGTGTAATTTACTTTTGCCTTGCTAATAAAAATATGTTACTTTGGCTACTTTTTGTTTTAACATCAGTATATAAATGTGCTCTTAAGGTCTCTTAGCTCTAACTTTGAAAAGAACTAACATAGTATTTAAATTATTTGATTACTAATTATTCCTAACTATGCATTACCTGTTTATAGCAGGACTTTATAAGGCTAAAAACAAATCCTCTGTCCATAACAGACAACAGATCATTGAGAAAGAATGCAAGGCTTGTATTGAGTCTCTCAACCATTTCTGTGTCCTGTGAAACAGAATATAAAACAAAAACAAATTAAAGTATGATAGCTTAATCTGAGCTTGAAAGAGAGATAAGTGGGGAAAAAGTTATCATTACCTTCTGAAATCGTGAAACTATATCACTAGCAATCGTGCTGACAAGAGCTGCAATGTCATCCATGAAACGTTCTGGAAAACGACTTTTCCTTGGAGCCTCAAGTTTATCATTAAAGTATAAATGGTGCACCATGCTCTTTACCTGAAAAAAAGATATAAATTATTAATTTCCTATGAATATATTTAACAATTACAACAACTCTAAACACTTGGACTATTTTTAAAATATGGCATGTAATTTAATAGATGACTGAAATATTTTTAGCTTCTCAAATATTTTTTAAAGTTCCCTACAATGTTTTGTATTTGCTTAAAATAAAATAAAAAAACCACCATATTACTTTCAGAAAATTATGCTAGCTAACAATAGGACAAAAAAATTCTGTGTATGTCAACAAAAAAAAATTTCAACCTTTAAATTTTTTTTTTTTTTCCAATAAAAAAACAGGGTCTCACTCTGTCACACAGGCTGGAGTACAGTGGCATGATCACAGCTCACTGCAGCCTCCAACTCCTGGGCTCATGTGATTTGCCTGCCTCAGCCTCCTGAGTAGCTAGGACTACAGGTGCACACTACCATGCCCAGCTAATTTTAAAAATTTTATAGAGACAGGGTCTGGCTGTGTTGCCCAGGCTGGTCTCAAACTCCTGGCCTCAAGTGTTTCCTCTGCCTCGGCCTCTCAAAATGTTGGGATTACAGGCATGTAATCTATCACATCCAGCCAAAAAAAGTTTAATTAAATTTTTCCAAGACTCAATAATTTTGCCATTCCAAAGCTCCCAAATTCTAAGCTTTGAAAGGTTAGAAACCCTGTCTTCACTATAGTGTCCTCAGTAGCTAATACACAGATGATAGCATATAGTGGGAATACAATAAATATGAGGACTATATTGTATTGTATTTGTACTGAATATTGTGCAGATTCTTTATTATAACACTGTGGTAATGGTAACAAAGAATTTTAAACTTTAAATTCAGGGAAATTGAAGCTAAAGTCCTAAACTTAATATAGAGCACAGCCAAGTTTTAAATTGCAGTCTTTTGACTATTTTGTATTTTAGAAACCTGAACATATATGTAAGACTACTAAAAAACGGTGAAAATTACAATTTTTACCTTACAGGAGCAGAGATGTACATGAATTACGAATTTAAGGTTTATTTTCTAGGAAAAAAATGAATTGTCACTTATATATAGTCCCTGATTTATTTTTTCTGTAGATTATTAAATCTCTAGAAGAAATGTTTTCTTACCCATAATATAGGTAACATTCAATGCTGAGGACCACCCTATGACATACTCTGGAAGATCCTTTTCTCTTTTTTGTTGTTTTGTTTTATATTTTTTTACATACTTCTTTTTTGGAAGAAAAAGTTTCAGTGATTTCAGCTTTATAGAGGCTGAAGACGAAGGTGAAGAAGACGGTCCCAAGTGCTGAAATGCCTGAGTTTTAATTACAGTCCTGCTACCTACAAGCTGTGCATTCTAAGACAAGTTACTTAACTTCTCTGTGCCTTAGTAATACCTAGGCCACAGGGCAGTACTGGCATATTGTGCCCACTTGATAAATGTTTGTAATGTTTGTTGCCTTTGTTTACATATGTGTGTGTTTACATATACAAGTTTATATGTACAGGTGACCCTTGAACAGCATGGGTTTGAACTGCATGAGTCCACTTATATGTAGGTTTTCTCCCACCTCTGCCACTCCTGAGACAGCAAAACCAACCCCTCCTCTTCAGCCTATTCAATGTGAAGACAATGAGGATGGAGACATTTATGATGATCCACTTCCAATTAATGAAGAGCAAATATATTTTAACTTCCTTATAATTTTCTTAATAACATTTTCTTTTCGCTAGCTTATTCTAAGAACACAGTATATAATATGAATAACATACAAAATATGATTATGTTACCAGTAAGGCATCTGGTCAGCAGTAGGCTATTAGTAGTTAAGTTTTAGGTGAGTCAGAAGTTATATGCAGATTTTGACTGTGTGGGGGAGTCGGTTCCCCTAAACCCCAAGTTGTTCAAGGGTCAACTGTTCATATATATGTATTTATTAATTGAAATATTAATTCACTCATTTTAAAAGTGTCACTTATTTGATTAAGCAAAAAGTACTTAAAAAATTTAAAGAGACAGGATCTTGCTCTGTTATCCATGCGGAGTGCAGTGGTGATCATAGCTGACTGCAGCCTTGAACTTCTGGGCTCAAGCAAGCCTCCCTCCTCAGCCTTCCAAGTAGATGGAACTACAGGTTTGTGCCACCAGGTTTAGCTAATTTAAAAAAAAATTTTTTTGGTAGATATGGGCTCTTGCTATGTTGCCCAGGCTGGTCTCAAACTCCTGATCTCAAGTGATCCTCCTGCCTCGGCCTTCTAAAGTGCTGAGATTACAGGTGTGAGCCACTGCACCCAGCCAGTACTGTTGTTTTTTTATTGATTGTAACTGGCATTTCCCTAAGGGTTTACTAGCCATAACAATAGCAGTGGGTATCTATAAAGCTCTTTCCATCTTTGGTATAAAATCTACAATACTGTCATTATACACTTCATGTATAATGACTAGCAAAGAATGTATCACAAGTTTCCTTTGAAAATATAGCTAGCTTATGCAACCATCCCTGAGAAAATAAGAGTTAAAATGAGCCTCACTCTTAATTCCACCTAAACTGTGTTGAGTGTCCACAGTGTTTATTTAGAGATGTAACACATGTAATTTTGTCTTAGAGGCACATGGAAAAGCGTTAAGATGTGCAACAGAAAAAGATTTCTAAGGTAACAAATGAGCTAGCATAAAATTGTTCACTAAGAGAAAAAATATTAAAGAACATGCTCAGTTTTTGCTCACCATTAATTCAAAAAAGAACCAGGCTTGTTGCAAAGCTGATTCCCGAACGCTGCCACTGCAAACAACCCACTGCAAAGCCAGCTCCTCGTGAAAAAGCTATCCAGAAGTAAATCCAAAGTTATTATCAAAGTCAAATCTGCTGATAACATAAACCAAATCATAATGCAAATACAAACGAAGATATAATGAGAATAAGCAAAATAAGGCACGTGAACCATTCAATGATGCACTGAAGACACCCATTAACGAAACGGCTATTTATGTATGTAAGACAGTGGTATGTGGAACAGCTGAAAAAATTACATGTTATCTTGCAGTAAAATGTAATTTTAAAAGGACAGGTAGAAGATAGCCTCCTAAATTGTACCTGCAAACAGAAACTAGACTAAAAACTTATAGTACAGTAATATTTTGTTTGTATCTTAAGTACATTTTTAAACATACGCAAATACATGCATGAACTTTGCTGGTACAATTTAGGAAATACATTTTAAAATTTAAACTTTGCTATGAGCCATTAATTTTCAAGTTTTCAGGTAAGGTCTTTTTAAAAAAAAATAGCAGAAGATTTCTGCCTTATAATGGATATGCATACAAAGCATTTGCAAAGTAGTGTATATTAATATGAAAAAGGACTAACAAAACTGTGCATAAGGGAAGCAAATCAACATATCTTACTAAGAGTGACAATTTTTCTAACTCATCTTCCTTTCCCTGGAGATTTAAAACACAAAACAGAAGCAGTTACAGAAACAGAATTAAGAGTTGATACATTTTTTTGGTACTAAAATTTGATGATCAAATTTGAATTCACTAAATCCTAAAAATAGTCAATCCCAAAGATATAAACATTATCATAATGTAAAAAAGTATACATTGACAAGATATGCCCCAAAAGGCATCAGACAAGCAATGCTTGTTCAGATATATTTTTAAGCACAATGCAATTACTGTAAGTATCTCATACTGGTTATGTAAAGAAATCTTACATCTATTTAATTGGTGAAATTATTTTCCCCCTCTATGAATTGTCTTCATATGAATCTACCTTTTTAGTTGGTAAGCGTCCCGTTAATGTTTGTAAGAAACTTGACGTCTCTGTGTGCGAAGACATACGATTACAACTTCGATCCATAGCCTATGGAGTGAAGATGAATGAATGACGAGATAACATTAACGTTTGCAGTGGATGACTTTGCAGCTGATGGATTATGTACAAGTTTAAAACAGAGTTTTATTATGGTTTCAAAAACCATCTATTTTATTGCTCATCTCATTTTCACCATGTTAAGCTGCTTTAATGACAATGCATAAGTAGTATCAAAATGGCTTCTATATATTTTTGGTCTTTAAAAAATGATGAGTATTTCAGTGATTATATAATATTCAGAGTGTTGCAAAGAATGAAACTTTTATCTGTGTGATCTATATACATGCACATATCTAGTAAAAATATATAAAAAGTAAAAACATACTTCTCAACTGGTCTCAGACCAAAAAAGAAATCAGTAACTTTATATTAAAGAAAAGAAAAAGTTTAGAATAATTTCTTTCACTTTTTCATTATTATCAAAAACTACTATTCAGGTTTGTCATATACTAAATCAAATATAAATCATTTACAATATTAGAAATGGAATTAAAAATTTTATTTAGGAACAGGATTTCCCTCCAAAGCCAACACAGATGAGAAGTATATTTTGAGATATCATGCAGTATTAGCTATCAAGCAACTAGTCTTAAGTAAGCAAAACCTAATTCAGCTAAGGTATAACAAATTTCATACTTTGCAACACAGTACAAATTAAAATGGATTTTTGCTTCTGGTATTGAGTCTTATAGCACGGGGATCATATACTGTTCACATTCAATTTCAACTTATTGCCAGTCTTTCTATTCGGTGATTAGGAAGAAAATAACAAGATAGTAAATGTTAAATGAAAATGATACAATAGTTACACTTTAAACCAAAAGCAAATAGAAAACTGTTGGGTTTTTTCCTCCACGTAAAAAATTTAAAAATTGCTATTAAAGACGTGCTACCCCTAAAGAAGAAACTGTTATAAAAGCCATCAATTGCATAAGCAGCAGGCACTGAAATATTGATAGGGTGTGTAAGGAAGAAAGAAGACAGAGATAGGAAATAGGAAAGAAGAACATTACTGGTGCAATTGGTGGTACTCATGCATAGTAGTTGGAAAATGTGCTAAGTAAACAAAAATACACACTTTTTAATGATTAAAAAAAGCAAGCCACTGAAATCATAGTATATACTAAAAAGTAATGTTCTAAAGGGAAACATCAGCAGCCAATAAAGAAACCTCTAATATAAACACCACCTGTGTTGATTCTGCACTTGGACTGGGGTTGGATCCCCATGGGGCAGCTTTTGGACCACCAGTGTTAACCCAGGAATTGGAGCGATCTAAACCCTAAGCATATAATAGAAAGCAGTTTGAAAGGAAAGAAATATTACATGTTGCATGCTATAAATTATTCTTAAAGAAATTCAGATCTTCTAATGCAAACATGTTTTTAATTAGTACTGTTAAAGCAACCAAAATTTGTAGGCACCTATAGAGTATTAGTTCATCAAAATTATCTTATTATATAACACAATTTTAAAAAAAATCACCAAGACCATTAAGTATAGTATTTAAAGGTAATTTTTCTTTATGTAAAGGAATACTCTTGAAGTACCAATAACTAATGTTCCCACAGCACCACACCCCCAAACTTTCTTTAAAGATAGTACAAGTTAGCAACAGGTAATTTCCTCTGTATCTAACTGAGGTTTAAAGGAAAAAATGGAAGAAAAACACTCCATTCTTTGTTATAAACTTTAATTTCATTCCATCTCTCATCAACTGAAAACTACTATGCAGTGATACCCCATAATTCTATTTGAGCTTGCTACCACCTTCACTCTCTTTTAGGGACAGACAGGAGAAATAAAGTAAAAACTTAAGAAAAAAATGATACCTAATATTTACTCCTTCCTAATAATGGATTTGGAGCTGCACTTATAATAATAATGGGCTACTATTTATTAATAAATATTATAAGGAAAAACATTATGCTGGGGCTGTTTATAGGAATTATATCTTCATCATCATCTTCATTAATTTAAAATTTCTTTAAAACGCTACTAAAGTATATGTCCAGAAGTTAATTTATGTTTATCTCTGTCTGAAAGGGGTTACTGTGATTCCAGGTGAAGGAAACAGAGGCTTTTCTTCTATTTCCTAAAACTGACTGTTGGTCAGAATCAATTGAGAAGCTTTATAAAATTCAGATCCTGGGCTCTATCTCTATAAATTCGATTCAGTAATTTGGACTGGGGACTTGAGAATCTAATAATTGGAACTGGAGCAAGTTGTAAAAGATTTTTAAAGAATTATTAGGGTAAGAATAGCAAAGACAATCGAAGACAAGCTGATGTAAACATATCAGGACATGAGTACAGACCCAAACCAGAAACCACCAAAGGAAAGACAGGTAAAAGTGAAGAGTTGGAACAACTGTAATCAACTCTGTCTAGATATTAGTGTCATTTGGGAAGCTTAACAACAACAGTAACTAACAAATGTGCAGCGCCCTACCTTAAAACAATTAAATCAGAATTGCTGTGAGTGCGGCCCAGACATCAGTATTTTTTAAATACTTCAAGAGAAAATTTTAAAAAGAAAAGAAAGAAAAACCGCAACCCTCAAGGGCTTAGGTTTCAGGAGAATATTTCCTCCACCTTTTTTCATTTTTTCCCAAATATATAGAGAAATTGAAATGGTGGTAAAATAATCACCCATTTCTAATCATTTTTGACAGTGACTGTCTAATATGGGAGTTAAGGTTCCAATCCAGGCTCTCCTGCTTACTAGCTGTAAAATCTAAGATAAATTACTTAATTTCTTTTTCAGTTTCTTAACTATAAAATAAAAATGATGAGAGTGTCTCCCTTCACATGGTAAGAATCAAATTAAATAATGGAAGTAAATTACTAAGTTCAATGCCTTGAATATAGTAAACTCTCAAAAACAGCTTTATAAAAATTTCCCATACATATTTTTCTTAAAATGCTTTCTATCAAAGTAAATTAGACAATATCAAAATACTAGTAAGATTATGCAATCAGATTTGTTTAAAATAAAATATCTGCCTTCTCAGAATCCCATTACAATATTTCGAATAAAAGCAAACCAAAAGGCTTATGTTTTTCATAGAAGTTAAAATAAAGTTCTCATTAGTCTCCAAAATTATGTCCAAGCCCAAAATTATGTCTTTTTTGTATAAAAGTGTAAAGTTCTTCCTACCATATTCAATTTTTACAGTCACTACTCATGTTACAAAAATAACAAAACATGAGCATTTGATTTTTGCAAAATTATAACTGTCCTCTTTTCTCTCATGAATTTCCACAAAAAGAATAAGAACTTTGCTGTACTCTTAAATTTACTTAACTTACTGTTTAATAATTTCCTTTAAAACTACAATATATGATAATCGCTAATATGAGAATAAAAAAATCTCTTTGTGCTATGAATTATATTTATATACACAATACTGATGTTCTGAACAGTTGTAATTACACTAGTCAAAGCTAACTATTTAAAGAAAACTTGTGGCCAGTTATTTGGCAAAGCAAGTAAATTCCATAATTCAGGTGTTATAAAGCTAAGAGTTATATCAAACAGCCCACATTTAAGCAAACTCATCACTTATATTTAATATAATAACTTTATGTTTACCAATTTCCAACAAACATGGAACAGATTAACCAAATGTGTGCCCACGTGTATGTAAGTGTGAGGTTTTTTTTGCCAAATCCCAGTAACACTATTGATTTCTTCCCTTACATATAGATAAGATCCTTGAGCAAGGCCCATACTGTATTTGATGTGACATCAACACTTGTGTTATATTACAAAGATTTTACTTCATATCCACAAGTCCTCAGCATAGTGCCTAGCACACAGTAAGCTCTCAGTGTTTGAGAAATTAAAAAAAGATGATATATGAGAAAGAAACGTATCAGTGCAAAATTCCACTGGCATTTGATAAAAAGCAATAAAGTTCAGACCTGATGTAACCATGTATTTACATAACTGAATGTTAAAAGACGATTACTAGAATTAAGAAAGCACAGCTAGTTTTGGCAATATAAGTATGAAGAAGTCTCACAAATATTTTCACATTTACATTACAGCCACTGGAGTAATAAAAGCCTGTTCAGGTTATATAAATATTCTTAAATTTTAGGAGTTCTGTATTTTATACTGGGGAATAAAATATAACCAAAACTTTCATAAAGTCAAATCTCTGCAGACCTTTAAATACATAATTAATCCCAATAGTAAGAGGGCAAACAAAAGCATAATTCTGTTCTTAAACAAGTGATCTAGTCCTGCGGTGTTAACTCATACTAACATTTCTTCATTGGATAAATATCTACTGAGCACCTTGAATAAGTTAGACATTACAGGTGCCTTGGAACAAATATTCCCTGCCACAATGAAGCTTACACTCTGTTAAAGGGAGATAAACACTAAAAAAAAATCAACATAAGAATAATTAATTCATATGCTACATTAAAAGGTAGTAAATGTCAGACAAAAAAAAAAAGACAAAAAACAGAATAACAGGATTAGAAGGCTGAGGACACAGCCACTGGTTATACATTTAAATAAGATAATCAGAGTCAACCTCACTGAGAAGGCGGCCTTCAGAGTAAAGACTTAAAGGACTGAGAGAATAAGCCATTAGAAGATTGTGCTCAGAGGAATGACATAATGACTTAATTTTTGTGTGTGTCTTAAGTCTTTTTTTTTTTTTTTGAGACAGAGTCTAGCTCTGTTGCCCAGGCTGGAGTGCAATGGCGCGATCTTGGCTCACCACAACCTCCGCCTCCTGGGTTCAAGTGATTCTCCTGCCTCAGCCTCCTGAGTAGCTAGGATTACAGGCATGCACCACCACACCCAGCTAATTTTTCTATTTTTAGTAGAGACGGGGTTTCTCCATGTTGGTCAGGCTGGTCTCGAACTCCCAACCTCAGGTGATCCACCTGCCTCAGCCTCCCAAACTGCTGGGATTATGGGCGTGAGCCACCACGCCCAGCCATGTCTTAAGTCTTTAAAGCAACATTCTGGTTGCTATGTTGTGAACAGAGCACAGGGTAGAAGTAGGGAAACCATCTTTAAAACTAGTACATTAGTTCTGGGAGAGATGATGGTTGCTCAGACCAAGATGGTAGCAATGGAGATGGAAAGAAGTGTCTCTACCTTTCATATATATCCAAATCTGAACAAAACTATTTAGAAAAAGCAGTTAAGTTTAGAACTCCAGAGAGAGATCTGTACTGGAAATATAATTTTGGGAATCATTAGCATAACATTTACGTGGTATTTAAAGCCATGGAACCTGATAAGCTGACCAAGGTAGAGTGTAGAGAGAAGACAAGAGAAGAGAAATAAGGACAGAGGCCTGAAACACATCCAGATAAAGAGATCAGAAAAGGAAGAATCCACAAAGACTGAAAAGGTATAATCAGTAAACCAAGAGGGAAACTAACAGAATGTAGTACCCTGGAAGCCAAATAAATGAATAAATCACAGAGGAAAAAAAAATTTAACTGTGTGAAAAGCTGCTGGTAGGTAAAAGTAAGCCGAGTTCTGAAAATTAACCACTGGATTTAGCAACATGAAGGGTGCTGGTGACACTAACAAGGACAGTTTTGGTGGAAAATGGGAGGAATATTTGACTGAAGTAGAGATGATAGAAGTAAAAGAACTGCAGATAGCAAGTAAAGAAAATTCTTAAGGAATTCTACTATGAAAGGTAGCACAGAAATAGCAAGTAAGGTAGCAGTTGAAATACTAGAGAATAATTACTATAATTTTTATTTTTATTTAATTTTGTGGGTACATAGTAGACATATGTATTTATGGTTTACATGAAATATTTTGATAAAGATGTATCATGTGTACTAATCACATCAGGATGAGTGGGGTATCCATCACCCCAAGCATTTATCCTTTGTGATACAAAGAATCAAATTATATATACACTTCTAGTTATTTTTAAATAACTAAATAATAAACAGTATTTACCTATTTAATTATACAAATCACCCTGTTGTGCTATCAAATACTAGATCTTATGCACTCTTTCTAATTATTTTTCTGTACCCATTAACTATCTCCATTTCCCTCCTAACACCCACTGCCCCTTCCCAGTCTTTGGTAACTATCATTCTACTCTCCATCTCCATGAGTTCAGTTGTTTTAGTTTTTACCTTCTACAAATAAGTGAGAACATGTGAAGCTTGTCTTTCTGTGCCTGGTTTATTTCACTTAATATGATGATCTCCACTTCCATCCTTGTTGCAAATGACAGGATCTCATTCTTTTTTATGGGTGAATGGTATGCCATTGTATATATGTACCACATTTTGTTTATCCAGTCATCTGTTGATGGACACTTAGATTGCTTTCAAATGAGAGGAATCATTTTTTTCAAAATGAGAAAAACAATAGCATGCCTATATGTGAATGGGAATGATTCAGTATTTAGGGAGAAACTGATGATGTGGAAGAGATATGGAAAAACTGGTGGAGTGTAGATCTTGAGCAGGTGAGACCAGATGAGAGCTTGAGTGAAAGAAATTAATTTAGAAAAATAAATAGCTCATCTATTCATTTTTAATACAGAAGAGTATTAGGCAGTAGATAGTAGATGGTAATAGGTAGCTAGATAGCATGGTAAAAGTTTATCAAAGTCTTCTTCTGATGGTTTCAGTTGTCTCAATGAAATGGGAGATAAAATGAGAAAAGGAATGAGGGGAGAGGTGTTAGGAGGTTTGAGGTAATGAAAGAAGGAATTAAATCATTTCCTGGGAGAACAGGAAAGTGATGGAGATACAGAAATACAGTATAATTGCCCAATAGCATTAAGGGCTCTCTTGAGGTTTATTTCAAATGAGATCAATCACCATGGTATTTCTCAAGACATGTTTAGCTGCACAGATGCTGACATGGCACAGGCAGTCAATTGGGTTTAACTATGGTTTCAAGGTTTGGGAAAGATAAGGGAACTGAGGTTTGATTATAATGGGAGTAATTTTTTTTTTTTTTTTCTGAAATAGAGTTTCACTCTTGTCTCACAGGCTGGAGTGCAATGGTGAGATCTCGGCTCCCTGCAACCTCCGCCTCCCAGGTTCAAGCGATTCACCTATCTCAGCCTCCAGAGTAGCTGGGATTACAGGCATCTGCCGCCGTGCCTGGCTAATTTTTGTATTTTTAGTAGAGGCGAGGTTTCACCATGTTGGCCAGGCTGGTTTTGAACTCCTGACCTCAGGTGATCTGCCCGCCTCAGCCTCCTGAAGTGCTGGGATTACAGGCATGAGCCACCATACCCAGCCTGATGGGAATAATTATAATGATTGCCCACAGACATTAAGCTGGCTAAGGAAGAAGAGAGAACATTAAGGGGGTGAGACACAGTAAAAAGGTTGGAGGATCAAGATTAGAGATTGCAAAGGAGTAGATAAACTAAGTTGAGGTACTACAAGAAAAACAGGAGATAACAGAGAACAAAATACATGAAATTGAGATTGTGAAAATTAAAGTTATTGGTAATGACAAGATTGCAGGGGTGTCCAATCTTTTGGCTTCCCTGGGCCATACTGGAAGAAGAATTGTCTTGGGCCACACATAAAATACACTAACATTAATGACAGCTGATGAACTTACAAAAAAAAAAAAAAATCCCTGAACAAACTCATAATGTTTTAAGAAAGTTTACAAATTTGTGCTGAGCTGCACTCAAAGCTGTCCTGGGCCACATGTGGCCTGCAAGCCACAGGTTGAACAAGTGTGATATAAGGGAAGACCATGACTGAGGTGGAGTGGAAAACAAGATCACCTGAAGAAGAGTTTCTTGAACTGCCAGGTCAATAAAATAAGAAAAAATGAAGGGTAGCTATAAATAAACTTTAGATTCCTTATAATTTTGAGATAAAATTATATACATTATTAGTGATTACAACTAAACTCAATAGGAAGGTAGCTATCAAAAATTTTGCAATAAAAAGAAAACAACATAAAAACTATGTAAATAATACTTGATTAGGACAAGGCTGACAAATTCTCATCTTGCAATGGCTTTCTAAGAAACTACCTTGTATTTATATATTTGTATATATTTTTATATATATTTTAAAAATCATTGATCCATTTAAAGTACATCTTGAAAAAAGGCAAAAAATCATTACATATATATATAGGCCTCTTTGTTCTAAATCTTGAGTTTATAATCTATCAAACCTAAAAGAAATAAATAGAATTATGCTAAATGAGTCTTAATGTAAATCTTACAAAAATTAAGAGACATTTTAAAAGAACCTTAAGGAAATGCTGTCTATAGCTTCTTTTCTTTAGGAAAGTTTCTGAAAATCCAAAAATCAAACTTATTCTACTGAAGACCTATGCAGTATATAAATATACAGTATATAAATAATGCTACGTACTACCTGTATTACAATAAAATATAATCAATAATGAAAACAGGAATAAAAAACCTGAGTTCTTTTCTTAAACATGGAAATAAATGTGTGTGGGGGGTGGGGGAAGCGTTCTCTTTTCGCAGCTGCCATAGTACTCAGGTTACTCTGCAGTATCCCTTATAAATAACTCTGAGTATCACTCTTTCTAGTTTACAAAAATGGAAAATTGTTTAATCACTCTTCTGGATATTTTTTGGAGAAGAGGATCTCATGACTTGAATCAATGATGACATCTCTCTTCTACATATCAGTCACAGATTTATTTTAATTCTATATGAAATCAATCTAGCCATTTTTCACATGATGGAGTATCAGACTGACAACAATAAGTTATATGCAACTAGTGATTCCAGACAAATTTTAGAATTTTTAGTGGAGTAGTTTGTAAGAGCAAGCATATTTAACAGAAAAATAAAACAGTGTTTACTGATAGAACAGAAATGTACAATTCCTTCCTAATTCCTAACTTACATACATCTCAAAATTCAGAATACATTACAACAACTGGATATTTCTCGTTTGTTCACAAAACAAAAACCAAATTTACAGATGCATGTCTTCAGTTTACCTTACTCCCGATGATTGATCGAACTTCATCATCTGGTGACGTGGGAGTCCCAGATATATCTGGATTGCTATTACTAAGGCTTCGAGAACGATTTAAATTAAGGCTTGCAGGTCTCACCGCAGATCTAGCCATTGTGGCATAATGCACTGATCCTCCCAAACCCCCAGGACCTAGAGTTGTATATGAAATAGCACATAATTAAAGAAAATTAGTCAGGAAAGGATCTGAAAAAAAATCTCTGCCACTTTAGAAAATTCCACAAAGATCATGAATTGCTTTGGTTTCTAAATAAAAAATATACTTTTTTTTTTTTTTTTTTTTTGAGACAGAGTCTCTCTCTGTTGCCAGGCTGGAGTGCAGTGGCTTGATCTTGGCTCACTGCAACCTCTGCCTCCCGGGTTCAAGCAATTCTCCTGCCTCAGCCTCCCGAGTAGCTGGGACTACAGGTGCGTGCCACCACGCCCGGCTAATTTTTGTATTTTTAGTAGAGATGAAGTTTCACCATGTTGGCCAGGCTGGTCTCAATCTCTTGACCTTGCGATCCGCCTGAAGAGGCAGGGTCTTCTAAATAAAAAGTATTTTATATATATATATATATATATATATATATATATATATATATATTTTTTTTTTTTTTTTTTTTTTTTTTTTTTTAATAGGCAGGTGCCATTTTTTTTTTTATTAAGAGGCAGCACTGGAGTGCAGCAGTGAGACCATAGTTCACTATAATCTTGGACTCCTGGACTCCCACCTCAGCCTCCTGAGTAGCTAGGACTACAGGCACACACCACCATGCCCGGGTAAATTTCTCTCTCTTTTTTTTGTAGAGACGGGGTCTTGCTATGTTGCCCAGGCTGGTTTTGAACTCCTGGCCTCAAGCAATCCTCCTCTCTTGGCCTCCTTGAAGCACTGGGAAATGTTTTTTTTAGAAAGAAAGAAAATAAAAACACTCAAGAACTAATGATTGCTGTACAAAGATACTCTATTTTACAGCAGTTTATAAAACCATATGAACTATAAATAAAATCATTATCTCTTCAGTATTTCTATAATTGTATATTACACATACAATAAAAACCAAAATAGGAAACACACACACACAGACGTGTGCGTGCGTGCGCGCACACACACACACACGCACACGCAGCCCTTTCACTTCGGTATAGTTGGTATTTCGGACCCAAGATGCTCCAGCTGGTGTCTCTTCCTTTTTTCCCACCTCTCCTACTCTGCCCCTTGACAGTCACTAGAGAGAGTGCCAATTTATTGCTAACATCTCTTAAATTAAACCGTGTTTTATTTCTCTACCTTCATTACTGCTAACATCTTTTAAATGAGAGCATGTTTCATTTCTCTATCTTCATCAGTGACAATGTGAATAACAAAATAGTATCTTTATGATATACATACAAAAAACTAAAGATAATTTTCAGATCCAAAGTGATAAAAAAGCAAAGGCGGCTGGGCGTGGTGGCTCACGCCTATAATCCCAGCACTTTGGGAGGCCAAGGCAGGCGGACCACGAGTTCAGGAGACTGAGACCATCCTGGCTAACACAGTGAAACCCCGTCTCTACTAAAAATACAAAAAATTAGCTGGGCGTGGTGGCAGGCACCTGTAGTCCCAGCTACCCGAGAGGCTGAGGCAGGAGAATGGCGTGAACCCGGGAAGCGGAGCTTGCAGTGAGCCAATATTGCGCCATTGCACTCCAGCCTGGGCAACAGAGTGAGACTCCATCTCAAAAAAAAAAAAAAAAAAAAAAAAAAAAGCAATGCCTCCCTTTTTGCCTGACTAAAATCAAGCCTAACATCATCTTCCAACCTGTCTTTTATTTTTAAAATAAAACATCCAGGAATTATAGTGTTAATTTATCTTCATCTTTCCGAATGTCATATTTGCAAATGATATTAATACATACCTGTTGCCTAATTAATTCATACAATCTTTCAGGTCAGCATGTAAAAAAAAGATGCTTTGCAAAATCTGTGGAATTCTAATAGTGTACTGAATAAAACAGTAAATGGAGGAGCACTGTAGATATTACATAATCACTCACACATTCATGTCCTCAAGTGGTATAATTTTAAAAATTAACATAGGAAATTATAAACCAGAATATAAATGTCAATTGCTTTTCTTTTTGCAATTAAGTAAAGAAATAAATTGGGCTAAAATTTAAAATCAGGTTACTATTATGTCTAGTGTTCATAACGAACGTCACAATTATTAGTCACCGTTATCAATGTCAACATTGCCAAAAGCTGATAAAAGGCACTTGCCATTATCATTAATGTCATACAGACATGTATGTGAGTAGGTTAAATGATACGCACAACATAATCATTAGTTAGTTAAATGAACAACCAAAGGATTATTCACACTAAGACATCTCCCACCGTTACCTCCACTATCACCAGTGGTACACAAAAGACAATAACAAGTCGAGTCTCCAGTACTCAGAAAGGTTATATTATTTCACTGACCACGAAGAGATCAGAACTTTCCTAGAGAACAATCTTCTATATCACTGTAGGTTTCAAAGGGTTTTCAGGAAACTACCGAGCCACCACATTTCTCCTTTAATGCCCAACAGCACTCTGAATGACAAATACAAGATTCTATTTTTCTTGTCTTTTTTATGTTTAAAAGACAGGATCTCACTCTGTTGCCCAGGCTGGAGTGCACTGGCAAGATCATAGCTCACTCTGGCCTCAAATTCCTGGGCTCATGAGATCCTCCCACCTCAGCCTCCTAAACAGCTGGGATTACAGGGGCAAGCAATTCCTTATCTTAACAAGGAATGATAAAATGCTTCCAGAGACAAAGTTATTTTCAAAGCTCATTTCCAAAAATTAACTCAACCAAGAACTCTAATTCAAACTAAAGCAAACTGTATAAAAAAAGATGTCTAAAAATGTAACTTATTTATCTCTTTAACTTCAGCACCTAGCACAGTGAATGGTACTTAGCAGGTGTTCAATAAATGTTTGCCTTTGAATAAATGGATCACAGTATGGACTACAAAATTATCTCAATACTGACATGAACATATAATTTATGAAAGACAGCTTCATAGTAAAAAGAATAAAATACCTGGTGATGATGAATTAGGGTAAGTATTTGGTAGGCGGAAAACATAATGAATATATGATGCAAGAAGGCTGTTTCTGCCATGCTGGTCATGATTTCCTTCCAAGTTTTTGTGAAGTCGATTTATAATTGATGCCATGGCTTCAAAAGATGCTTGACCTAGGTTAACTTTTAAGAAAGAAGAAGTATTTACCTTTGCTTTAACTTTTTTTAGACTGTAAATTCCACGAAGATCAACATTTTGTCATCTTTGCATACTTTAAGTATAGTGACTACACAGTAAGTGTATAAAGATGATTACTATTTGATATTGACTTTTAATTACACGTTGCATTAGCTGAGCCAAAAATACTTTTCTGAACAAAATGAGAACTCATTTTACTAATTTAAGATGAAAATTATATGGGTTTGATTAGTCAAAAAAGAAAACAATGCTCAACGGATATGTTATTTAGTAAAACAATACAAAGTACATAAGAAAAAAGAAAATACATCGTGTGTAATACCTTAAGAAGCAATTTTTCATTTTAAAGATTACTCCAAAAATCTAAATAGCATATAAGGGCATATATTACTTTTGTTTAAAAAAATTAAAAATATCAATAATAAAAGAGATTATTGAAAATAATAACAGTATAATAAGAAAATAGTGAATAAGCAACTTGATTGGAATGAGTGAATCTGTAAAATGATTAGAAGGAAAAAAAAAAAAAGAGGGGGCTAGAAAAACAGGTTGAGGTAAGACTACAGCATTTTAAATCCCAGGCTAAGCAATACCTACTCGGTCACTCAAGTCAGTATGTAACAATAATTTTACAAAAATTGGAGAATTGTGATAAATTGCACACTGCATAAATGGGTAAACTGAACAGCCACTTTGAGCAATAGGATCTTAGATTCTATAATTTATTTAACCAAGACAGGAAATTATGAAGAGATAATGAGGCCAATTAAGTTTTCCCAAAAGTAGAATAATCAGATAAAATGGTCATTTAGGAAGATTAATCTATATATACTGAACTAGAGGGGAAAGAGACCAGAGACAGAAACCTGAGCGAAGTTAAGCGATCCTACCTGTGTTTCTGGTTAATCCTTTTCCTTTTTCTTACAGTAGCTACTCCAAGTTACAAGAATCCTTCTCAAAACTAAGGTCCTCCTTAATTCCTCCTTAGCAAATCTTGCCTTCTACCTCACAGAAGAAATGTATAAAGCATGAAAGTTCTCATGTTTTTCTTTTTCTTTTCTTTTTTTTTTTTTTTTAAGAGATGGGGTCTTGCTATGTTGACCAGGCTGGTCTGGAACTCCTAGCTTCAGGCAGTCCTCCCATCTTGGCCTCCCAAAGTGCTGGGATTATAGTTGTGAGCTACCACACCTGGCCAAAAGTCCTCATCTTTTTCTACAAATTTATCAGAATCTGAAATTACTTTATCTCCTCTCCAAAGGAAGTAGTGCCCTCTCCTATGTAAGAGTGATCTATCTATCACCTTTACTCTTGTCTCCCAGAATTGCTTCATTAATTAACCTCTTTTCTCCCCATGTATTTTTCTCCCTTCTCCCATTTGAGCATGTTTAGATGCTGATTTCTCTCAGCACATAAACATGCTAAAATGTCTCCACTCTTTTGCCCTACTCAACCCTGCTTTCTCTTCTAACTTAACTTCTTAAATAGTAGTATAGCTTCTTGTATTTATTTTATCATCTATTTGCTTCTTAATTCCCTGTAATCTGGCTTCTACCTTCACTTAGACTAAAATTACTGATGTAATTTCACGAGTAGACATTTCTCAAGCATACTAGATAAGAGAGAGAGGGACTCTGGAACCAGTTTGAATCTTGGCTCTCAAATATAAATAAAGCACATAGCATTATTCCTGGTACACAGTAAATGCTATGCAAGTGTTTGCAATTACTGTTATTACTATTATTTTACTTATATAATCTATAACAAAGAACAATGCTAACCTTTTTTTCCTTAAAACCTTCTTCTATAATTTCTGTAACTGTACACTCTGTGATCTCACAATCCATTCTCTCTTCTCCATCCCATTGTCACCCATGTTTTAACAGGAACTCATCATTTTTTGTATGAAATTCTGCAAGACTCCTAATTTGTCTCCCTGCCTGTAGGTTTTCCCACTTTTAAGTCATCTCTACATAGCATAGCCATCTTTTTCTAGTCAAACTTGGTCATGTTACTTCTCTAATTAAGACCAGATTCTTCAAAGGCTATTTATTCCCTACAGAAAAAGTCCCAATTTCCTAAAGTGTGGAAGACCCAACTTCATCTCCCACTCTCCATATTACCTCTAATCAATCCTCTAATTTATAACTAATTACTTAAAATTCCTCCCCCAAATTCATTCTGAGTTCATTATGTCTGTGTACTATGTACATGCTGTTTCATGCTGTTTAATCTCCTTGGAATAATATTTACCTGTCAGACTCCTATTCATCTTTAAATACTCAACCCAGGAATTATTTCTACTTATAAATCTCCCCTAAAAAAACTCAAATAATTGAATACTCCTCTCCTTTGTGTCACTAGTCAAACATAAAAATTATATCTGGTTAGCTGAAATTTCTTTCAAGTTCAACTTCCCTGCAGGATTTGGGTGAAAGCTGTTGGTAAAAAAATAAGGAGTAAACCTTGAAAAACGATGGGAATGAAGAACACCTTTCCTTCCAGAATTATAGAAAATAAAAAGAGAAAACAGAGACTAAGAAAATGAAGGAAAGAAGAGCTACATTAAGCGGAGGATAGCAGATGAATGAAAATGTAGAGTAGGTAGATTATACATCCTGTAAAATACAACATGATTTACCTGTTTGCCTGTTTTCTTAACTAGTCTGTGAGATGTTAAAGTCAGGAACCATGCCCTGAACAGTGCCTATCAGTGTCAGGTACATAGTAAGTGCTTAATAAATATTTGGTAAATAAATAAATAAATTTGTTTCTATAATTTCAGTATATGCCTATAGAACACATTTTATAAAAACAAAATAAAAGTTATTTTCTGGCATTATAAACAAGTAAATAACATCTTCCACCCCAAATCAAATATAGTCCTTATATATAGCAAATAGAAATCATGTTTTTTTTTTTTAACAAAATTTAGAAATGTCAAGTTATAAATTTCACGTCTCATCCCCAAACAAAAGTAAATTACCTATTTGGCCAGCAATGACAGGAGGTCTAATAACTAAAAGTATCAGTTTATCTAGCAGAAGATGAAGAAATCGGACCACTGGTTCCAGCTGGGATGAATTCAGTGCTGAAATACTGCTCTTCAATTCATTTTCTAAGTTATTTTCCATGATTCGCATGTCCCCAATTCGGACTGGGAACAGGTGTTCATCCAGAGCATTGACCAGAGCAAAAAATTTGTCAAGATAAGGATCCTAAAACAAAGAATAAACAAAAGCACTAAGCACTTATAACTTTATAAATTTCCCACTTCTAAAGGACCACGGACCACAAACATGTCATATTACTTGATAACACTAAAAAGTTCAAGTAGGTATACAAACATTGTTTCCAATTAAACAAATCTATTTTCATTTATCATTATAAAATGATCACTTCAAATACTATTAGTTACTTAAGAAAACTGATACTAATTAAGATTTTTTTTTTTTAGTTTTAGTTTGCTTTATTAGTTTGAAGTTCAATTATTGTGGCAGGCATATTAGTAACCTACTTTTGTCCATTATTAATTTATTGTCTTTCAGCTCCAAAGCCTTTGGATATAAGGCAAACTCATCGCCATACCTTATGATACTGGCGTCATTCTTTTACTGGAGACTACCTGTGTAGTTCTAAATAAAATCTATATACTACCAACTTTCTTCCTAAAGACAGCATAGAGGTGCTGTATCTTCTTCTTTTCCCCTACCTCACTGTGCAGAAAAGAATTAACATAGTGGGCTTAAGACAGCTATTCTTTGAAAGTCCTGTTTACAAGTTTGGCCTTGGGCTAATCACTGGGAACTTGGATTTCAGGGGGGTTCCCATTGACAGAGATGGCTCACTGTGCCTCAAACGTTTGTGCAAAACAATATGGTATAAGCTGAACACCTACTTTCCTTCTGGGAATCTGGAATTTTGGTACATGTTAGGCAAAGGGTGCCTACGTGACAAGTAAAAACCCTGGGAATTGAGTCTGTACTGAACTTCTGTGGCAGACAACATTTCACATATGTTGTTTCAACTTGCCCCATGTGATTCCACTGGGAGAGGATTTTTGGAAGCTTATTTCTTGTTTCCTCTGGACTTCACCCCATGAGCCTTTTCCCTTTGTGAATTCTGCTTTCCATTCTTTCACTAAAATAAATCATAGCTCTGAGTATGACTATATGCTGAGTCCCGTAAGTCCTCCTAGCAAATCACTGAACCTGAGATGGCTTTGGGAAGTCCCTCCACACCACCCTTTCTGTGTATAGGTTAGTGAAGCCCTGAATTTCATTTTAAATACTTGCTTCTTCTCCCTGTACATATTCTCCATGGAAAATCACATTTACCAATATAGTTTCAGCTATCGCATTTATTCTGTTACCTCCAAACCCAAACTTCAAACTAATTACAACCACCTACAGGACATCTCCATCTGAAGTACGTAGGCACTTCAAACTCAACAGGTTCAAAAATAAACTCACAGGCACCATAACTGCTTCCCCTTAGCATGGCCCCAAAAGTATTTCTCTCATGTTCTCTATTTAGGGTAGAAATTACCATCCACCTGGACTCTATGGCATTCAAGGTCCTTCACAATCTATTACCAGCCTTCTATCCTTATGTATCATGATTTCCTACACACTTTAAACTATTTTCACACCAGGTCACCTGATGGTCCTTAGACTACTGTAACTCTGTACTTGCTACTCATCATCTGAGTTGTCCACTCTCCCTTTCTCTGAGTAGTAAATGGCTACTTATAAATGCAACATCTCAGTGCCTAGCAAAACAGATAACTCTTCCCTCTGTACTTCAAAGAATTTAGTTAATATATGTAACACTGTACTAATTTTATCATACTTTTTACACTTTCCCATATTACACTGTAAGGTTCTTGAAGGAAAAGCTCTTTCCTCAACAGGTAACATCTCTCATCTCACGGAACTTATCATCTAATGTGGGAAAGAAACAATAAACAAATGTGTATGTATGTGTGTTATATACATACACACAAACAGAAAGAGTGACAGAGTCAAAGCGCAACAGAGAAGCTGGGCGTAGGCAGTAATAAGTGCAGGGTAAGATGACATACAGTAATGAGGTTGCTATGTTTTAAAGAGTAACCATGGAAGGCCTCTCTGAGGGGAAGAGAAACTCCAATTCATAAGTCAAATGAATACCAGGAGGAAAAGCATTCCAGGCAGAGAAAGAGGATGTATAAAACCTATCAGAACTTGGTATATTCCAAAAATAAGGAATTTGGAACAAATGATCCCTAAAAACTCTTTCCATTTGAAATACTCAAGTCTATGAGAAATAAAGTGAGCTGATGATGGTTTCTCAATTCTAATTAATTCTGCCATGTACCAGAAACTTAGAAAAAACATGAAGTCAATGACATTTTGAAACAAAAATGTTTGCTTTTGTTGACATTCAATGACATTTTGTTGATTCTTTTTAAAAAAATCTTCTAAATATTGTATGTTTTTAACTGACATATATTCTCATAAATCTGACAGCAATGACAGATTTATGACAGGTAACAAAACTGACATCACAAGTATTAGATATTACGTTCAATTTATTTAAGTGAAATTTGATAATAAAAATTATTAAAACTCACTTGTGTATGGATAGACGAAACAGCAACAACTTCAACATTAAAAACACCTTTGTGATTATCTACCCATTTCATGCCAGGTAGAGGAACCTGTAAGATATTAAATATAATGATCACAGATGCTTAAGTAGATTATGAACTCTGAAAATAAACAAAAATTACAATATCCCAATGAGAAAAATATTGTGAAAATATATTTTTATTCACTGTAAATAAATTAAGAACTTTTATATTTCATTCTTATTTCAAAATCAAGCAATGTTTTCTACAAAAGAACTAAAAGTCTCCAGGAGCAACAAGCATAAAATAATGCACACAAAATTTCTATCTTCCCAGAGATATACCCCCTTATATCATTCTAAACCTTCATATATGTACATATATGTACATATATATGTACATATATTTTTATACACATTTGTATATACTTAACACCAAACATTATTTTGAAATCTGTTTTTCATTTATTACATTGTGAATCTCTTTTCATGTCAATAAATTCAAATTTACAATATCATTTTAATGGCCTCTAATATTTCATTTTAAACATTTCTATTATATTTTAATTGGGTCTTAAAATATTTGCAAGCAAAAGCCTGTTGGTTTAAGGATCCAAAAACTTTTTTTTTTTTTTTTGAAATAGAGTCTCGCTCTGTCACCCAGGCCGGAGTGCAGTGGCATGATTTCAGCTCACTGCAATCTCCACCTCCCAGGTTCAAAGGATTCTCCTGCCTCAGCCTCCCGAATAACTGGGACACGCCCAGCTAATTTTTGTATTTTTAGTAGAGACAGAGTTTCACCATGTTGGCCAGGCTGGCCTTGAACTCTTGACCTCAGGTGATCTGCTTGCCTTGGCCTCCCAAGGTGCTGGGATTACAAGCGTAAGCCACCATGCCAGGCCGAAAACATTTTTTCAGAAGTAAATTGCTAGGAATGTCAAAGTTATTTCATAAAAAATAACTTTTAAAAGTACATAAATTCTCTCTATTCCTCCTGCTAAGTACAGCTAAAAACTCTGAAACCTGATATATAAATGAACATAAAGACTGAAAGGTAGAGAGAAAAAAGATGATAGGCTAGAGATCTCAGGATGCAAGAAACGACAAAGCAGCATTTCCTGGGTTTTACTTTTGCCTCACATATCCTGGACTGAGTGCTAGAGAGGATGGCAACCCAGAAACGCCAAAAGAAGTGGAGAAACAAAGCCCCAAGAAAAGCCTGCTCTCTCTGGCCAAAGAAATAATATTCCAGCTAGTTACAAGGGAACAAATCCTGGCCCCACTCTCGCCTCCCTACACTGAATGGAGAGCCTAGGCAGCCACCCTTAGCAGCCTGAAATGAGGTACCCCTCTCCCCAACTCATGCTACACACATTGAGGTGCTATCAAAGAAGACAGAGTTGAGAATCTGTCCCTTGCCTGGTGATAGCAAGCCCCCAACCAACAGAGGTGACAGTGGAGGCCATGTGGAGCAGTAACAAGGTGCCCCCCTCCCTCACAACCAGGAAGGGGTCAGCAAAGGCCTAGTGGAGAGCTTGAAATTCCACCTTCACCCAGTAACGAGCCCCCTCACTGGATCCACCCTAGAAAGTAAAAGGAGGCAGAGTGGGTAATGTGGACCTTCACCTCTACCTGACAGCAGCACCTCCAGCCCCCACTGCTACAACAGAATATTTCAGTAAGATCTAGAGTCGCATGGTAACTATAATGTCCTGGATGTAATTAAAAATTATTCATCATATCAACTAGGAAACTCTCAACTGAAATGAGAAAAGACAATCATCAGACACCAATACTAAGATGACATAGATGCTAGATAGACCCGACAAGGATTTTAAAGCAGGTATCATTAAAAATGTTTCAAAAAGCAATTATGAATGTCTTTTAAACAAATGAAAAAAGACTCACCAAAACAAACAAACAAAAAAACAGAAAAATACAAGAGATTTCTTTCCTATGGTTTTATCATTTTTTATCATGTATAGAAAATAAAACCAAATAAATTCAAATCCCCATTACCAAATTTCAACACTAATTAGATAAGAAATTCAATATCTATGACAGGATCAAATTCACACACAACAATGTTAACTCCGAATGTAAACGGGCTAAATGCCTCAATTAAAAGACACAGACTGGCAAACTGGATAAAGAGTCAAGACCCATCACTGTGCTGTATTCAGGAGACCCACCTCATGGCCAAAGGCACACATAGGCTCAAAATAAAGGGATGGAGGAATATTTACCAAGCAAAAAAAAAAAAAAAAAAAAAAAAAAAAAAAAAAAAAAAAAGGCAGGCGTTGTAATCCTAGTCTCTGATAAAACTGACTTTAAACCAACAAAGATCAACAGAGACAAAGAAGGGCATTACATAATGGTAAAGGGATCAATGCAATAACAAGAGCTAACTAACCTAAATATATATGCACCCAATAGAAGAGCACCCAGATTCATAAAGCAAGTTATTAGAGACCTACAAAGACACTTAGACTCCCACACAATAACGGTGGGAGACTTTAACACCCCACTGTCAATATTAGATCAACAAGACAGAAAATTAACAAGGGTATTCAGGACCTGAACTCAGCTCTGGACCAAGCGGACCTAATAGACATCTACGGAACTCTCCACAACAAATCAACAGAATATACATTCTTCTCAGCACCTCATCACACTTATTCTAAAATTGACCACATAATTTGAAGTAAAACACTCCTCAGAAAAGGCAAAAGAAAGGAAATCATAACAGTCTCTCAGACCACAGTGCAATCAAATTAGAACTCAGGATTAAGAAACTCACTCAACTACATGGAAACTGAACAACTTGCTCCTGAATGACTACTGGGTAAATAATGAAAGGAAGGCAGAAATAGATGTTCCTTGAAACCAATGAGAACAAAGACACAACGTACCAGAATCTCTGGGACACATTTAAAGCAGTGTGGAGAGGGAAATTTATAGCACTAAATGACCACAAGAGAAAGCAGGAAAGATCTAAAATTGACACCCTAACATCACAATTAAAAGAACTAGAGAAGCAAGAGTAAATAAAGTCAAAAGCTAGCAGAAGACAAGAAATAACTAAGATCAGAGCAGAACTGAAGGAGATAGAGTCATGAAAAACCCTTCAAAAAAATCAATGAATCCAGGAGCTGGTTTTTGGAAAAGATCAACAAAATAGACCACAAGCCAGACTAATAAAGAACAAAAGAGAGATGAATCAAATAGATGCAATAAAAAACGATAAAGGGGATATCACCACTGATCCAACAGAAATACAAAATGCCATCAGGGAATACTATAAACACCTCTATGCAAATAAACTAGAAAATCTAGAAGAAATGAATAAATTCCTGGATACATACACCCTCCCAAGTCTAAACCAGGAAGAAGTCGAATCCCTGAAGAGACCAATATTCAAGTTCTGAAACTGAGGCAGTAATTAATAGCCTACCAACAAAAAAAGTCCAGGACCAGAAGGATTCATAGCTGAATTCTACCAGAGGTGCAAAGAAAAGCTGGTACCATTCCTTCTGAAACTATTCCAAACAACAGAAAAAGAGGGACTCCTCCCTAACTCATTTTATGAGGCCAGCATCATCCTGATACCAAAACCTGGCAGAGACACAACAAAAAAAGAATTTTCTTTTCAAAAGAAAAGAAAATATCCCTGATCAACATCGATGTGAAAATCCTCAATAAAATACTGGCAAACCGAATGCAGCAGCACACCAAAAAGCTTATCCACCACGATCAAGTCAGCTTCATCCCTGGGATGCAAGGTTGGTTCAACATACGCAAATAAATAAACGTAATCCATCACATAAACAGAACCAATGACAAAAACCACATGATTATCTCAATAGATGCAGAGAAGGCCTTCAACAAAATTCAACACCCCTTCATGCTAAAAACTCTCAATAAACTAGGTATTGATGGAACATATCTCAAAATAATAAGAGCTATTTAAGACAAACCCACAGCCAATACCATACTGAATAGGCGAAAACTGGAAGCATCCCCTTTGAAAACTGGCACAAGACAAGGATGCCCTCTCTCACCACTCCTATTCAACACAGTATTGGAAGTTCTGGCTAGGGCAATCAGGCAAGAGAAAGAAATAAAGGTATTCAAATAGGAAAAGAGGAAGTCAAATTGTCTCTGCAGATGACATGATTGTATTTTTAGAAAACCCCATTGTCTCAGCCCAAAATCTCCTTAAGCTGATAAGCAACTTCAGCAAAGTCTCAGGATACAAAATCAATGTGCAAAAATCACAAGCATTCCTATACACCAATAACAGGCAGAGAGCCAAATCATGAGTGAACTCCCATTCACAATTGCTACAAAGAGAATAAAATACCCAGGAATACAATTTACAAGGGGTATGAAGGACCTCTTCAAGGAGAACTACACATTACTGCTCAAGGAAATAAGAAAGGACACAAATAAATGGAAAAACATTCCATGCTCATGGATAGGAAGAATCAGTATCAGGAAAATGGCCATACTGCCCAAAGTAATTTACAGATTCAATGCCATCCCCATCAAGCTACCATTGACTTTCTTCAGAGAACTGGAAAAACTAAACTTCACATGGAACCAAAAAAGAGCCCACAGAGCCAAGACAATCATAAGCAAAAAGAACAAAGCTGGAGGCATCACACTACCTGACTTCAAACTACACTACGAGGCTACAGTAACCAAAACAGCATGGTACTGGTACCAAAACAGATATATAGACCAAGGAAACAGAACAGAGGCCTCAGAAATAACGCCACACATCTACAACCATATGATCTTTGACAAATCTGACAAAAACAAGCAATGGGGAAAGGATTCCCTATTTGATAAATGGTGTTGGGAAAACTGGCTAGTCATATGCAGAACACTGAAACTGGACCCTTCCTTACACCTTAAACAAAAATTAACTCAGGATGGATTAAAAACTTAAACATAAGACCTAACACCATAAAAATCCTAGAAGAAAACCTAGGCAATACCATTCAGGACATAGGCATGAGCAAACACTTCATGTCTAAAACACCAAAAGCAATGGCAACAAAAGCCAAAATTGACAAATGGGATCTAATTAAACTAAAGAGCTTCTGCACAGCAAAAGAAACTATCATCAGAGTGAACAAGCAACCTACAAAATGGGAGAAAATTTTTGCAATCTATCTATCTGACAAAGGGCTAATAACCAGAACTACAAAGAACTTAAATAAATTCACAAGAAAAAAATAAATAATCCCATCAAAAAGTTGGCAAAGGTTATGAACAGACACTTCTCAAAAGAAGACATTTATGCAGCCAAGAGACACATGAAAAAATGCTCATCATCACTGATCAATAGAGAAATGCAAAATCAAAACCACAATGAGATACCATCTCACACCAGTTAGAATGGCGATCATTAAAAAGTCAGAAAGCAACAGATGCTGGACAGGATGTGGAGAAACAGGAACACTTTTGCACTGTTGGTGGGAGTGTAAATTAGTTCAACCATTGTGGAAGGCAGTGTGGTGATTCCTCAAGGATCTAGAACTACAAATACTATTTGACCCTGCAATCCCATTACTGGGTATATACCCAAAGAATTATAAATTATTCTACTATAAAGACACATACACACATATGTTTACTGCGGCACTATTCACAAGAGCAAAGACTTGGAACCAACCCAAATGCCCATCAATGATAGACTGGAGAAAGAAAATGTGGCACATATACACCATGGAATACTATGCAGCCATAAAAAAGGATGAGTTCATGTCCTTTGCAGGGACATGGATGAAACTGGAAACCATCATACTCAGCAAACTAACTCAAGAACAGAAAACCAAACACCACATGTTCTCACTCATAAGTGGGAGCTGAACAATGAGAACACATAGACACAGGGAGGGGAACATCACACACTGGGGCCTGTTGGGGGGTGGAGGGCTAGGGGAGGGACAGCACTAGGAGAAATACCTAATGTAGGTGACAGGTTTATGGGTGCAATAAACCTCCATGGCACATGTATATCTATGTAACAAAACTACACGTTCTGCACATGTACCCCAGAACTTAAAGTATCATAAAAATAAATAAATAAAAAGAAATTCAACATCTCTGAGGCAAAAAATAAAGATTCTGAAACATTTTTGAAAAAAAAAAAGCCAGCAGAGTAAGTTGAAACCCATCAAAGCAATAAACACTATTAGCTCTTTCAATCTAAAACACTTGTTTTCAGCTTTTAAAAATTTCTTTAAAAATAACAGTTCTCTTCAGTTCTAAAACAAGTGGACCTGATAGATATCTACAGAACTCTCCATCCCAAAACAACAGAATATACAATCTTCTCAGTGTCACATTGCATTTAGTCTAAAACTGATCACATAATTGGAAGTAAAACACTCCTCAGCAAATGCAAAATAACTGAAATAATAACAAACAGTCTCTCAGACCACAGAGAAATTAAATTAGAACTCAAAGAAACTCACTCAAAACCACACAACTACACGGAAATTGCACAATTGCTCCTGAATGACTGTTGGGTAAATAATGAAATTAGGGCAGAAATCAAGAAGTTCTTTGAAACCAATGAGAACAAAAAGACAATGTACCAGAATCTCTGGGATGCAGCTAAAGCAGTGTTAACAGGGAAATTTATAGCACTAAAATGCCCACATTAAAAAGCTAGAAAGATTTTTTTTTTTTTTTGAGACAGAGTCTCGCTGTCACCTAGACTGGAGTGCAGTGGCACGATCTCAGCTCACTGCAACCTCTGCCTCCTAGGTTCAAGTGATTCTCCTGCCTCAGTCTCCTGAGTAGCTGGCATTACAGGCACGTGCCACCATGCCAGGCTAATTTTTTTTTTTTTTTTAAGTAAAGATGAGATTTCACCATGTTGGCCAGGCTGGTCTCAAACTCCTGACCTCAAGTAATCCCCCTGCCACAGCATTCCAACGTGCTTGGATTGCAGGCGTGAGCCACTGTGCCCTGCCTAAAAAAAAAAAAAAAAAAAAAAAGCTAGGAAGATCTCAAAGTGAAATCCTAACATCACAACTAAAAGAACTAGAGAACCACCACCAACAACAACAAAAAACCCAAAGCTAGCAGAAGACAAGAAATAACCAAGATCAGAGCAGAAGTGAAGGAAACAGAGACACAAAAAACCCTTCAAAAAATTAACAGATCCAGAAGCTGTTTTTTTTTTTGAAAAAATTAATAAAATAGACTGCTAGCTAGATTAATAAAGAAGGAAAAAGAGAAGAATCAAATAGACACAATAAAAAATGATAAAGGGGATACCACCACTGACCCCACAGAAATACAAACGACCATCAGAGAATGTACTACAAACACCTCTCTGCAAGTAAGTTAGAAAATCTAGAAGAAATAGATAAATTCCTGGACATATACATCCTCCCAAGACTGAACCAGGAAGTTGAATCCCTGAATAGACCAATAACAAGTTCTGAAAATGAGGGAGTAATAAATAGCCTACCAACCAAAAAAGCCCAGGATCAGATGGATTTACAGCTAAATTCTACCAGAGATACAAAGAGAGCTGGTACCATTTCCTCTAAAACTATTCCAAACAACTGCAAAGGACTCCTCCCTAACTCATTTTATGAGGTCAGCATCATCCTGATACCAAACCCTGGCAAAGAAAGAACAACGAAAAAAGAAGGCTTCAGGCCAATATCCCTAATGAACATCAATGCAAAAATCCTCAATAAAATACTGGCAAACCAAATCTGGCAGCACATCAAAAAGCTTATCACCATGATCAAGTAGGCTTCAACCCCGAGATGCAAGGCTGGTTCAACACACGCAAATCAATAAACGTAATCCGTCACATAAACAGAACTAAAGACAAAAACCACATTATTACCTCAATAGGCTCAGAAAAGGTCTTTGATAAAATTCAGTATCGCTTCATGTTAAAACTCCCAATAAACTAGGTATTGAAGGAACATACCTCAAAATAGTAAGAGCCATTTATGAAAAACCCACAGCCAATATCATACTGAATGGGCAAAAGCTGAAAACATTCCCCTTGAAGACTGGCACAAAACAAGGATGCCCTCTCTCACCACTCTCCCCCCTCCCCCCCCCCTTTTTTTTTGAGACAGAGTCTCACTCTGTCACTCAGGCTAGAGTGCAGTGGTACGACCTCAGCTCACTGCAACCTCCACCTCCTGGGTTCAAGCAATTCTTCCACCTCAGCCTCTCTAGTAGCTGGGATTACAGGCACATGCCACCACGTCTGGCTAATTTTTGTATCTTTAGTAGAGACGGGGTTTCACTATGTTGGCCAGGCTGGTCTTGAACTTCTGATCTCAAGTGATTTGCCTGCCTTGGCCTCCTAAAGTGCTGGGATTATAGGCATGGGCCACTGCGTCCAGCCACCACTCCTATTCAACATAGTATTAGAAGTTTTGGCCAGGGCAATCAGACAAGAGAAAGAAATAAAGGTATTTAAATAGGATGAGAAGAAGTCAAATTGTCTTGGTTTGCAGATGACATGATCCTCTATCTAGAAAAACCCACTGTCTCAGCCCAAAAGCTTCTTAAGCTGATAAGCAACTTCAGCAAAGTCTCAGGATACAAAATCAATGTGCAAAAATCACAAGCATTCTTATACACCAACAACAGACAAGAAAAGAGTCAAATCATGAATGAACTCCCATTTATAATTGCTACAAAGAGAATGAAATACCCAGGAATACAGCTAACAAGAAAAGTGAAGGACCTCTTCAAGGAGAACTACAAACCACTGCTCAAGGAAATCAGAGAGGACACAAACAAATGGAAAAACATTCCATGCTCATGGATAGGAAGAATCAATATCGTGAAAATGGCCATACTGCCCAAAGTAATTTATACATTCAATGCTATTCCCATATAACCACTGTAGACATTCTTCACAGAACTATTTTAAAAAGCTATTTTAAAATTCACATGGAACCAAAAAAAGGCCCATACAGCCAAGACAATTCTAAACAAAAAGAACAAACCTGGAGGCATCACGCTACCCAACTTCAAACTATACTGAAAGGGTACAATAACCAAAACAGCATGGTGCTAGTACAAAAACAGACACATAGACCAATGGAACAGAATAGAGAACTTAGAAATAAGACCAAACACCTACAACCATCTGATCTTCAACAAACCTGACAAAAACAAGCAATGGGTGAAGGATTCCCTATTTAATAAATGGTGCTGTGAGAACTGGCTAGCCATATGCAGAAAACTGAGACTAGACCCCTTCCTTACACCTTATACAAAAATTAACTCAAGACGATTAAAGACTTAAATGTAAAACCCCAAACTATACAAACCCTAGAAGAAAATCTAGGCAACACCATTCAGGACACAGGCACA
Source organism: Homo sapiens (assembly GCF_000001405.40). Classification (NCBI taxonomy): domain Eukaryota; kingdom Metazoa; phylum Chordata; class Mammalia; order Primates; family Hominidae; genus Homo; species Homo sapiens. The sequence continues at coordinate 62,570,994 of NC_000001.11, forward strand.
AGCAAAGATTTCATGACAAAAACATCAAAAGCAATTCCAACAAAAGCAAAAATTGACAAATGGGATCTAAATAAACTAAAGAGCTTCTGCACTGCAAAAGAAACTATCATCAGAGTGAACAGACAACCTACACGATGGGAGAGAAATTTTGCAACCTATCCATCTGACAAAGGTGTAATATCCAGAGTCTACAAGGAACTTAAACAAATTTACAAGAAAAAAACAACCCCATTAAACAGTGGGCAAAGGACATGATCAGAAACTTCTCAAAAGAAGACATTCATGTGGCCAACAAACATACGAAAAAAAGCTCAGTATCACTGATCATCAGATAAATGCAAATCAAAACCACAATGAGATACCATCTCACACCACTCAGAATGGCAATTATTATAAAGTCAAGAAACAACAGATGCTGGTGAAGCTGTAGAGAGATAGGAACACTTTTACACTGTTGGTGGGAGGGTAAATTAGTTCAATAATTGTGGAAAACATTGTGGAGATTCCTCAAAGACCTAGAACCAGAAATACCATTCGAACCAGCAATCTCATTACTGGGTATATACCCAAAGGAATAGAAATCATTCTATTATAAAGACACATGCATGTGTATGTTCATTGCAGCACTATTCACAATAGCAAAGACATTGAATCAACCCAAATGCCCATCAATGATAGACTGGATAAAGAAAATGTGGTACATATACACCGTGGAATACTACGCAGCAATAAAAAGGAATGAGATCATGTTCTCTGCAGGAACATGGATGGAGCTGGAAGCCATTATCCTGAACAAACTAATGCAGGAACAGAAAACCAAACACTGGATGTTCTCACTCATAAGTGGGAGCTGAACAATAAGAACACATGGACACAGGGAAGGAAACAATACACACTGGGGCCTGTCGTTGGGGGGAGTGTGGGGAAGGGAGAGCATCAGGAAAAATAGCTAATGCATGCTGGGCTTAATACTTAGGTGATGGGTTGATAGGTGCGGCAAATCACCATGGCACATGTTTACCTATGTAACAAACCTGCACATCCTGCACATGTACTCCAGAACTTAAAAATAAATAAAAAATAACAGTTCTCAAAGTCTGGTCTGAGAATCAGCAGCACAAACATTATCTGAAAACTGTTAGACATGTAAATACTCAAGCCCCAACCTAGATCGGCTGTCACAAAAACTCGGGAAATAAGGTCCAACAATCAGTGTTACAACAAACCCTCTAGGTAATTTCGATTCATGCTAAAGTGAAAAATGTATTTTATCTTAAAATATTCTAATAAGCAATGGCAATAGCAATGGTGTAATAGTAGCAAACACTTCCGTAGCACTTTCCAAGTGCCTGGCACTATTCCAAATGCTCTCCATGTTATTATATCATTCAATCATCAATACAACCAATTACTGTAAGTCTTAATTATTCTCATTTTACAGATGAAAAAACTGAGGCACAGAAAGTGTCTTAGTCACCTCAGGCTGCCATAACAAAGTACCATAAACAGGTGACTTAAACAGCAGATATTTATTTTCTCACAGTTCTGGAGACTGAAAGTCTAAGATCAAGGTGCCAGCATGGTCAGTTTCTGGTGAGGGTTCTCACCCTGGGTTGCAGATGGCCACCTTCTTGCAACTGGGGGAGAGGGGATGTCAAGCTCTCTGGTCTCTTCTTACAAGGGCACTAATCCAATTATGAAGGCCCCACCCTTATAACCTTGTCTAAACCCAATTCCCTTCCAAAGACTCCATCTCAAAATGCCATCACATTGAGGGTTAGGCTTCAACATATGATTTTTTGGGGGGAAACAATCTGTTCCATAGCAGAGAGATTAAGAAACTTGCCCAGGGTCACACAATTAAGTGTTGGAGCCAGGATTAAAGCCTTAGAAGATTATGCTCTATTGCCGTTCAAAAGCATATAGATTTTTAAAAAAATAACAAAAATCCCTTCATAATCGCACACCTCTTCTGAGAGCTAACTTTGCTAAATTTGGTATATAAATTATTCCTACACAATTACCTACATACAGAGTTGGATTGTGGCTATGTTGTTCAGTAAATAAAACAGAATTAAAAAGAAACAGAGTGTGTATCAGTAGCATGGAGGAGGGAAAGGTTGCAAATTCATGCAGTGAAGAAAGACTTCTTTGAGGAAATGCTGCTGTGTCTACAATTTTAATAAAGAAAAAGACTCAGCTATGTCAAGATCAAGAAAAGAAAAGAGAAAATTCAAAGGGCTGGAGGCAGAAAAAAGCTTGGAAGAAGCTGTCAGTGCAGAGAGAAAGGGATGTAGTAATGATTGTAGACGATGATGCTGGAGAAGTGGAAAAGACCAAATCATTCAGAGATTTGTAGGTCATGTGAAAAAATACTTGGATTATGTCTATGTGCAAGAAAAAGCCAGAGAAATGTTTTATTTGATCATAAGCAATAGAATGAAACCACCTAATTTTAATTTTAAAATTGCTTTATTTTGTGAGAATGGATTTCAAAGAGGTAAGAACTGAATAATATTATAAAGCAGAGAAAGTGAATGAAATAGGAACTACATATAGCAGAAACACTAAATCTTAGTAAAACAATGCCATAAGCTTTTTGTTAAATTCATAAAATAAAGTAAATAATATCATATTTTGGCATACAAATACTTCATTTTAAAAGTAATTTTAAAAGGCTTGTTTTCAGGACACTGTGAATATACTTAAGGCTACAGAAATGTACACTTAAAATTAAAATGATAAACTTTATGTTCTATACATTTTTTACCATAATATTTTTATTTATTTATTTATTTTGAAGAGACAGGTTCTTGTTCAGTCACCCAGGCTGGAGTGCAGTGGTGCAATCAAGGTTCACTGTAAACTCGAACTCCTGCTCCCACCTCAGCCTTCCAAAGCACTGGGATTATAGGTATGAGTCACCATGCCAAGCATTTTTACCATAATTTTTAAAAATCCTAATTTTATACAGTTACAAGGAAGAAGAGTATGGAAAAGGGGAGGAGTCAGGAAGTACCTTGGCTGTAAGGAACGGCATTTTGAAGTTATTTTGATATTAGACAATGCCACTGGCCACCCAGAACCCCATGAGTTCAACACAGAAGGCATCAGAGTCTTCTACCTGCCCCTAAATGCCATGTTTCTAATTCAGCCTCTAGATTGGGAGTCACAAGGATCTTTAAGATTCATCACACACGGTACTCTACGGAAAGGAGTGTGAATGCTATGAAGAGAACCCCAATAAATAGAACATCATTAAAGTTTGGAAGGATTATACCACTGAAAATGCTATCATTGTTCTAACAAAAACCATCAAGCCTGAAACAATAAATTCTTGCTGGAGAAAACTGTGTCCAGAGGTTGTCATGACTTTACAGACTTTATGACAGAGCCAATCAAGAAAATCATGAAATAAATTGTGGATATGGCAAAAAGGAAAAAAAAAAGTGAGGGGTATAGATTTCCAAGGAGAAACTCACAAGCTCATAGACACCAGACTGGAGGAATTAATAGAAGAAGACTTGATGGAGATGAGTGCTTTTAAACCAGTGCCAGACATTGAGGCAGCAAACATAGAAGAAACAGTGTCAGAAAACAAACTGACATTATACAACATGGCAGAAGGGTTATTCAAGACTGCTTTTGACTTCTTTTAAAACATGGACCCATCTGTGCTAAGGGCACTAAAACTAAAACAAACGAATAAAGATTGGCACCACATAGAAATATTTTTTTTCTTTTTTTTATATTGAGACAGAGTCTCACTCTGCCGCCCAGGCTGGAGTGCAGTGGCACAATCTCGGCTTACTGTCAACCTCTGCCTCCCGGGTTCAAGCGATTCTCACGCCTCAGCCTCACAAGTAGCTGGAATTACAGGTGCCTGCCACCACACCTGGCTAATTTTTTGTATTTTTAGTAGAGAAGGAGTTTTGCCATGTTAGCCCTGATGTTCTTGAACTGCTGACCTCAGGTGATCTGCCCACCTCGGCCTCCCAAAGTGCTGGGATTACAGGCATGAGCCACCACACCTGGCCAGAAACACTTTCTTAAAAGAGATGGGGTCTTGCTATGTTTCCCAGGCTGGAGGGCACTGGCTAGTCAAAGGCACAACCACAGCAAAGTGCAGCCTCGAACTCCAGAACTCGAGTGATCCTCTCAAGAAGCTGGGATTACAGGTGTGCCACTGCATCCTGCTCTGGAAATATTTTTAGAGGAATGAAAAAGCAAAAATGTCAGACAGAAATTATGATGTATTTCTGTAAAGTTACACCAAGTGTGCCTGCTTCCCCTTCCACCTCTTCTGCCTCTGCTACCTCTAAGATAGCAAGACCAATCCCTACTCTTCCTCCTCCTCCTCAGCCTACCCATCATGAAGACAATGAGGATGAAGGCCTTGATGACGATCCACTTCTACTTAGTGATAGTAAATATATTTTCTGTGCCTTATGATTTTCTTAAGAACATTTTCTTTCCTCTATATCACTTTAAGAATATGGTATATAATACATTTAACATACGAAATACATGCTAATTAACTGTTTATGTTACTGGTAAGGCTTTCAGTCAACAGTAAGCTATTATATTAGCAGTTAAGTTTTTAGGGAGTCAAAAGTTATACGTGGATTTTTCAAGTGCATGCTAGGGAGGAGGGATGTCACCCCTTACTGCCATGTTGTTTAAGGGTCAACTGTTTACAAAAGTTTTGGCTCTTAATCAGGTGGCTTATTTCACATATCAAGCAGCTATATTATATGTCTACAGTCAAATCCAAATTATCACCATATTCTTGATCTGTGAGCATATACAGTATGGTAGCTAGAAGAAAATCATGAGTCTCCCTTTAGAAAGCTGAACTTGCACTGCAATTAAGTAAAAACAAATCCTTAACTTCAACAAAAATATATTTTCTTTTAAAACATCTCCTTTGAAACATAATGCTCTCTGACAAATGGCCACCTTTCTATATAACAAAGTCACATGAAAAAGTCATCACTGAAAAGATGTGTCCCTGGAAAAATGAATGAAAGATTGGGAGGAGGGAGAGTCATATTTCTTACTCTACTGTCTTTATTCATTAATCTAATAAGTATATATTGAGTGTCTATGATGTGCCAAGTACTGTTCTAAATACTTGTAGACAGCAATGAGCAAGACAGACAAAGTTCCTACCCTCATAGTGTTTATACTCTATAGAGAATAAATAAGCAAAAAACATTTTAAATACAAAGTCAATGATAAATGACATGAGGAAAAATAAAGAGATAAAGTGGGAGAGGCTGCTATTTAGAATAATCATAGATGACTTCCTTGGTGAGGTGATATTTGAGTAGAGGTCTGAGTAAAATGAAGAACCAGGCTTTGTGATAGAGCACTGCCAGCAGAGGGAAGAGCAAAGGGCCTGAAATGCAAATGCACTTTTCGTGTGTAAGGAACAGCAGAGGCTCTGTGCTATGTGGCTATCAAAAGTGAGTGACAGAGAACAGTGAGAAATAAGATCAGAGCAATAGCCTTGAATTGTTTTTTAAAAATAAAAATACATAAAAATTTATTTGTGAATACATTTTGAATTGTATTCTGAAAACAAATAGCACCAGGAAAATATTCACAAAACGTATTTTAGAGTAACATTTACCAGCAGTTATATTCAAAATCATTAAGAGACACTGACAACCATTGTGTTTCTCTCAAGAGGAACTTTGGTTTATGAACGGTGGCTATTGATTCTTGATTGAGATTTTTCCAATATTTGTGTTACAAGTCTTTCAAATCCCATATGTAATCATCAAAGTTGCCAATATCTCATGTATTACAGGTTCACAGCTACTTTGTTTTCATTCACATGATCTTCAATTACAAAAAGATTCTAAAAAATTAATTTAAATCTGTTTTCCTTCCTCCAGTCTTTTAGTGAAATGTTAAGTCTACTAAAAATAAAAAAGAAATATTCATTTATTTAAAGAAGTTTCTCAAGTTACAGTATGAAAATTCTCCAAAATGATCTTTTGAGTTTACATTCCATGTATTATTTTGGTTTTAAAATGAGGATATTTACATTTAAAATGAAATTTAAATTTAAATTTAAAAACAGGATAAAAGCTTTTAAGTTTTATGTAAAAGAATTTTAACCACGGGAGAAAATACTTTTCCTTCATTATCTATAAACTTTAAGTAGAAGAAATGGCAAGAGTTTGCTTGGTAAAAACATCTTTATAGTAAAAAACCCATTTCATTCAATCTGGAGAAAGTCAACATGGGAGACACTGACCTCAGGAGACAGTACAGAATAAGCCTGTGGTGGTTTTTCCAATGAGACTGGCAAGCAAAACTGGCCAGTCTTCAACCGTCCATTCTGAAGCATTGGTATCCACTTTTAAATGAAAAGAAAACAATTTTATTTTAAATATGCTTGCTATAAAAATAATTACTTAGCATGTTTTAAGAACTTGGTACAAGCCAAATTTGTCCCATATCATCAAACATTAAGGGATTTAATTATACAAGTAATAATAATAATAGGCCTTCATAATCCCTCTAAAGAGAAGTTTCCCTAATGAAATTTTATTAAGGAGGATATCACCAAAACATTATTATTACTAACCATGCAATATTAAAATCTAGAGGCAAAAAGTTGGTCTTAGAAAAAAGCCATGAAGTAAATCCATTTTAAAACTGAGATAATCATTTCAATGTAAATAGTGAAAGAAATAATTGATTGAGACAGGAATGATAGAAACAAAAAGTATGATCATAAATTTATTTTCTTACAGTTAGAGCAAAACTCATGTCACAAACTGCAAGAGACAAAAATAATGAATCAAATGTTGGCTTTTCTCTTCTGGCTGAAAGCATAATTTTTCTGACAGAACTGTGTTATACCATGACTTCCTTCATCTTAGGTTTATCTTTGCAATTCAACCATAGTAATTTTTTTTTTCTTTTTTTTTGAGACAAGAGTCTCACTCCATCGCCCAGGCCAGAGTGCAATGGCATGATCTTGGCTCACTGCAACCTCTGCCTCCCGGGCTCAAGCAATCCTCCCATCTCAGCCTCCCTAGCAGCTGGGATCACAGGTGCACGACACCACGCCTAGCTAATTTTTGTATTTTTGGTAGAGATGGGGTTATGCCAAGCTGGAAAGCATAATTTTGAAAAATACTCAAGGGTTTTAATTTATTCTCCAATAGTCTCTTTTACTCATTTTATATAAAATCATTATCTGCTGAAGAGTCTATGAACCTATTATATTTATACTGCATTGTTGGGTATACACCTAATAATCAGGACCAACACCCAAGTGTTTATACGTGTTAGTCAATAAATCAATTAATTACATTAGTTAATTACATTAATGGGCATTTTCTTGTTATAATGGCTCTTCCTAATCAATGCAACTTCATAACTGTGGGGAATCAGACAAGAAATATTTAAATAACAAGAAACAGGCCAGGCGCCATGGCTCACGCCTGTAATCCTAGCACTTTGGGAGGCCGAGGCAGGCAGATCACTTGAAGCCAAGAGTTTGAGACCAACTTGGCAAACATGGTGAAACCCCATCTCTACTAAAAATACAAAAAAATTAGTTGGACATGGTGGCGGGCACCTGTAATCCCAGCTATTCAGGAGGCTGAGGCAGGAAAACTGCTTGAACCCAGGAAACGGAGGTTGCAGTGAGCCAAGATCGCGCCACTGCACTCCAGCCTGGGAGACAGAGACTCTGTCTCAAAAAAAAAAAAAAAAAAAAAACCCACAAATGACCAGAAATATCAATTATATCTTAAATATCACCATTATTTTAGCTCTTTGATCTAAATATTGAACCAAAAGGACTCACTGTATATCCAACTGGTGTTTCAAGAGGAGTATTTTGTTTTTGTTGACAACTAACATGATAAAAAGTAAAAAGCAAGTGATGATGGTCAGTTAAAGTAGCAGGAAGCTTAACCTTGATTTCTTCATGAAAATCAGGAGACCTTCATACAAAAAAAAAAAAAAATCAACAGTCAGTAATTTGTCCAAAATAAATAATGTATTTGTATATTTGAATAATTTTAAAATTTTAAGATTCATGTTTAATTTTTCCTCTAGTCCAAAATATTTTTCTTTATCCCCAATCTCTAAATAACTAAATCTTACTTCCATATAAGAGAGCTGCCACTGTTTCTGAAATTTCTCATCCCAATTTTCTTAATGGGCTGAGTAATCCTACTATTTAAAAGTTCATTAATAATCACCACTTTGATCCTGAGATCTCCATTAGATTGGAAGCTGCATAAAAGAGGACACTAAGGTAGGGAGTTCTCTATTTATGAGCCAATTCTGATAAACATTACATAAAACATTTTTCCTTCATAGGAGAATGCTTTCATATTAAAACTAATGTTTATCATCCTTTTGTAAAAAAATGGGAAAAAAGGCATCTTTAGACAACTTAATATCAAAATATCACATTGGAGGCCAGGTGTAGTGGCTCACACCTGTAATCCCAGCACTTTGGGAGGCTGTGGCGTCAGGATCACTTGGAGTCAGGAGTTTGAGACCAGTCTGCACAACATAGCCAGACTCATCTCTACAAAAAATTTAAAAAAGTCCTAGCTACTTGGGAGGCCGAGATGAGAGGATCACTTGAGTCCAGGAGTTCAAGGCTGCAGTGAGCTATGATCCTGCCACTGCACTCTGGCCTAGGTGACAGAGTGAGACCGAAAAAAAAAAAAAAAAAAAAAAGATCAAGTTTTGCTCTATAGACTGTCTTATATCAACCATCTCACTGTTGAAGAAATAAAAAAAGTTACCTAAATCCTAAATATGGACTAGAATTGACCACTAAAACAAACAAAAAAAACCAGTAAAATCAGGAAACGCCCACAAACTGCATTTGCCTCAGTTTAGAAGCGCTTCCAGACTCTTAAGAATACATCAAATATCTTGTTTGACCAAACCAATGACACTTTCTTCTCAATATTCATTGAGAATAATCCCAAGAGGGCACTTTTATAGAAAAGCACGGCTGCTATTCATAACAAAAAGGGATAAAACCTTAGCATCCCAACCTTCCATATTCAGTGAGTATCTCTCAGAATTACATTCAACAAAAATGCAACCAAACCATATTGCTCCAACTATCTTTAAAGCGAGGTCTGTCCCACCAATCAGGTTTTCTTCCTTAGATGTTAATAGGTCAAATATCCTTCTATCTCAAATAAGCCTCAAAAACATTAACAGGTATAGACTTGAACACAGGAATATTAAGTAGAACAAGGCTTTTGATAATAAACAAGAAAGATAGCTAATGTTAGCCATCTGAGAACTTGATGACTTCAGTGAAAAAAAATAAGACACTAGGCATCTTATTACCAATCCCACCAAATCACCACTGAATTATGAGAAAGTTGAGTTTACCAACAATGTCAGATGGCATAGTCATTTTAATTCCACTAATGCTGAGAACAAAAATAAAGACCTAGCAATAAAATGAGATAATTTTTAGAAATTACTATCTTCCTTATCAATATATTTCTTGGTATTCAGTGTTTTAGTTCACTTCTGTCCTAAAAATCATGTAATGTGAAGACTTTTGTTGAAAATTAAATATCTAAGAGAGTTATTCATTCAATAAGTAGGTTTAATTGCCCACCTTTGGCTAAACATTGCATTACTTTTGTGGTGGTTTTAAAGATGAAGATTAAAAAAAAACTTCCCTCAAAAACTAGGCAACAGCAGGAATATAAGTAAGACACATATATATCAATAGCTATGCTATAAAACAGGGGTTGGCAAACTATGGCCTATGAGCTAAAAATAGTTCACTGCCTGGTTTTGTATAGCCTGCAAACTAAGAATGGTTTTTACATTTTTAAATGATTGGGGGTAAAAAAGAATAATATTTCACAACATGTGAAAATAATATGAAATTCAAATTTCAATGTCCATGAATAAAGCTTTATTGGAACACAGCTACACCCATTTACTTGTAACATGACTTACTGCCTATGGCTGTTTTTGCACTATAATGGCATAGATGAATGGCTGCAAGAGAGACCATATAACCACAGGCCTAAAATATATACCATCCAGTCCTTTGTAGAAAATTTTTGCCGACCCCTGGTATACAGCATATAGGGTTATGTGCTTCAAAAACAGAGCTGAACAGATTACTTCAAGTTTGAGATCAGGGAATTGTAACTTAGGAGGTAATATTTGATATGGACCTTGAAGAATGAGTAGGAGTTCAATAAGTAAAGGGATTTGGTATTATAATAGAAAAAAAACCAAGAATGGCCCAGAAACAGGACAGCACAGGTTATGTTTAGTAATAAAGCAGAAAAGAAATCAGCAAGACTTAACAGATGATTGAATATTAGAGAAGAGGAAAGACAAAGATGTCTTAAATTTTGCGCCAGAGTAACTGGAAAATGGTGGTATCATTAATAAAAATGGAGAGTAAGAAAGACATAGGGTCAGGACAAGAGTCAAGGATAGATATATGAACACAGAGAAGACAGCAGGGCATCCAAATGAGTATGTCCAGTAGGCCACTAAAAATATATATCTGTACTTCAGAAGGAAGGTATTACTAAAAATAGAGTTGGAAACAATCCACATAAATATTAAAGCAGTAGCATTTTCACTGAATGTAACTCTGAGAGATACATGTACGATTATTTAAGAAAACAATATATTAAGAATGAGGGTTAAGGGCAAAACGTTAGTGTTTTGTGTGGAATGCCTTACACTTACGGGAAAAAGAATACTACAGAAAAAAAAAAGAAGTGTTCAAAGAGGTAGAAGGAAGCTCAAGACAAGGCCACAATATAAAGACAAGAAAGAAGAAAGTTTTAAGAAGGGCAAGGAAAATACATACTATACAACAGCACCAAGAAAGGACTGTTGTGTTTTTAAGTATGGAAACAGAAGCTTCTTTTTGAGAATAAGAGACAGAGCCAATGAAGCAGGAGACTAATGCTGCAAGAAACCGGATAAATGATTGACTTATATTCTGGAAGAGGTTAAAAGGATCATTTGAAAGCAGAGGTGAAAAGATTCACATTTAACAGGGAGTAGGCCATCACTCCCCTTGAAACAGAAGGAAAGGCAAATCAGTATAGAGAATTTGAGATGAAGAGTAGAGAAGTTGATGGACCACGTCAAGTTGGATAGTCTTGATAAATAGGAATGCTGAGAGTAAAGCACATAGAAAAGAAGCAGGAGCTAGAAGAAACTCCTGTAGCTACTGCTAAATGAAGGCAAAGTGTTAAAACAATAAGATTATAAAAGAGGCCGGGCGCGGTGGCTCACGCCTGTAATCCCAGCACTTTGGGAGGCCGAGGCGGGCGGATCACGAGGTCAGGAGATCGAGACCATCCCGGCTAAAACGGTGAAAACCCGTCTCTACTAAAAATACAAAAAATTAGCCGGGCGTAGTGGCGGGCGCCTGTAGTCCCAGCTACTTGGGAGGCTGAGGCAGGAGAATGGCGTGAACCCGGGAGGCGGAGCTTGCAGTAAGCCGAGATCCCGCCACTGCACTCCAGCCTGGGGGACAGAGCGAGACTCCGTCTCAAAAAAAAAAAAAAAAAAAAAAAAAAAAAAGATTATAAAAGAGCTGTGGGCCCCAAAAAAAAAAAGATAAAATGAATTGCTGTAGCCCTATCATATGATACAATAACATCAATTTGTGATAGTCCTGATTAGTACAATTTTGTGATTTTTCCCCAACAGTATTCAATAATCCCCCCAAAAGAAAGAAGAAATTAAAGGTTATCCAAAGTTAGCAATTTCCCAAGGAAGAAAAATGACAAGTCACTAAATCAAAGAATTAATGGATACTGGTAACATCACCAATTTAACTGACTAATGTGTTCAAGCTTAGTAAAGGGTAAAGTTACTACAAAGTGTCAGGTGGAAATAACTGGGAAAGACCAAAGGACCAGCGGCCACAATGATAATCAATAACAATATAATAAAAATGAAAGGATCAGAGAATTCGATAGAAAAGATGTTTGGTGTACAAAGTCATATTTGGGATGTCAATAGAGAATGGCTGTGCATCCACAGGTTGAAAATTATAACTCTGATGTCAGCCTTGAATTTGGCACATTTAGTGCAGCAAAGCATTTGGTAAACACACTAATGTGAGTGCTAACAATGCCACTGAGAAGTGAGTAACTTTGAAAGAAATATTTGAATTCAGTACCTGTTATGATATACTACGGCTGTATAGGCTTCCTTTGAAAATTCTGAACAGCTAGATTTACCAAAGATTACCTGAAACAAATAACAGCATGTTGAAACTTTGTTGTAGTAAATGCTGGATGTTTCATAACTATGTAAGAATTTGTCTGATTTAATAACTATTTGAGAAAAATGGGCAAAATCAGCCCAATGAAGAACAATGTGCCTACTGACGTTCATCAAAAAGTTCAATTGCTTAACTATAAGTTTCTTTTCAACAACAGACCCATCTGACATTTAAATATTTCAAAAGTTTCTATCAATTTTATTTATATCTACTGGGAAATTAGATACATTTCTTTCCTTTTTCTTAAAGAAGGTGAAGAATTCACTTTTAAATCAGATGTAGCATATTATTTGGAACTTATGTAAGAAATATAAATAGTGGCATAAACCTACTATACAAATTGTTGGCTTCAACACTAAAACAGCAGAGTCATTCTGAAAGTCAAATATAAATTATATATGATATCAGAAATCCTATTTTAGGTCAAGCTATGTATCCTTTGCTTCTAATATTTCCTTCAAGCTACTCTACAATAGAGGAGGAGCTCCATTCTTATATTTTTGCATATATATATATTTTTAATCCACCACATTAAAAAGAATACAATATTACTTTTGGAATAAGTTTATAGATAAAGTAATTCAGCCTTGTATATCTGTCTCTTGACTTCTGGAGTAATAACAGGAATACTGTCGTTAATCAGAGCAGCTGATTAGATAAATGGCTCAATGTCAAGGTTATAGCTATAATTCCTATGTGAGACAGACTTGCAGTGTTATCTAGCCAGAGATTAAACTTTTAAAGTCTGTATAGCCATCTTTACATATGCATGAATAGATATGTGAACATGTCAGACAATTCCATCAACACAACTGGTAAAACAACTCAAAGTTTATTATTTATATAAAGA